>NC_000002.12:207186587-207489618 GCF_000001405.40 Homo sapiens
TGTAGTGTAGGCCACTGAGGGAGGAAATGCAGGAGGCATTTCAGCTTTAGTTGGAATATTGGTTATATAATTGCTGCATAACAAATTACCCCTAAACTTAGTGGCCCAAAATAACAATAAACATATATTATTTCACAGTTTATGTGGGGTAGAGTTTGAGAGTGGCTTAGAGGGTTCTGGTTCAGGGTCTTTTATGAGGTTATAGTCAGTATATTGGCTGAGGTTACTGTCATCTGAAGGCTTGATTGGGGCTGAAGATCTGCTTTCAGTTTAGCTTGTTCACATGCTTGGCAAGTTGGGGCTGGTTGTTGGCAGAAGGTATCTTTCATGCCACATAGTCCTCTGCACAGGGCTGTTGAGGGTCCTCATGACATAGCTGCAGGCTTCCCCTAGAGCAAATGCTGCAAGAAAGAACAAGAAAGAAGCCACAATGTCTTTATGAACAAGCCTCAGAAGACATGCTTCATCATTTCCACAATGTTCTTTTGGTTACACTGATCAGCCCCATCTAATATAGGAAGGGGTACACAAGGGCATAAATACCAAGAGACAGGGATGTCATCTTGGCTACCACAGTTAGGAAGTGGCTACCAAGACAAGTGTCATCTTGGCTACCACAGTTAGGAAGAATGAAAATGTCAGTTTGGGATGTTCAGTTTTGGATATAAACTAGTTCAACAGTGTCAAGGTAGAGATGGACAGTAAAGAGCTGGATTGATGGGTTGTAGTTCAGAAGAAAGATAGGCATTGGTGAAACCATGCCCCGGAGAGTTAAAGAAACCAACTAACTGACAGAAATTTTTGAGTTTGAGGGATGGCAGATAAGAAAAGAAACAACTTGTTGAAACACAGAAACTTCTTCCATTTATGAAATTTTAAAAACTGACTGAAATTCGGTTGAAACCAATATGGCCAACTGTACTGTGCACAGAACAAGCTTGCTGATGTTGCAGCCCAAATTTCCATTGCATGTTTCATACTAACTCCCCCCAAATTTGCACATGCAACCCACGAGGTAGCATAAAGAGATAACTGCACATGCCCCAGGACTTTCCAAACGTCCCCCTTCCTTCCAAAAATCACTCATGAATCCTAGAATCCACCCCTAGACCTTTTCTACTAAACATACTGCTTTAAACCAGCACAAGAAGACAGATTTGAGGCTGGACTCCTATCTCCTTATTGGTTGACCTGTGGTAAAAACTTTTCTTTTCTCACAAATCTGGTACCATAATTTTGGCTTCTAGTGTATCATGCAGTGAGCCCCTTGTGCTTGGTAACATGAGGATTCATCAGCACAAGGATAGCAGCTGAAGCCATGGGAGTGAGTAAGATCACCTGGGAAGAGTGAGAACATGAAGGACTGAATTATCAATATCTAAGGATGGATAGGGAAAGAAGAGCCTGCCCAGAAGACTAAGAACTATGTAGGGGTGGAGGGAAAGCCAATATACAGCAATATCATGGAAGGAAGGAAAATCTCCAAGTTCCCACTGAACTCTAGAATTCTATGATCCCAGTTGTCATCTATAATGATAGTGGGTTTTGCTAAGGGACCGATACAATTAAAATAAAATGGGGGAAAAAAACAAAGGTCCTTAAAAGTTGATATCTACTGGATTAAATGTCTCATTGTCTTTGAAACACAAATGGAGAATTATTTCATTTTTGGTGGAGGTGATAGATTTTGTTTTTTGTTTTTCTTCTTTTGCAAGTTGAATGTTTTGTTTCTCTATACATTCTTTCCATATATTTCCTCCAAATCTTTTCTGGTCATTAAAAGAATACTGATTATTATCTGAAATATCAGACTTGGTTATCAACCTGTCATACTTTCCTCCTGTCTGTTGAGGCAGTAATCATTCAATTATGTCCTCTGAGATTTTGAAGGTTCCAGAGTCTCTAGACCACCATGGGGTTTAGGGCACCAGGGAATAGCATAGTTTATAAGAATTCTTCCAGGCTTAGAGTTTTGGGTTGGTTGATTGGTGCTTTGGTGAGCTCTAATTGTGAAAATAAAGCTTTAGGAAACACACATTTAATAGAAATATGAATGAGTCACAAATACATTAGATTTTTTGTTTTGTTTGTTTTTTGCCTTTGAAAGCCTTCAGGTTGGGTCTGTGTGGCTTAGAGATTTGTTTTGTTTTGTTTAGGACTATTTTAGTCAGTCTGTGAGCTATTTATCCAGCACCTGACCAAATATATTTGCTCTGACCCATTTCATAGACAGCTGTTTTCTATTTACTTTCCAGGAAGAAAAGTGCTTGGTCAGCCAAGAAAAATACTGCAAATGTTAGCAAGGGAATCTGTGTGACAGCTTAGCAAACCAATTGTATTTTGACCCTCTTCTCTATATGCTGAAGGGTTCAAGTTCAAGTCCCTTCAGGTGGGATTGAATCGGGAGGAAAATAAACTAAATTTATGTTACTATATAAATCAAATTTTTTCCATGTAAATGAGACCTACAAATGGGATTAAAACTTGCACTCCTGAATATCTTATAATGGTAATTGACAATACTAGTATCACCAATTTTCTTCCCTCTCCTTCCTTCATTACTGAAAAGGCACAGGAAACACTTCATTCATTTCTGGAATATAGCCACCTCTGTCATGGAAAGCAACAAATGTTATTTAACAGCTACACAATAAAGCATTTCACAATAGTGTACAAAGATAGTCGAGGCCAAAGGAAGCTACTGTCCCATGTGAATTTATCTGACGCTTAGCTGAAATGCTGTTAGGATGGCTGTGCATTCATCACCTTGGGGAATGCCCTATTTATGGCTTGAATTGTACTCATGTCCCCCCACAACAAAATTTGTATGTCGAAGTCCTAACCCCCTAATGCCTCAGAATGTGACTATATTTGGGGATAGAGTTTTAAAAGAGGTAACTAAGTTAAAATGAGGTTATTAGGGTGGGCCCTAATTCAACGTGACTGGTGTCCTAATAAGAGATTAGGATACACACACACAGAGGGAAGATCATGTGAAGAAACAGGGAGAAGGTGACCATCTACAAGAAAGAGAGAAGGCTCAGAAAAAAACAACCCCACCAACACCTGGAACTCAGACTAATACAATTCTGTTGTTGAAGCCACCCAGTCTGTGGTACTTTCTTATGCCAGCCCCAGCAGAGTAATGCAGCTGCAATGTAAGGCAGAAAGAGCTCTGCTGCCTGGATTTATGACATGATTGGATCTCTAAGTCTCAGGAACCCAAGGTACATCGGGCAATGTGACTCCCTCCACTTCTGCCCTTGTCAGCCGATCAGCCCTCTACCCCTGAGTCTCATCTAAATCCGTTCTTGGATTTAGCTACTTTTTTAATCCAGGTGCAACATGTTGCAATCTAAATTAGCCCCAACAATAAGTAGCTAGAGAGCTTCATTCCTTTCAGTGCATGCACACACATGCAAACACACTTTCTGTGTTAATAACTAATAAATATTCTAATAAGTGTTCTAATGGCCACAAGAGGCAAATTCTTAGCAAGCCAAGGTACTCTTGTAAATGAGCTACATGGGAGAAATTCAGAGCCCATTTATGTTATGTCCCTTCAGCCATATATTAAGACACGAGGATTTAAAATGAATCTGTCAGGTGTGTAGTGAAAAGCCCCCTCTTAGACGGTTTTTTTTTTTTGGCTTCTTAATTTAATTTAGAATATATATTTGGGAGTATGCCCACAAACATGAATTAAACAAAGGAGATGGAGACCATTAACATAGGAAGTAAAATAAGTGCTAAAAAATCATTTTTAAAATCTGAATTACATTATCCTAATTAATGCATAATGTTTATGGAATTTTTGCTCTTTAGGGCAACACTGTTTTCTCTGGATCTCCTAACTTCCCTGGAAGGGAGGCAACAGAAAGAGAGGGGACAGGAGCTTCAGTTTACAAACGGAAAGGCAAAGGCACAGAGAAAAATCCCGTCAGGCTCTGCATCACCATTTAATGCAGGGGTTCTCAGTCTTGCCTGGGCACTCTTCCCTCTAAGAACATCTTATGCACACACCCTCAAAGTACATCTTTACTCATTTCTTTGTAAATGGTATACTTGTACTACTGTATAATGCAGCATGGACATTAAAAAGCATACACCAAAAATAGTGACTTTGTAAGGATGAGTTTAAAATTCATTTTCCTCTCGTGGATTATCTTGTGTTATCATTCTGCTTTGGAAATCACTGAATTATTAAAAAGGGTGTGGGAATGGAGGCAGATCCTTGGGCTTCCTCAAACACATGTATTTGATCATCCTGCCTCTCCAGCTTTAAAAAGTAAGTAATCTTGTGTGTGCAAAGGAGCATGTGCCATGCACTGCTTATACTCAGGGCCACAATATCATCTCTTTAGAAACTCCCTGTGGATCATACATGAAGCAGAAACATATGGTCTTTTTTTCTTTTCTGTTGGCAGTCCCTATGGCCATGGTATCATTGGTCCAAATACTCAAGTTTACCTGGAATTATACTCTAAGGTATGGTCATATGTTGCAATTAAACATCACAATGGAAGAAAACAATAGGGTGATGAGAATTAGCTGAGCACATTAAAGATTTTAGTCTCTTTGTCACTGTAAGTGAAGACAAATATGTAGGATAAATTAAGGCAAGCGTCTTCTCCCGGCAACAGATACGTGGAATCAAGCACTTATTTTAAGCCAGGCAATTTCTTTTGTTTTATTTCAACTTATTTTTCTTTGTATTAAGTTTGAGTTAAATTAAAATCCACTCTTATTGTTTAAAGCAGTGTGACATTACCTAGTATAATAAAAACATTTCTAGTTATCTAATCTCTCTTAAAGCAGCTTTTTCTGGGCAGTCAATGATTATGTCTGGGTTGTGGGATACAGTGTGGTTTTTGTTTGCTTGCTTTGTTTTTACTTCCTGCCTTTACTCTTCCATATTCAAAGTATCTTAGCCATGTAAATATATATATATAGAGAGAGACAGTTGAGAGTACAAAAACTATAAAGTAATTTTCCTTTTAAAAAAAGTCAGATATTTACATCTAAAGGAATGAATAAATAAATCTGAAAAGTTGTTTGCCTGCAATGTTGAAAGACTTTGTAGATCAGAGCAAAACAGAAGATATAGTTCTCTGGGGGTTAACTGCATATGTTGTCCCTATGGAAATGAAAATGTGGCCAGCTTTGATGTCCCTCCCACACTCCCGTCAAGTAGAGACAGGTTACACATCCCCACCTCTCCTGCACTGTCTATTTCATGATCAAAGGTACCCCCATCTGCAAGATAACTGGTTAGACTTTCAAGACACTACCTCAGCCCTAAAACCAATGTTTATATTTAGCTGAATAAATTATAAAAGTCCCAAGTCACAGGAACTTGAGATTTTAAAGCTGGATGATATTTCAGAAATCATCTAGTGATTCAGTCCCTGAACTTTCCAGCTGAAGACATCACAGCCCAGAGAAATGAAGTGTCTTACTCAAATTCACCAACATGTTAGGGACAGAGACTGGACTTGACCTTGTGCTTTTTTTTTTAACTTTTATTTTAAGTTCAGGGGTACATGTGCAGGATATGCAGGTTTGTTACATAGGTAAGCATGTGTCATGGGGGTTGTTGTACAGATTATTTCATCACCCAGGTATTAAGCCTAGTATTCATTAGTTATTTTTCCTGATTGTCTTCCTCCTCCCACCCTCCACCCTCCAACAAGCCTCAGTGTTTGTTGTTCCCCTCTATGTGTGTCTATGTCTTCTCTTCATTTAGCTCCCCCTTATAAGTGAGAACATGTGGTATTTGGTTTTCTGTTCCTGCATTAATTTCTAAGGGTAATGGGCTCCAGCTCCATTTATGTTCCTGAAAAGGACATGATTTCATTTTTTATGGCTGCATAGTATTCTATGGTATATATATTTCACATTTTCTTTATCCAGTCTATCATTGATGGGCATTTGGGTTGACTCCATGTCTTTGCTATTGTGAATAGTGCTGCAGTGAACATATGCATGCATGTGTCTAAGTGGCAAAGGACATGAACAGACACTTCTCAAAAGAAGACATATATGCAGCCAACACGCATATGCAAAAAAGCTCATCACTGATCATTAGAGAAATGAAAATCAAAACCACAATGAGATATCATCTCACACCAGTCAGAATGGCTATTATTAAAAAGTTAAAAAATAACAGATGCTGGTGAGGTTGTAGAGAAAAAGGAACGCTTATACATTGTTGGTGGGAGTGTAAATTAGTTCAAATATTGTGGAAGACGGTGTGGTGATTCCTCAAAGACCTAAAGACAGAAATATCATTCCACCCAGCAATCCTATTACTGGGTATATATCCAAAGTAATATAAGCCTTGTAATTCTTACTTGAAGCTCAACAACAGCCACTGTGTTGATCCTGGGCTTGGCACATTTCTGGTTCTCATTTCATTTGTCCTGGCTTATGACTTCTTTTTATGGCTTTATTATTGTTTTAGTATTCTTAAGTGGTCTCACACTATTTGGATAAGAGATGGAGGACTATATATTTATATTGTAAAGGTCAGGAGAGCTCTCCTAACTCCCAATCTAGTGCTCTTTCCAAAGAGGGAAAGGAGGACTGTGGACTTATTATTGTTCCTTCACTGTCGCTGACAATATCTGCTGTGTCTGTGGAGCCACGAAGGCTCGAAGTAGCAAGCAGCATATCATGCACACTCACAGACTTCCTTCCTAAGTGGAAATTCCTAAAAAGTGATTTTAAAATACGTTTGCAGGTAATAGAGAAAATTTACGTATCTATTCAATAACTTTTCTCATAATCATGAATATTCCATCTTTACCAAAGGTGAAAATAGAAATCCTTGTTAGAAATCTTTACAATGGAGAGCTTTAAAATGTAAAATAAGTGTCTATTTGGGAGAATTTAAATTTGTGCAAAGTAGTTTTGTATTTACTTAACGAACCAAGAGATAAAAGCTAAGAAAAGAAACATTTGTAAAGAATAGTTTGAGACAGCAACAGCAATAGATGTAGCAGTAGATGACGCTTAGAAGGTGAAAGATATTCTTTTCTGGGAAATACAGTTGATCTTCTATTACACTTCCTTTTCCATAGAAATACACTAGGGATGATGTCAGAAAGACAATGATGTGGAAAATCTTAAGGTCTTTGACTGACTACAGAATCAACGATTAAAATCTATTGTTTTAAAAAAGTATCTACGTAACATTTGAGTGATACAGGGAATAGGGAAAAAATGCATTGAATTTTTCTGACTTTGAAAACACAGCTAATTAGCAGTAATGCTGAAAGGAACAGTAAGTTGAGCTTCCAGGTCCAGTAGGAAATTAAATTAACAATGACTTTTAAAATTCAGTTATAATTCAATAACTTACCTCATGCTAGATGATTGCTCATGATTCTTGTCAATAACCTTTTAACAAAATCAAATCGTAAGGAGAAAATCACCTATTACATTACTATTTCATTCATTTATATTTTTATAATCTATCCATTTCCACTCTTTGTTTGACAAATTCATAACTAAGGTTGTGGATTTTATATCTTCTATAGAACATTATCATCCTCATAGAGAATGGTGGCCATTCTTTGAACAATCTGCCTTTAACTTACTGGTCTTCAATCGAGGCTGTCAATCATTGTTGGAACAAGACAGGGTGAGTCTGATGCAGTGAACACACATCCATCAAATTCAACTTAAGGAATATATACTCTATGAGGGTTTATATTCTGTTCTGAAACATCATACAAACCCCTCCATGGTCAAACACGGAAGCAGAGCTCTTAATTATTCACTCTCCTGGGGATGGGTTGAGGGGGTTACATACTATGGAAATTAGATGTGAAGAAATGCCAAATTCCAAAGCAAAACTTTTTAGACATAAGATTACATCAGGGAGTAGCCTAGTACCAGCTTTATTTTCTAGATTAATACAGAGAGGTATCCATCATCTTGTTTGAGGAATAAAAGCCAAATATGTAAATGTGTACTGATTTTATCTCAATAACAAGATTGATAGTAAAAATAATAATTAGGTAGCTGTGACATAAAAAATTAAAGGTTTTATATCCTGTTTATGTTAATGATAATAAAACCTCAAGGTATAGCAATAAAGAATTAACTTATTTTAAAACAATTATGTAGGAGGCAGCTAATAAAATTACATTGATGTTATATACACTTGTTCTTCCACGAGAACCACAGCAATCACATAAAATTAAATTTAAAATAATGCACTAAAATACTCACTACCCAAAGGTGATCAACAGATCTTCCTTAAGCATCTAACTGTGATAATTAGGAAGGGAATGTTTGATTTGCCCATAAAACTCATTATTTCTTTTTCTATTCCTGGGATTCATTTATCTCACTTACCTGTGACCTGTTTAGTATGGATCTGGGTCACTTTTAAATTAAAGATTATGCATTTTGGGGTAATAAGAAGGCCACAAAAGAATAGTGGATATAAATAAAATGCAGGCATTCCCTAAGTTACAAACAACCAACTTAAAATACATATACATGTGAGCCCAGCCCTGGAGAATGAAAAGTATAACCAGTCTTGCCAATCCTGATACCTCCAGGACCATGCAAGTAACATAAATGAATAGAGTGACCATGTGAATGGGAGGCAAACAACCACTACCAGGTCACTGAATTACTGCCACATAGGAATAAGGAGCAGCACATAATAACATTTCTGAATGTTTAAATGTTTGGACACACCAACTCAAAATTTTAAAAAATACTTCAGAGGTATGAGCCTGCTTCAGTGTAAACCCTCTGAATATTAAAGAGGGATAATTTGTAGACCTTCTTTATTCAAAATTTGTAAATCCAGTCTCCTGGGATTTTTTTTTTTTTTTTTTGAGACTGAGTCTCGCTCTTATTGCCCATGCTGGAGTGCAGTGGTGCAATTTTGGCTCACTGCAACCTCCGCCTCCGACTCCCTCTCCCAGGTTCAAGCCATTCTCCTGCCTCAGCCTCCTGAGTAGCTGGGATTATAGGTGCATGCCACCACACCCAGCTAATTTTTGTATTTTTAGTAGAGACAGGGTTTCGCCATGTTGGCCAGGCTAATCTCGAACTCCTGACCTTAGGTGATCCACCCGCCTAGGCCTCCCAAAGTGCTGGGATTACAGGCGTGAGCCACCGTGCCCAGCCTTCTAAACATGTTTCTAAAATGTGAAATAGCTCATCTATGATTGGTAAACAAGAGGAAGATGTTAATAGAACATAAATGACACACTGGTTCCCACAGTTTTTTTTGCCAGCACATTAGTGTTTGGTGTCTTGTAGTAATGGCTGCTGGATGCAAAGTACATTAGCCCAGCTCAATGCAGCAAACCACAGGGGAATACAGTATTGTCCTATTCATTCTGTTCTGTCTTAGAAGTGATTATTTACAGTTTCCCCCCAATCTTTGTGCATTTTGGCCTTGTCTCAATAATCTGCAGACACAATCTGTTATTTTTTAAACATTCCTTTAATCAAGCTACCTTCATTTTAAGTTTTCTATGTACTACAGTATATATTTAGTAAGAAATTAATATGACTTTGATTTCTAAACTACTAGAATTTAATTAAAATATTGTTTTTATTGATGCTGTATTTGCAGTGTTGCCTCAGTGTTAATTAGTCTGTCTCAATCTTATTTTTCCCAAAAGCACTGTTATTTTTGGCATAGGCTTTTGCAGAACACAATGTTTTGGGGTTTTTTTTCCCCCAGGAATACATTTATCACACTATAGCTAAAATGTTGCCACTTATTGAGATATGTATGTAGGGTTTCAAATTAGATCTGTTTACTAATTTGTTAGTATCCTTAAGCCAGCCTTTCAATATGTGGGATTCAATTTTAGCTAAGCCCTTTCCTTATATTATTTCATTTAAATTTCTCAACAACCTTATTCAATTAGCAGCATGTATTGATTGGAAGCTGGGTGCAAGGCAGCCTGCTAGACTCTGGGAATATAGTGGTGGACCAGACAGATCTGGCCCTTACGCTCATAGAGCTAAGCTCCTTTATCAAGTAGATACTCTAATAATCGCTATTATAAATTATCACTTGCTGTGGACTTCAGGGTTGCCTATGTCAATGGAGCATTCTAGTTCTTTGAGGCTGAGAAAGTGAGAGGAAGCCTCTTGTCACTGGATTCCCTGCCACTGCTCTCAGGAGGCAGCAGGTAGGTTCTCCCACACCACATACCTGCCAATCCACCCCTACCCCACCACCACCAAAGGAAGCCGGGAGCTCCCAGGGGCTCTTCATTGCTGACCTATTCTTGTCCCACTCTCAACTCTCAGCCACGTGACCCTGGCCCTCTGACTTCAGAACTTGTTGAGATTTAGTCTTTCTGGGGCTGGAACCTCAGCTTTCCCTGCAACTTTCTAGCTGAAATTGTTTCTCTGCTCAGGTTCTCAGCTTTCAGTCTTACCTGAGACAGCTATCTTCTATTCCTTCTCAGCCCTGCAGAACCAATATCCAATCATTTGGCCAACCTGGCTTCCCACAACGGGGGTTTGGATATTGGGCTCCATTCTTGCCATGTCTGGGACTTTTGCACAAACATTCTTCAATTCTCTATAATCTCTCCTTGCCACTCTGTGGAAACTACTGTCCCATGGAAACAACTTGTCTACATGTCCAGCTAGTTCTTTCAATAATATTCAATTTATGATCTAAAAAACTACAACTGTACTTAAAAGTCTCAATGGTGGCCCAGCATGGTGGCTCACACCTGTAATCCCAGCACTTTGGGAGGCCGAGGTGGGTGAATCACAAGGTCAAGAGATCGAGACCATCCTGGCCAACATGGTGAAACCCCATCTCTAATAAAAATACAAAAATTAGCCCGGTGTGGTGGTGCATGCCTGTAGTAACAGAGCAAGACTCCATCTCAAAAAAAAAAAAAAAAAAGTCTCAATGGCTTCCCATCACCTTTAAATTAAATCTGGACTCCTCTCAGAGGCCAAAGTCCTGTGTGACCTGGTATTTGCCTCCTCAAATCTTAGTTCTTGCCACCATCTCTCTTTACTTTCATGTTTACGCCACACTAGCCTTCTAGGCTCTTGAGCATAGCAAGTTATTTTCTATCTTAGGACTTTTTCACACTTGGTTCCTTCTGTCTGGTGCTCTTCCACTCTGCCCAAATGATTCTTTCCCATATTTTAAAGTCAGTATAAATGTCACCTCCTCACGGAAGCCTTCTGTGATCATCGCGTTACTTCCTATCCCTGCTTGCTGTAATTTACCTCTACAGCACGTATTTCCTAAAGAGGGTCCATATTTCACCACCATACACCCTGTGTTGGCTCAGGAAAAGTCCATAATACATAAAATTTGAATGAATAAGCTACTTACAGCATTATTAGGAATGATACAACAATAATATTAACTTAATGGGACTAATGCTATAGTATAAGCAAATAGACATTTGAAGGCTTGACAAGGAGCTTAAGCACCATTTTAAATTTTGTTCCTAAGGAAACAGTTCCAAATCTAAAATGTCAACTTAAAATATTTTAGAAAATATTCATGATTAGTTGGTGGTTGCCTGTAACTACTTTCAGGTTCAATAACAATACTGTATTCTGGTTGCTGTCAGGGGTGGAGTAGGGACAGGAACAGGTAAAAGAAATAGAAAAATGGCCCCTGTTACTAAGACCTTGCAATATAATTGAAGAACAAAACCCAGATGTAAAACACTTTATGTATGATTAGATGAACAAGTTCTATACTGACAAAAGAATACACTGTAAGGGTCACATTAAAATGTGAAGAAAGAAAGAATGATGCATTAAGGAACATATCCTAGAAAAGATAAATTTGAAGCTATGCTTTGCAGGATGTGGCTTGGATGAGTCCCTGGAGCTCTTTGTTGAGTGGGCCTTTTGAGCATTGGGGTATCTCATAGAAAACCACAGAAGCAGAATGAATGGCTTTTTCTTAGGAGATAGCAGAGAGTACAAAGGAAGGAGAAATGCTGGTGATAAAAGAGATTGAAAGAGGGGTTCGGTTGCAGTGAGAGGGAGTTTGTGAGGGACCTGGTCTTAGAGTGAAAAATTTTTACCTGAATTACCTATTTGAAACAATAGGTTTCCCACAGTTGAATTATCTGCTGGTTTGCACACAGTCGAATTATCTGCTGGTTTTAGAATGGATTGGACCAAAGAGAGATGAAAATTAGAACAATCATCTGAGAGGCTGCTGATATCTCTAGCTAGCTAGCTATCCATCCATCCATCTATCATCTATTAATCAATTTATCTGACAAAGAGAACTCAAACAAGCAGGGAACTATGGGAACTAAAAGGAGCTATAAATTCAAGGGACATCTTAAGGGATTTTAGGAAGGAATTAGACAGAAATTTGTCCGTCTAGATTATTACACCATCTTCAGAATGGAGACCTCAGTCTAGTAAACGTCCCAGCATTATCTGCCATTTTGAAGACATTCAGAGAGGAGTCACAGGGACAAAAGAATTGCCACAATGAACAAGACCCTCGGGCTCTTCCACTCATGTGCCACTGGCCACAGTAACCCTGGATGCCCTGAGAGTACCTGCTTCTCCTCCAGGAGTTCAGACACAGTATCAGAGGACCACCAAGCATCTATCTGTACACAAAAAGTCTCAGGCTATACAGCTGTAGAATGCAGGCTATGTCAGAATGCAGTTCAGAAAGGCATGTAAAATAAAGGACTCACATACCAGTGACAAAACTCCACCTGCAAATCACATAAATGTCTTTGCATCAGCTCTGTCTATGTTGAGCAGCACCCTTTCGGGAAGAAAATGGAGACCTGATTCTATGAGCTTGTGGGAAGATTGGTCCTCGCTGAAATCACTACCAATTCCTTTCACTTTCAGCATCTCATCCAAAATTCAATTAATCTAGAAAACTTTCTACGGTTACCACTAAACTTGTTGTTTTTCCAGTAGCCCAAAGTATCTAACCCACTTAAAGGGAAAGAATGTTCACAAAATTTAGAATCTTTAATATCAACAAATTAGACTATACAAGAAATCACTATTTACTTTATAAATAGCTAATTTTTTCAGTGCTTCACAAGATTCAGCCCTCACTCATCTTTTCAAGAACACAGCTATTGCACTAAGTGGCACACCTGTGTATTAATTTGGTACTTCCTGTTGTTTTATAATTATATTCTTTAATCATTTTTATGAGTGTCTTCTGTCTAACTATATTATAAACCTGGAGGTACAAACCTAATGTATTAAGTTTTTGGTATCGTCCTGTAGGTCCCACTGCTGTTTCTTTATACACAGTGGAAATTCAATAAATGCCCTTCCCATCAGACTGAGTTGTTAAGTCAGAAGAGAGGTCAATGTTTTATAGTTAGGTCTAAATCTTTTGTGACTGGAGAAGAAAGGAAATGGGCAGGTATTTTAGCCTTAAAATGGCATGGGAAATTTTTTTTTTTTCTCTGTAACAATTCGAGTAGATTACATTGGATTTACCATGTAGCAGGGATCATGGAAGCGCAATACAAAACTCAGATGACAGTATGAAATGTATTTTGTGTGTATTCACAAAATTCCACAGAATCAATCACCATCCCTTTGACCGAGTTAATATGAACTCCAGTGGCAGTAACCCACGGACCTCTAATAGAATTCACCGATGGGAAATAGTAACAGTTCCCGTGGAGGCATTACCTTCACTGCCAACTGTGATCTATGGATGACAGCCTCCCAGAAAACACATTGACACAATAGGCTGTAATGGCTCAGATGGGGCCTTTATGTGATATCAGGCCAGTGATCCGCAGACAATGTCTCGCCGGGAGGTTTCTCAATTGCCTTCACCAAGGCTTTCCCTCCTGCTTTCTGGCCTGTCCGGGTACTTTCCTGAGCTCAGGGATGTTTGCCTGTGCTCTCAGGCTATAGAAGCTTGCCTCACAGCATCTCCATTACACAAATGAGCCACTAAAAAGCCAATGAGAAAATGAAGAATACCTACAGATAAAATATTTTATTCAATCTGCAATGATGTTGGTGCAGATGCATTTGTTTATGAAGTGTAATCCAGCTCCCACAGCGAGATTTGGACTTTATTCCTTATCAAGCTCTGTTGACCAGTTTGAAAGCTCCTTTGTCCACAATAAAGAGGCTCTGCCACCCATGAACCAGTCAATCAGTCAATAAGTATCTGGTGAATATACTCATAATTGTACAATGGATTGTTGTATTTGTCAGAGAATAATTGGCTTCTGCCCTTAAGGAGTTTCTAATAGAGTTAAAAAAAAGGTGAAACTGACCCACGTGAACTCCCATGTAATTATGGGCTAAATTGCTAGGTTGGTGAGCTCTGTGTTCTGTGTTACTTGATGATTGTGCATTTAAAGATGTCTAATAACACCTAGTCTTCACACATCATTGTTTTAATTCAGTGACACAATGGGTACATGACTTGGCAATGGGCAATAACTCAGACAGTACAAGGAGAGGAAAGAGTGCATTCATCAGCAGATGCTGAAAAGGCTTGAATCTTACATTCTAGAATAAGTCAAGGGCATCTAGAAAGAAAAATTGGGAAGTAGGAGAGAGATAGGTGATTATTAACATTTGCAAATACTTATGCCCCAGACACTTGACAAGTGACCTCATTTTATCTTAACAACTGCCACAAGAGATAGAGATTAGCATCATTTTATACTTGAAGAAATAGAAGCTCAGAGAGATTTACTTGTCTTGCCTAGGTAATACAACCAGGAAATGACCCAGCCAGGCCTCAAACCCAGATCTGTCTGCTCCAAAGCCCATTCTCTTTCTACTGCACCATCCTAACTCCCTATCACACCTTCTATCTTCTTGAACAAAGCACATAGATAATGACTATCTCTTCTGTCCTGCCATGTGAATTGTCTTCATAATGTCCCCTTTAGGGTTGGGTAGGAAAAGAGAGATAGGAAAAGAGAGAAATCAAGCAAAAGACAACAAAAGTGAAGAACAGATTTAAGAGCGTGCCTTCTGCCAATTCACAAAGCCAAGGCCAGAGTTGATATTCTGCCAGGGTGCCCCAGTCCAGCATACCAACCAGCATCCATCCGGACTGGTCAGTGCAAAAGCCATGTAAGATGTGACATATTTTTAAAATATCATCTCCCATAATGTCCTTACTGGATCTCTGAAATTTGGGGATATTGACTATTGGTTTTGAGAAGAATAATGTCAAATGCAGCTCTAAGGTCAAAGGAAGGCCTATGAATTACATTTATTGCTGAGAGAAAATTTACACTGGGAAAAAAGCAGTTCTTTCAGTTATACATTTTACTTTTTTTTTCCAAATCTTAAGAGTGTGGGAAAGCAAGCACAAGGTCTTGTTTAAAGTTTTAAATACATATTATAATTGTTTGCTTTGGTCTAAAATTATGATACAGAAGAGATTTTATTTATTGTATAGATATTCAAAAGACATAATAATGATTATTCTAATTACCCAATCCATCTTCAATATTTAACTCCTCAGAGATAAGCACTTTCAACAATTTAGCATGTATCTAGCTGTTTTCTATCCATAGAGGAACATAAAATATATTTGAAATACATGTTTATTTTACAAAATTAAGTCACATAACCTACTCTGCAGCTTACTTCTTACACATAATGCATCAAGGGCATCTTTCCTCATCAATACATATAGATCCATTTTGTTCTTTTCAATAACTACATGGTATTTTGTGTATGGATATACCATAACTTCAAGTCTTATTGATATATACTTAGAGTGTTTTCAATATTTTGATATCTTAAATATGCTACCATAACATCTTTGTGCATTTTTGCACACTTGCATAAATATATTGGTAAGAAAAAGGTATCTTTTTAAATACATTGGTCTCCTTTTAGCAAATTGATGTCAGGTATTCATCTGTGTCTATTTTTTAGAAATTAATGCATATATTTATAATTACTCTATATAATTTACTCATGCGTCATCATACCAATATAATATGTTGGTATTAGAATTATATATTTCATGCATTCTTGATTAGATGCACTCCCCACATATAACATTGCATTGATAGTTTCATAGCAATTCACTTTCAGTCACAGTTGATAAGCCCCCGTTGCAGTGCAAATCAGGCACCATCCCAACAGGTTTTAAAGCACATTCAGAACCTCAGAATAGTAACTCAGTAAGGACCGGGATAATCAGAGAAGATTTCTTGAAAGAGCTCAAACTTCAGCTATGCCTTGAAAGGCATTAAGGCATAAGGAAGATTTGGATAGGCTAAAAGACAGAGACCCGATAATGTGAACCCAAGAAGTCAGGACCACGGACAGAGCAGAGGTAGACTGGATGGAAAAGTGCACTTTGAGAGGAGTCCTGAGGGAAAGAGTAGGAGACACAAAGTGAAGCTTTATAATGAAGGTTTTGAAAAACAGGTCAGAAGGTCTAGATCTGATATAGAACCAGATAAGGGCTAGTGAGCAATTTGAGAGAGTATTTAACAAAGCTGGAAACTATGTAAAGTAGGGCAACCTCACAAACAAAAATAGAAAATTAAGTGAGACATTCCACAGAAAAGATTAACATGGTCCACAATAACAGCTACTACCTATTTAGAGTTTACTCTGTGACAGGTCCCGTGATAAGTGCTTGGATTACACCATCTCAGTTAATCCTCCTCATGACCACTCTTTGAGCCTGTATGATTATTAATCTCATGAGTGAGATATGCTTAGGCTCAGAGAGGTTAAATGGCTTGCCCAACTTCACATAGCTTACCAATGACAGAGTTTGGATCCCAACCCATGTCCAAAGCCAGGAACCAGAGCTGAAATGCAGTTTTATATCACAAACATTATGGAGATTACATTTCACATGAACTCACAGCTTCCAAAAGGAAATGTTCCTTCCTTTTCCACTGTTTCCCTCCTTCCATGGAAAAGTATAAAAAGACAGTTTTATAAAAAAAATTACTGAGTTCAAATCACCCCTGTGATAGTTCCATCCAAGCTTATAAAGTCTTTGAGAAGTAAAGTGAGCTAAACCCTAATATTGTTTGTCAGCTCACTGAGTTACTTCACACAATGTCACCTAACCTCTAGGAATCTCACTCTCTTCACTCACAGTGAGGTAGAAGAGAGGATATTACAGATGCCTCCTAGATCCTAAATTACATGATGCTCTTAGTCTTTGCATTTTGATGCCAAATGATGCTGATTAAAGGAGGACTTAGCTAACAAAATCTAAATCTTACTTGGTCCCAAGAACTAGATTATAATCTCTTGTAATTTTCATATGCATTCATTAATTTGATCATTTATAAATACTTCTTGAGTACCTACTATATACCTACTTTTTTGGAAGATGTCCTACATTCCTTTGTGTGATTTAAGTTTTAAGCCATTTAATCTCTACACCAACCATATTAAATATTTTCTCATAAGAATGATACACAGATTAAGTCATCTGCCCTAGATTACACAGCTCTATAGCAGAATCAGGATTTAAACCCAGAGAGGCCCCAGAGCCCCAACTCAATCTTAATGCTTTGCTCAATAATCATTGCACCCTGTCTCCCAGGAAGTATCGCACTGCCTGATAGTAGAGTTAGTACTTGGCTGAGGCTGAAAAAATGAAGGCCTTTAAGAGAGGTTGTAGAACTCTATAGCTTGTGCTTTGAAATTATAAGACGAAGTTTGAATTCTAGTTTTAGTGCATGCTGAGTGATCTTACTTTTTCTGAACATTTTCTCATCTATAACATGGGGATAAAAATAGCGCCAAAAATTAGGTGGGCATGGTGGCAGTCGCCTGTAATCCCTGGAATACTTGGAAGGCTGAGGCAGGTGAATTGCTTGAACCCGGGAGGCGGAGGTTGCAGTGAGCCAAGATGACGCCATTGCACTCCAGCCTGGGCGACAGACCGCAACTCTGCCTCGAGAAAAAAAAAAAAATAGTGCCTATTCCATAGGGTTGCCATGAAGCATAAAGACAATGTCTAGTGCCACAAAAGGAGTCAGAAAAACACCTGAATTCCTTTAAGAAAATGTTCTAGAACTTTGGATATTGGGAGGCATTTATAAATACAGAATCCATCTTTACTGCAGCTACCTGATTAACTACTTTGAAGAAGCCACTAGAGTCTAAGATTTGCTAATTCAGAACTGCAGACATTTAAACATTAGAGTGCATTTTCACAGAAAACTAAATTCTTAGGGTTACCCATGTTTCCTACAAATAATCACTAGGAACGAGAGTGGACAATCACTGTGCAAAACCATGGCGCATTCCAGGAATACTCATACTGAAAGGAGGGTACATTTCCTCTCTGATGGGGGTATGCTTAATATTAAAGATGCCTTGTGTTTTGTTTACCATTGGTTGTATAATGGCATTCAACACCTCAGGATCATTGTGTTAGCACCAGAATAGCTCCACAAGGGAGATTAGCAGGACTGTTTGTATTCAATTGATTCCTTGATACATTTCCTAAATGAGGCCATTATTTGCATTTTCCATTTTCCAGATAGCTAATCCAAATGTAGAGCTTCTAGTAATTGCCATAAGATACATAATGAGTTTGTGGTTTTGAAAAGTAAAAAAAAAAAGAGTAATCACAATACCCATTCCCACTTCTCTAAGTATTAAACTCCTTTCTCTTCTGAATAACTGTGCCTACATAAATAATAAATATCTGAGCTCATGGACCTGTAATTTTAGAGTATGACAAAAATGCAACTAACCATACATGAAAAAGGTTATAGATGAGATATACTGAAAACTCATCATACTAGAATTATACAGTGCAAGGCAGAACCTAAATCACAGACATGACTAACACCTATAACTTAGTTTTTTAGTAATACAGGATTCAGAGTCAGCAGATTAGGGTTCAAGTCCATACTTCTTCACTTACTAACTGGAGAAATAACTTTAGCAAATTTCTTCTCCAACACTCAGTGTTTTAATCTGTAAAACAGGGAATAAAAATACTACTTACCTCACTGGGCAATTATAAGAATCAAATTATATAATGCATGTAAGCTGCTTAACATGTGGTCTGGAAGATAATAAGAACTCAATAAATGTGTTCTTACTGCAATTTCAAGGCACCTTGTACACATTGTTTCTGATCTTTTAAACAACCCTTCAAAATAAATGGCATTAACTCCATTGTACTGATAGGGCAGTGCAGCCTCAGACAAGCTATGTGACTTGTACCAAATTAAATAACTGCTAAGTGGCAGAGCCTGGTCTTTCTGACCCAGAGCTCAGGCATTTTGATCTGCTCCATTCTGCCCTTCAAAGTCACCTTTGTCCCCAAACAAACCACCATCCTGACTGAAATGTTAAAGCTACTCCATCCTAAGTCAGCTTCCCTGGCTGGCCCAGTACTCAAATCCAAGCACAATATTCCAGCAAGGCTCACCAACTAGACAAAGAAATGCCAACAAGAACATATTTACGATATGCCTTTCACCATAGAAACTGCACACTTTGACAGGCATATGTTAGCAGGAAACAAGGTAGCTTGCTTTCCAAAGTGCTAGCTCTTGCATCTCATAACCAAAGGAGTAGAGCAGCATCTTTTTTTTATTGGCCCATAAACTTTCAGTTGTGTGAGTTTGGCACAAAATAACAGTTGTTAACACAGCAGGCCACCTCTTGGCATTCCAGTGATGGCTATATTAGTGCCACCACAGGGCCCAGGGCTGCCATAAGCCTTTCATGAATCCAAGTGCCACTAATTTTCCCCTTATAAAAACCACAAGATGGTATTCAGGCTGTGCCTTACAATTGATATCGTTGCCATACAGCGAAAAGATCATTAATTTTAAATGCCTACTGTGATTTGGTCTTGTAACTGCACCATGGGCCCAATGCCATGACTAGGATAGTGGTGCAAAGTAAGCGTAATAGTATTTTTACAGTGAAATCTGATTGCAATGAATCCCAAGGACTGAGGAGAAATACAATTAAGGATTATCATTAAATACTAATTCCCCCTTTTCAGCCCTGCACTCACCCTAGCCTCTTGTACATTATATAAATTTTATCTTACAGGACTTAGAATAGGGCTAAAACAAGCATCTTACTGCCTTTCATAGATGCTGGTAATGAAGGGGAGAGATAGTGGGGATAAGATAGAGGAGAAAGAAAGGATAAAGAGCTGAAGGCCAGTGTTGATTGTAGCTTCATTAATAATTCATAATCTCCTCTCCGAAACAGAGTTTTCTCCTAAATTTCTTTCTCAACTGATGTTGCCATAATTCTCCTTTGACGTCCAGCCTCGAAGTTACAAAACCAGATCTTTGACTTGTCCTTGCTTTTTTGCTCACACTCAGTCACTAGGTCTGTGACAATATCTCTCACAACCAACCTCCATTTCCATTCCCACTGCTTTCATCCTAACAGAGTTCTTTAAATCTAAAAATGGAATTATTGCAACCATCAGTTTATCAGAAAGTATATAAGGAGAATTATTTTTATAGAGATAGGGTCTTGCCATGTTGGCCAGGCTGGTCTCAAACTCCTGGCCTCAAGAAATCCTCCTGCCTTGGCCTCCCAAAGTGCTGAAATCACAGGCATAAGCCACCATGCCCAGCCCAGAAAGTAGACAAAAATTCAACTCTAGCTGCAAACAAATCTAGGTTTAAGTTCTGGATCAGATATGTGCTAGCTATGTGACCTTGGACAAATTACTTAATATTTCCAAGCCTCATCTGAAAAACAGAGATAACAATAAGTAACTACCTCTAGGATGTTATAATGATCAAGATAATGCACGTCAAGTGCCATACTTTTTAAACTGTTTTTCATAATCAATTTCTTCCCTCTTTACTTCACTCTATACCTCTTTCAAGTTTCTCTTACTAAAGTAAAGCAACTATAAGAGTATCTTCTGTCCCCAAACATACACTAGGTCTCCAGTGTATAAGACAAATACCGAAATCCCTGGCCTCTTATTCAAGGCCTTTTACTATCAGACCCTAAGTTACCATCCCGACCTACCTCCCCCAACACTGCTCCTTGATAGGAATCCTCCCCGCACTACCAACGAAAGGCTTATGGCAGGATATAAGGATTTGTCCTCTCCTTATATACTTTCCAATAAACTGATGATTGCAATAATTCAGTTTTTAGATTTAAAGAACTCTGTTAAAGTGATAGTGAAATTTACCATTTCATCACTGTCACAGTTCATATTATTTTTCCACTTCATCTCCATCTCATCTCCATCATCTAGACATACACACATTTTAAGGCCTATGTCAAACTTAGCACCCTTTAGAAATGTCTTCTTGACACTTCAACCTGAACTACACTCCGTTCGCCACCAAACCCTGTAGTTTATACCTATTTCCTATGTCATTTATGTTACAAATCACACACTGCCAAACTTAAACTCCTTATTTCATGTATATGTTTTATTTTTGTAATTGAGGATGTTCTTTGGTTCCAAGCCAAGGAACCACCTTATGAGTGAAATTGCCTCAGAAGAAAGCCTTTTCATTCTTCAGTAACTACCTTCTTTTGGATGCAGTCCAAAATGTACACATCTTAAATGATACCTAGATTGACAACTTTTGGAAGATGGTGATTTTTAAACAATGAGAGCTTGGACCCAGAAAGGAATGAGAAAACAGCATCCCTGATGCTGGCTTGGTTGTAGCTGAAGTGAAGCCAATGGTATCTTAGATAGAGGCTCTTATTCAGTGCAGAGGAGGGGTCTTCCCCCAGATGCTTGAGGCAGGTACCTGGAAAGAGGGAAAGGGTTCCTTGGGCTACAGCTATATGTCAATGGATGGAGATAGAATCCTCGTCTCATGGGGCAGAGACCAAGGAGCCATAGACCACCCACCTGTGGAGGGATTCAGAGGAGGGAACCCATCCCAGATAACATCCATAGGTCTCCCATAGCATTCCTGTTTCTGACCATGGAATTCATACCACAAAGCCTGCTGTTTGAAAGGAGCTGTTTTATATACAAACAATCATAATAAATAAGAAATAAATAAGGTGCCAGTGTGTGAATGGATTCTACTTCACAAGGAGATAAATTGTCCTCACCCTCAGTGTCCTTCCATCCTTACTAAGCCAGCCAACTGTTTCTCCCAGCCAAATTGAACCACAAAGTGTTGGTCCTGATTCATTTGACAAGTATAAAGTCAAGTTTCTCATTCCCAGAAGCCAGTAATGGTTGAGCCCAGAGTACCAGAGGGTGAGCAAAATCAAAATCATGGGTGTATAGGCAGGTCAGTACCGGAAACTGGGAGAAAGTGTCAGGTGGCTCTCAGAAACTGTGTCACGATACAGGGTGGTCACGGGGAGATACAGATGCCAAATATCAAGAATTAAGTACCATAACCAGAAGAAAGGAGCAAGCTAATGACAGGCAAAGGTTTTGGGATTATCACCATCTTCATTACCATCTTCACGATCATCATCATTATCATTGGTTTAAAGCCCCTTCTCTGGACCCCTTTGCCCTAGATATGTTTTAGAATTCAGAATTTTGGGACTTCAAGTACACTAATTAAATCTGTCTTAATGCATTAATATCTCTGCAGCAAATTATGCTAAGTGGAGTTAGAGCCATTAAATAGCTTCTCATTGGTTCAAGTCAGGCTTTGCCACTGAATAAATTTTGACACCAACTTACAAACAAATGAAACAATTTTGTTATTTCAAATTTGGGGCATTTTAGAATTACAAATGAGGGACTATGGACTAAGAAAAGACTTATGAAGTGCCAGGCACTGTGTGAGGGCCTCCACATACCTGTTTGATTAAACCTTGGACAACAGGCATCATCTCTACTATGAAATGAGGAAACTAAGACCCCTGGAAGTTAACAGCTTTCTCACAGCCATCTGATAACTTGATTATAACCTGCAAACCACAAGTATAGGAAGGTGTAGGATTTGGCCATACAAGAATCAATGAAACCAAAAGTTTGTACTTTGAAAGGATAAACAAGATTGATAGACCACTAGCTAGATTACAAAAAAAAAAAAAAGACAGACGATCCAAATAAGCACAATCACAAATGACAAAGGTGACATTACAACCAATCCCACAGAAATACAAAAGATCCACAAAGACAATTATGAATACCTCTGTGCACACAAGCTAAACAGCTAGAGAAAATGGGTAAATTCCTAGAAACATAGTCTCCTAAGATTGAATCAGGAAGAAATCAAAACCCTGAGCAGACCAATATCGAGTTCCAAAATTGAACCAATAATTAAAAAACCGACCAACCAAAAAAAAAAAAGCCCCGGACCAGATGGCTCCACAGCCAAATTCTACCAGTCATACAAAGAAAAGATGGTACCAATTATACTGTAACTATTCCAACAAATCAAGGAGGAAGGACTCCTCCCTAACTCATTCTATGAAGCCAGCATCACCCTGATACCAAAACTTGGCAAAGACACAATGAAAAAAGAAAACTACAAGCCAATATCTCAGATGAACATATGCAAAAATCCTCAACAAAATACTAGCAAACTGAATCCAGCATTGCATCAAAAAGTCAATTCACCTTGATCAGGTAGGCTTCATTCCTAGGATACAAGCTTGGTTCAACATACACAAATCAATAAATGTGATTCACCACATAAACATAATTCAAAACAAAAATCACATGATCGTCTCAATAAATGTGGAAAAAGCTTTTTATAAAATACAATATCCTTTCATGATAAAAACCTTCAAGTAAGTAGGCACTGAAGTAACGTACCTCAAAATAATAACAGCCACTATGAAAATTCCAGAGCCAACATCATACTAAACAGGCCAAAACTGGAATGATTTCCCTTGAGAAATGGAACAAGACAAGGATGCCCACTCTCACCACTCCTATTCTACACAGTACTGGAAGTTCTTGCCAGAACTATCAGGCAAGAGAAAGAAATAAAAGCCATCAAAATAGGTAAAGAAGAACTACCTCTCTTTATTGACAATATGATTCTATACCTAGAAGACCCTAAATACTCCACCAAAAAGCTCCTGGAGCTAATCAATGACTTCAGTAAAGTTTCAATGCCTAGGTACATATATAACTAAAGAGGTGAAAGATCTCTACTAGTAGAACTGCAAAATACTGCTGGAAGAAATTATAGGTGACATCATACAACAAATGGAATAACATTCCATGCTCATGGATTAGAAGAATCAATATCATTAAAATGGCCATACTTCCCAAAGCAATCTACAGATTCAGTGCTATTCCTATCAAGCTACCAGCATCGTTTTTCACAGAATTATAAAAAAACTATTCTAAAATTCATATGGAAACAAAAAAGAGTCCAAATAGCCAAAACAATCCTAAGCAAAAAGAACAAAGCCAGAGACACCACATTACCTGACTTCAAACTACCCTATAAGGCTACAGTAACCAAAACAGTATAGTATTGGTACAAAAACAGACACATAGACCAATGGCAGAGAATAGAGAACCCAGAAATAAAGCTGCACACCTATAGCCATCTGATCTTTGACAAAGTTGACAAAAATAAACAATGAGTAAAAGATCCCCTGTTCAATAAATGGTGCTGGGATATCTGACTAGCCATATGCAGAAGAATGAAGTTTTTGTACCCCTACCTTTCACCATATACAAAAATGAACGGAAAATGAGCTAAAGATTTAAATCTAAGACCTTAAACTATATGAATCCTAGAAGAAAACCTAGGAGACACCATTCTGGACATTGGCCTTGGGAAATAATATATGACAAAGTCCTTAAAAGTAATTGCAATGAAAATAAAAATTGACAAGTGAGACCTAATTAAACTAAAGAGCTTCTGCACAGCAAAAGAAACTATTAACAGAGTAAACAGACAACTTACAGAATGGGAGGAAATATATGCAAACTATGCATTGACAAAGTCAAGAACCCCATTTAAAAAATGGGCAAAAGACTTGAGCAGATATTTCTCAAAAGAAGACATACAAGTGGCCAAGAAACATGAAAAAATGCTCAACATTGCTAATCATCAGAGAAATGTAAATCAAAACCACAATGAGATATCATTTCACACCAGTCAGAATGGCTATCCTAAACATGTCAAAAAACACCAGGCCAGGTGCAGGCTGTAAACCCACCACTTTGGGAGGCTGACGTGGGAGGATGGCTTGAAACCAGGAGTTTGAGATCAGCCTGGGCAACATAGTAAGATCCTGTCTCTACAAAAATAAAAAAATAAAAACAAAAACAGATGCTGCGAGGCTGCAGAAAAAAGGGAATGCTTTTAAGTGTTGGTGGGAATGTAAATTAGTTCAGCCACTGTAGAAAGCAGTTTGGAGATTTCTCAAAGAACTTAAAACAGAACTACCATTTGGCCCAGCAATCCCATTGCTGAGTATATATCCAAAAGAAAATAAATTGTTCTACCAAAAAGACACATGTACTCTTATATTTATTGCAGCACTATTCACAGTAGCAAAGATGTGGGATCAATCTAGGTGCCCATCAATGGTGGACTGGTTAAAGAAAATGTTGTACATATATAATTCATGGAATACTATGCAGCCATAAAGAAGAATGAAATCATGTCCTTTGCAGCAACTTGGATGTAGCTGGAGGCCATAATCCTAAGCAAGTTAACACAGGAACAGAAAATCAAATACCACATGTTCTCACTTATAAGTGGGAGCTAAAGAGTGAGTACTGTTTAAATGGTTCTGAATGGTTCCTGGTTACAGTTGTGAGGATTACAGAAGCGAGGGTGTCAAGGAGATGGTCCAAGGAGCTCAGTGAGTACATAAAGAAGGCAACAATAAACACTGGGGATTACTAGAGGGGAGAGGAAAGGGAGAAAAGGTTGAAAAATGAACTATTGGGTACCATGCTCAGTACCTGGGTGTTGGGATCAATTGTACCCTAAACCTCAGCATTACACAATGTATCCAGGAAACAAATCTCCATATGTACCCCCAAATCTAAAATAAAAGTTGAAATTGTTTTAAAAATATAAAATACAAAATAAAAATTAGCTGCGTATGGTGACAACTCCCTGTAGTCTCAGCTACTCAGGAGGCTAAAGTGGGAGGATCCCTTGAGCCCAGGAGGTTGCAGTGAGCTATGATTGCATAGCTCACTCTGGCCTGGTGATAGAGTGAGGCCCTGTCTAAAAAAGAGAGAGAGAGAATTATAAGCGAAGCCATGGACAGTTGGCAGGGAACCTAGATTTCTAAGAAAATTTCAATTTGATATGGATCTAATTTAACTATATTCTGGAGTCTATATTCATCTTATATTGCTGTTTTATTGAATACTCCCTTGATGAGTTTGGCTTGTATTGGAGTAAATTGGGCCCCTTACTCTGATATTGATCATTCACACCAATGACTCATTTTTCTTCTAATGACCAATTGACCAATTTAGGGAGTATATCTAAGTTTATTTTAAAAGTTATTTTGATTCCACAATATCACTAGCAATTACCTGGACCTGTGGTATCATGAGATCTGCAAGAGATAATATTATCTTTAAAAACTAGTTTTTTATTTAAAAAAAAAAAAAAAAACAGTACGAGTGAAGAAGAAAAAGAGATCATGTTATCCTCCCTTTGGTCTGTAGATCATACTTATGCGTAACTACAGAAGTAAAATCAGACATGACTACCCAGTGATGTAGGGGACAGCCTTCCCAACAAACATCTGTGTCCCTGGACATTGGCCCTGATCTTTCATCTGATACTCCCACCTGCAGCCACTCTCTAGGCAGGGTGCAGTTCCAAATTAGAAGCTCTTCTCTGTGGAGTTGTTAGGTCAGCGGCATTGGCTCCCACTCCCAGCACATCCTCCATTGTGCCTCTCATCCAGTCATTCTGTCATGATGACCAAGTGAGCTGGAACCATTTGGGAGGGACAAGAGAGCAGATAGAGGGGAAGCAGAAACCACCCACCTTCCCTACTTTTTCCCATGTGCCACCTTTTCTGAGCTCCTTGGACCATCTCCTTGACACCCTCGCTTCTGTAATCCTCACAACTGTAACCAGGAACCATTCAGAACCATTTAAACAGCAGTGATTCCTTGAGGATTTATCATCCAGAAACTTCTCCAAGTTCCAGGTGCCCAAACTCCCTCTCTCAAGTAGACAGACCCTTTTGGGAAATAAATAATATTCTTTGGCATTTGTTTTCCTCAAGCGTTGGTTTTCCAGAACATAGTTAAGTCACTTGCCACATTTATTTCCCTCTGGACTTTGGTGCCCTGGGAAATAAGGTGGTTTTTCATATTGAACCTGCTAAAATGCAGTTTGGAGCAAGTGAAGTGTAGTTAGGCTGGGAGAAGAAGGAGGAGTTCTCTAGCTAATGCATGTGAGGATTTTTACTTGACTCCTATTAATACTAATGCACAGGGATCTGCCAAAATCCCTGTACACAGAGATGAAAATATATGCTTTGGTGTAGAGATTTCCTGTTACACTGTTGATAATTCATTGTATGATGTGATCAACTTATACTATAAAAATGGCACTTATACATCACACTTTGAAGATGCTTTTTATTGACTTAATGTGAATATTATTGCCATCGTTTATTATAGAGAAGTATCTTGTAGTAATTGAAATACAACATGGTGTCATTAATCATTCTGAATACAAAATGTTAACTTTAAACTGGTCACACTGTATTAAATGCTCCTCTAACCATAAAGCAATTTGATTTGCAAGCCTGTAAAAAGCTGGATATTTGGGATGTCGTGTAACTAGCACTTACAACACATATCTGTATTAGATTTTTCAGCAGTTTGCTTTAACTGAAATCATATTGTTTTGTTTGGGTAGATCTTCTCTTTCAATGTGTATTTACTAAATAAAATGATTGTCTGAAGTCATTTTCACACAACCAGAGAGTAGGACTGTTTTCCTCATCTCTGTGTTGACTTTGAAAACTATTTTTAACTATCTTACCCATATTTCCAATATTTATCTTAATTAAAGATAAACTGGTATCCTAAATAAAGTGGTACTGTCAGACCAAAAAAAAAAGAAAACCCACTGAAAATGAGATGAAGGGCTGATGACAGCTTTCTGCCCACACGTCATTCTGTTCTGTGCTGTTCCAGAAGTCCCAGTTGTTATCAAGTAGAGACTGAGATTTTATAGGTCAAATTATTTTGGGGTCTTGTGTTTCTTCTCATGCAGCTGAATATGACTAATTACAAAAATCGCTTCTAACTTGCAAACCACAGGTACAGATAGAAAATTTTCTTTTCTCTATTTGGGCTGAGAGATATACGAAAGAAGAGTTATTCAGTTTGGGATATAATACTAACCATGTAGTGAAGAAAAATTTAAGTCTATCTTTAATCCATCTTTTATATCAGAAAATAATTCTTGGGCATATGACAGTTTATCTACATTCTTACATAGTTCAACTTTAAGAAGCTGCTTTCTTTATCTCAGTCATTTATAAAAATAACGCACTGGGTGGTATTTTCATATTTAAAACATTTATGCAATAATTTCACTTTTGTTAAAATAGTCTCCTTTTTGACTATAGAAGTAATACATGCTCATAACAGATAATCCTTAAAACACAAAGAAGAAATTAAGTCAACCATAATGCCTCAAGGCAATATTTTCAAAGGCTCACGTAACCATTTTAAATGATGCAGGGAAGTTTAAAACACTCATTGGAGACATTTCCTTTTCTTTTCATTTGGGATAAACTGATTAGCAATTTAGAACCCTTGATGTGATAGGTAACACAGTGATTCTATGTCATTTCAAATTCAACTTTTGTCAGTAGCATTTCTCTTCATAAGCACATTTATTTTTGCCCATTTTGCAAAGAAATTAAAATGAAAATGTATGAAGAGTCCCAGAAGGTAGTCTCTTTTGAAAAGCTGTTTACTTGCCTTGGGCATGGTTTGGGAGGGTAAAGGTCAAGGATGGGTCACAAGAGAGCCCCACAGGCTGTCCATTCAGACACGCTCAATACTCTTTCATCTCTTTCTGTTTTTGTTGACACCAGCTGTGCCTACCTTAATCCTCCCTGTGAGTTTACATCTTTTTTCTTAATAATCTATAAGCAAACCATAGAAAAGGGGCATGTGCTGACTAGAAAGTAATGGTTGGGGAGCAGGCGATGGAAAGAAAAGGCAAAGGAAAAAGAAGTGTAATGGGGAACAAATTCCTTTTATAAATGTCAGAAAACCAACAGTGGATTTGACAAGATTTGATTTGACTCAGAGCATCAGCGGAAGCTGTAATTCTTAAACATTATCCAACACCTGAAACAAAGGAATAATAATATGCTACATTTCTTACAAGAATCTCAAAATGCTTTCCACAAATAATCTTTTTTGAAAAGTATAATAGGCGACAAGTACATTTCATGATTTTGAAGATTTTGACAATCAGAAATGTTCAATACAACTAGCATTATAGATGATATGTAATGCTTGTATTTTGCATGTATGTTTCTAATAAGTAACACTACCTAAGTGAGATGCTATCCCTTAGTCACCCCCTTTCCTAAAACATAAAGATGGGGGTGAAGTGAGGTCTTAATGGATTTCTGAAACTCTCAGTGTGTGAAGAAAGGGAAGCAGGTGGTAGAAGGAAAATCAGTGCACCTTAGTCAAATTTATTGGCCAAAAAGAATATGAAAATGCATTGATTAGATAAGAGAGAAAGATTTTAGAAAGAAAAACAAGAACAATGAAAGTCCTGGAAATACACTGTGATGGCTACTATCTGCAAAATCCAATTAAGAACATGTTAATTGTTTGATGTTTATATTGCTACACTCATTGTTTGACAATGCCCAATTGTGACCCCACCTGTGGAGGGCCACAGGTTGGAACTGCGTGTTGACACTTACAGAAGAAGTGGTGCTGATGCTGTGATCTATGAGGAAAAATAGGAGGCAACAAAGGAATCAAAGGCAGATAATACCTTATGAAACATCTAGGGAATTTTTAGCATATTTATTACTTTGTTTCTGTTGAAAAGGAAAAAAAAATCTAATATGAACCACAAACGTGGGGGTGGAGTGGGAAAAGGAAGGAAGGAAGGGTCATCTCTTCAGAGAGATGGGAGCCCAGGCTGGATGTGATGGGTAAGGCTGAGATGCTAAGTGCCCTGCAGTAACCCGTGGCAACAGCCATTCCCAGAACAGCTGTCAAGCAGTGACTTAAATGGATGACCCAAGTGCTGGGTTTGTTTTTATTTGGTTGCTTGTTTTTTAACCCTGATGTATGGCTTTGAACACCTAGGGACTCTCTTTTGGAAGAAACAAGCTGGCAAATATTTGAGGTTCAGAATACATCTTTTCTTAAATACCCAAGGGAAACAACTTCACTGCCATGAACACCAAAGAACTGGTAAATATATTACCCTTAAAAGCCCAATTCCAAAATTTAGTGCATGCCTTGTACAAATTACTGTCATTCTAATTAATGCTTTCTGCTGGTTTTAAGAAAATAGTCCCACAAATGGAATTTCTTTCCTCCTATCCTATCGGAGTCAGAATACCCGGATCCAAACCCTAACTCTTCCACCATTCATTAGTGTGTAATGTAAGGCAACACTCCACACTTAGTTTATACTTCTACAAAATGAGGGTAACAATAGGACTTACCTCCTCACAATGCTTTGAGAACTAAATCAGTCGGCTCAGGTAAAGCATTTAGCACAGTGCATGGCGCATCATTAATGTCCAGAAAAAAGTTAGCTAGCCATTATTACTGTATTTTAGTAAATATAAAATGCTATCGATTGTATGATACATCATTATTTTATGTATCACTAAGAAAAATTTATGCCAATCAACTATAACACAATGCTTTCTTACTGGCAGTTTCTTATTTTATGCTTTGGTGAAAGTTCTTTTAAACTTACTACATATGTATTTTTTAATCATATATTATTCTTGTGTATACATTAAAAAAGAAATATCAGTTAAATAATTTATTCCTAAAACTTGTTAGAATTAGAGCCTGATTCTACTGATTTTTTTTTTTTTTTTTTTTGAGGTATCAAAGCTCTGTACCAAAACCACCAGGGAAAACTGCTGATCACAGAAAAACTGGGTTTATTAAACTTGCTGAGCAAAAGAAAGCACCACCTTAAGAGTTTCAGTATTCTCAAAAGGCGAGTCAGGGAAAGGTACTGCTCATGTTCCATGAGGTGTAGGGGTTGTCACAAGGTGATCTGGGGCAGAAATTATTAAGTCGGTGCAAAAGTAATTGGGGTTTTTGCAATAACTGCAAAAACCCCAATTACTTTTGCACCAACCTGGTAGTAAGTGAGAGCTGGGCAGGGATAGGTTGAAATTTGTAATGAGAAGTCAGTGGTCTTATCTTGGAACATATTAGTCTTAACCAGCTGGTATCAAAACCCCTTATGTTTAGTTTGCTATGCATGTCATGGTTTGTACAGTTTATCTGACCCATTGCCATCAACATCCACATTTTTCCACCCAACATCATGCTCTGTGCCATTAAGAGCATTGTTGATGCCCTGCTTCCATTGCCTACAGTTTTCCTTTGCAGTAGCTGGCTCCCATTTTGAAAGTTTCAACGTCCATGTGTGGTACATCATGACTGCTGCTTGGCTGATGGTGATTTTGATATGCCTCATGATTTCAGAATTGACAGAATGTGAAAAAATTGTGCAATTTAGAATCAATAAAATAGAGTAATAATTTGATAACAATAAAGTCTAATTCTCATCTCGGAGAGTAGAACCAATCAAATGTTTAAACTCCCATTAGAGAAGTAGTTAATTCTGGGAGATAAGTAAAAAAAGTATCATAAAACTACAGTGCAAAAATATTTACCCCCTTGTAGACAGATCCTGACGACCCCTCTTCAAACCTAAAGGGCAGTTTTTATTGTTTGTTTTGCTCTGATCCTTATAATTGTAGCATTAATTTTATTTCCTCAACTTAACAATTAACTACTTTTTCAAGTCTTTTTCTACTGGGAAAGTATCTTGTTCCCAAAGAAATAATCTAAACCATGTAAAGAGACAAAGCCTGAAGTGTTTTGCCTGTAGAATTGCTGTGCCACGGGATGAAATTAGAAAGGATTAAGATACTCAAAGGTACATTTTTAATTGGATTTTTTAATTGGATGGATTTGAACTTGGCTCCATTGTAACTTGCCCAATAAGCATAATGGTAGCTCCCAAGAAGTCAAGTCCAGCAGCAATCAGGACTGTGACTTTTGGACTCACTGATTTCCCAGAAATGGTGTGTGTGCCTATTCACATACTGTGTGGGGATGCGGAGGGAGAGAACCGAAAATCTATTTATATTGTTAATATTATGCTTTCCTCTGAAAGATTACCCAAAATGTCAGGCTTACAGATAATGGCCACATTGCCTTATGACTAGAATGGGTGAAGGAAGAAATTTCATATATTACCAGGCAAATGAAGAGTTTTAGAAGCCCCATACGGTGAACAGATGTTAGGGCTCCATTCCCTCTTGTGCCTGATAGTAATTCAAATTAAAATAATACTAAGTCAGAAAATGAGCTTTTATTTCTCCAACAACATTCTGATTTCTCCATGACTATTTTGACACTTTTTTTTTTGAGATATGAAAAATCTTGTTTCTTCTTTTTGAACAAAAGAAATGTCAGCCACCTGGCATTGCTAATGTCCTGAACATATGCTTTGTCTGCCTGCTGGGTAATCCACACTGGGTGGCATCTTGGTTTGCTTCTGGATCAGGAAATGCTCTCAGCTTTAGGCTGTGCAGAATGGAGACATTTGAATAAAATCATGAACGTTTTTTGTGTTCATTTGTGAGCAAAATCCCTCCCGTACCCCTTCCCTAACCCAGCATCAAATGGGTTGTTTCTCAAAGTACAATTCAGATTTTCTTTACTGCAGATTATTCACTCTGCTGGGTTTCTTTATCTGAAATTATCCTGGGGAACCTTTGTGTTTGAAGCTCAAAATGATATGAAAAGTCAAGTTAAAAAAAAAAAAAGGCAAACCTAAAAGCCGAAGGCGTGTGTTGGAAGCAGGAAAATCATTCCTTGAACTCCCCAGGAGTTGATCAAAGAGACAGCCATAAATTGCAACAAAGGCAGAGATCTACTCTGCTCTGAAAGCCAGCCAGAAACACTGGAAATGTTTCATTATTTATTTCATTAATTCTGTGATAGCAATCTCTACTGACAAGATTTGCAAATCTAATCATTTATTAATGAAACGTGTCTAGTAGATTGTGCCAAAGATCTTCCTGAGGTCCCAGCCTCTGAATGGCGGCAGCCCTTTGCGAACTACCAGCTTGCTCTCTTGCCACAATGTCACACGGAGGTTTCCAGGATCCTCACTAGAGGTATGTCTCTCCCTCTGAGCTCAGAGGATATTCAAAGATGGCTCCCAGGCACAGCCTGCTCTAAGGACCAGCAGGATGGCCACTTTCCAGGATGAGTATAGCAAACATGGTTTCTATTCAAAGAGAACATTTTCTGAGAATCACAACATGGTATGTATGGTTTTAAGTCATGGTACAGACAGGAATGGATCTTTTAAGCTGTATTTCCATTGTTCTTACTCACCTTGATGCAGATAAGGTTAACCTGACTCTTGACTAAGACATTGATTTTTTTCTGGAAATTTTTTCTGTGGTTTCAGATATTTCCAAAATCTCAGCCTGTTTCCTTGGCGACTGTCTAAGGCTTTATTCCCTATAAACCAATGTGGCATGATTCATCAGTAAACAGTGAAGCAGCAGCCACCCAACTTACAGGCTTCCTAAAGATTTCCTGGAAAGCGATCCCTGCCCTGAGCTATTTCGCAGGCTCTGTTGTTGATATTTCACAGAGCGCAGCTAAAAAAATAATAAAAGTCCTATAACCGTGTGCATGGGGAACAACAGCGTTTATGGAGCTAATGAAATGCAGAAATGAAAACCCCTCAGCAAAGCCCCTTTAGATGTGCCTAAGCTCTGTTCATTAATCTGTGATAATTAGACTTATTTGCAAAGGTTAACAGCAGTGGCACATGGTAATTAAGCACTCCTTCTCTACCAGAGGGATCGAAAATGCTTCTCATGTGACACGTTTCCAGTCTTCAGGACATTTTATGTCTACTTTATAGCTCAGGTTTCCTATAGGAGAAAGAAGTTTTCTATACAGCCATGACCACATATCACTTTCTATAGTGAGAGGTAAAATCATATTTTACTTGTAGATTCTGAACTGAGAGTAACCTAGGGTGAGAATCATCACCTCCCTCACTGACTGCTATGTGACCTTGGGCAAGTTATTGAATTCTTTTTGCCTCAGTTTCCTCATCTGTAAAATGGGGATGATAATGCCTTCTTCAGAGTGTTGTGATAATTTAACAATGACAATGATAATAGCTAACGTTCACTGAGCAATTAATATGCCATGTACTGTTCTAAGTCCCTCATATACACCCATTAAGTCTCATTTTAAAGTTGAGGAAATTCACACACAAGAGATTGAATAGCTTGCCCAAGACCAAGCTTTGGAAGCAAATAATTTAATTCACTTTAAGACATTCAAGTCCCTTGGGAGCAAACTTCCAGAAAGTGAGCACAGATTTACTGCTTTGAAGACGACATCTCCCACTTGCCTCTAGAATACAAATAATATTTACACATTGAAACAACCTTATCCTTGGCAGTAGTCATCATCTGGGCTTGGGCTAGGTATAGTGGCATATCTATGAAGGAATATTAATGAAGAATTACTGAAATACAGAAAGGAGAAGTTCCACTTTTCTTCAGTTTTAATAATTGCATTAAATGTGGTAATATATGCAGAGCTCATAGCACAATGCTCGGTGCATACTGAATGCTCAATAAATAGTAGCTATTATTATTATGATAGACATGAATGCGCAGAAAAGCTGCACAAAGGGTGCAGCTTGTCTCTAGACATACTCTAGACGCACATGTCTCTAGACATACTCAAGATTGCACTCATCCGGATTTTGATCCATTTCAGTCAAAAATAGCTAGGTAGTTTATTGTATTAAAAAGAAGGGAGGAAAAAGGGAAAGAAGGGAGGGAGGCGAGACGAAGTGAGGAAAGAATAGGAAACTTATTCTAAAAAGTAACCATACTTGCCAGTTCTTAAATCTTGGAAAGCAAGATTTAAAAGGTCATAGGTCCTAAAAAGAAGAAGGTAGTTTTGCTTGTATTTTAAGATGTTACCAGACCAAGTCAGGAAATAATAATGGGATACAATTGGCTTGCTCCAAGACAGTGCTCATTTTTAACTCATATTCCAGGAGAACCTCACTTTTATTAGTCTTGCTCTCTGTTCACATTGTGGTTGAAGCCATGCTCATGTTTCTCACAGGCAGTCTAGAGTCAGGATCTCAGCAGAGAAATGAAAGCCCAAAGCCTGAGCTTGGCTGATTTTTCATACACAGTTGGTACGTTCATTAGCAGTTCCTGACTCCTCTCTGCATGGGTGTGCAAATGGGCAGGATGGCACTTGGTTTTCAAGTCCTCTTTTTACTTTTTCTTGGGGGGTGGCAGGCGTGGGGGTGGTGCTTTTGAAAGACAAGCATTGACACTTTCCACAAAAAAAGAAAAATCCCTTGCAGCACCAAGGAAAGAATTAAAGGAGCTCTAAGCAATGATCTGGGAAGTTCCACCAGTGCTCATTCACATGGGGAATCATTCCCACGCCTTCCTGCAGCTGGGAGGAACACAAGGCAATCTCTAGTTTATTCTTGCATTTCCCGTATCTCACCTTTGTCAGTTCTGACCTGAATTTCCTCTGCAGGATCAACCTTTCCTTCAGCTTGTGGCATGCAGATACCGTTTTACGAGAGAGCATCCCTGAAACCAACACAGCTCTGTTTGCTTCAGCTTTCTTTTTGGAAGGGTGGGGAGGCTTCTAATTGGGCTAACTGGCAACAAATGGCATATTTTGGTGGAGTTTTCCATTCATATGTTAAAAGAAGACACAAGATTTAACCAAGTAATTGTTCAGGAGGAGGCACTCTGTTGCCACCATTCTGTGGTATTGAATGAACTCAACGTAGTGGAGCTTTAAAAAAAAAATGTGTAAATATCTTTAGGTTGTCCAGTTTGCAGCACCTGCAGTATTCTTTCCATTTTCCCTTCATTAATTGAACCAGACAGAATATGAGTCTGGTCTTTACCTGCCCTCTCTAACTCTTCTTCTCATTTAATAACCCTTTTACTTAAGATTTCTTTTTCCCTTAGCTTATGACAGTGGATCTGATGACGCAAAATAAGAGATCTCTGCACACTGAGCCTCAGAGATAAAGTTCAAAGTGTAATTATTGAAGTAGCTGTGTATCTTGGATTTGAATTCAGAGAAACTGAGCTTGAACGACGAAGATGGAAAGAGATAGAAAAAGATTCCTCTTGTTAAAGTAAATTAATTAGTTGGATTTATATGAGGAGACAGAAGGGAAGAAGTCAGGCTGTGTCCCATATTAATAACTCACTTGGGAGAAGCCAGATTGGATTGAAAGCAAAAGACAAAGAGGGAGGGGGCTATTGTGCTACCTTATAAAAGAAGTAGCCTCAGTTTTCCTGTCTTTGCACTCTATAACCCGTACATAGACAAACACACATCCTCATTCCTGACATGAAAATGATGTCATCTTTCTTTTTGACTCACCAACCAGACTACATTAATCCCCTGCAGCGTGTGGGCCAGCAGGAGGCTGCTTAAGGGACTTCAGGCCTGTGAATAAATGATGACCCAGTGGTTAGGGGCGGCAGCCTAGATACATTCAGGATGCATTAAAGCAATTAGCTGGAAGAGGAGTGAGAGCACAATTTCCAATCCCCAAGAAGGACCAGACCATGCTTGGAACAGGGTGAGGAACTCTACAGCCTACAGCTGGTAAGAGCCACTTAGCAAAATGGCTGCACATGAAAGGAGTTTACAGTCTCAGCCCCTTGGCCTTGTTTGATACTAGTGCCATTAAGGGGGCATTTCAGGATCATGGGAGCCATGAAGCTGATTACTTTTGCAAATCACTGCATTAGAACCAGGCTTGTCAGAGAGGTTTCCAAATCATGGTTTGTAGACTGGTGTCCCACTGGTTGAATCTGGCTCATGGCTGCTTTTTGCCTGGCCAGACCATCTACGTTGGGCCAATATTTTAAAAAATTAAGAGATTTCACAAAAATATGAATTTCTAGATTATCTCAAAAACCCAGCCCTGTGTGACACCAATCTGCTGAAGCTGAGTTCTAGTTTTTCTCTTGAACTGGCTGTATGCTCTCCACTTAGCCCCCATCCCTACTGCTTCCCATTACCTTACTCCCATCCCACTTCACTCATTTTCTTCAGTCATTGACATCTACCTGGGCCTCTGTAGGTATCTGAGTTTGTGACCTCTCTCTTTTTTTTTTTTTTTTTTTTTTTGAGACAGAGTCTTGCTCTGTCCCCAGGCTGGAGTGCAGTGGTGCGATCTTGGCTCACTGCAAGCTCCGCCTCCCAGGTTCAAGCGATTCTCCTGCCTCAGCCTCCCGAGTAGCTGGGACTACAGGCACACAGCACCAGGCCTGGCTAATTTTTGTATTTTTAGTAGAGACAGGGTTTCACCATGTTGGCCAGGATGGTCTCAATCTCCTGACCTCGTAATCCACCAATCTTGGCCTCCCAAAGTGCTGAGATTAAAGGCATGAGCCACCGTACCCGGCCGTGACCTGTACTTTAAATGGCTTCTGAGTTAGATTCAACCAGAAACATAAGGTTGCATTCTAGAACCGCCAAGCACATTTTGTGCATGGATACATCTCAGTTCCTGCATCTGAAAGGTTTACCACTAGCCTTGCATGGCAGCCTGCTGTAAACATGGCCACAACTCTTTGTGAGGCTTCCACCCTCACAAATGCAGAGATGCAGCACTGGAATATACACACTCCACTATTTCAACCTGGTCAGGGATGATGGCCATGGAGTAGTTATTAGAACAAAGGAGTAGTCTGAACATGAATTTCAATCCAACAGATTTGGGCAGTGTTGATGCCCACCAGAATAAGAACAGCCAAGAATGTCACAAGCTAAACAAAATGCCAGCCAAAGCAGCCTGAGATCCAGAAACTGCTTGGCATATTTTGTGATACTCACTTCACAGTGGGATGAGAGGCGAGAAATAGCCTCTAATATACAAGAACAACCTAGCCAAGGTCCACAGTTCTGATTTCTCTTAATATGTACTAGAATCTTTCTATGATGTTCCCTGCCTCTTTAAATCAATAGAGCTTTGTCTCTTTTTCTCTTGTTCAGATGAATTTCCAATTGGAAATGTCATTTAAAGACAAAGAAAGAGCTCTGATGACTTAAGGAAACCAAATCACGCCTCTTCTATGAAACTTCCTCCTCCTTCCTGCCCTCCTCCAAACCCTTAGATGCTTTTCTCACTTCTTGCTTTTAATCTTTCCTCTCCTCCTGCCCAATCACTTAGCGTAAATGGGATGGAAGTGCTAAGTGGCTGCTCCCTCCCTCCTCTCAGCTGTACCACATTTGGGTGCTCCTAAAAGGCATCTCCCAGGCTGCTGTTGGCACCAAAGTCCTATGTTCGCAACCCTTTGCTTAAAACTAAAAGACAAAGCATGTGTTTAAAAGATGGCTGAGACACATGTGTGACTACTCTGCCCCCAAAGAGACTATAGCAGTAAAAAGTACCTGGTACAGGGTCAGAAAATGAATAATTCAAACTTTCCTCACATGCTGAATTAACCTTGACTTATTTCATGCCTCCCCGCCCCCATCACACCGATTTTGCTTCTCTCTGGGCTGGAGTGGGCTGGAGTCATTCAGGTGTACATTTTAATCCCTCCTGGAAACTTCTGCTCTATTTGAATCACAGAAAGTGAGAGCGATTGAATAAGTGTGAGCTCACTGCCCTGCAGGAAGGGGTGTCGTGTGGAAGCCCACAGTGACCAGTGCTTGGGGCTTTAGCCACACCCGTGTAAAATGACCAGGGATGTCCTTTCACTAATATTGCCGGCCAGAGGCTAAGGTGACTTGGGATTTAGGAAATGTCCCTCTTTTCACAACACTCATTTTTCTTTAAAAAGTCTTTTTCCCAATTTCCTTATATTACCCCCAATAATAAAAACTGCCTCCTTCATTGCACCAAGAAAATAAAAACTCTTTTCTGACCCAGCTCTTGGAAGGCAGGCAGAGTAGGCACTCTTATCTGTTTTAAAGTCATCTCATATTCCACAATACAATTACAGAATGTGGTGGTATGTTTCTCCCTTTATGTTAGGCACAAAGCCATCCAGGGGAGCAAGGTCTATGAAATAGGAAAGCCCAATTTGCACCCACATTGTTTTCGTAGGGTCTTCCCCCGACCTGCTTGGCAGGGGGCGTAGAAGCTGGTCAGAAGACACATGTACAAGACCAGCTGAAAGGGGGATGTGAACACACCTGGGTACATAGTGTGGTTTTCTTGGTTAGGCTATGAAATAAATACTGTGTGTCTTAAAGGCAACGTCTTTAAAAGAAGACGACGCACTCTGAGGTGAAAGGAAATCTGGGTTTTGCTTTAAGAAGCTTGTTCTCATTGGTAGGGCAAGGCTCATTTCTGTAAGAATGCTCTCAGCACTGTCCCATAGAACTTTCTGGAATGATGGAAATGGTCTGTCTCTGTGTTGTCCAATATGAGAGCCACTACTCACATGTGGCCATTGAATGATTAACTTTTAGCTACATAACTGAGAATCTGCATTTTTAATTTTATTGAATTTTAATTAATTTTTATTTAAACAGCCACATGTGCAAGACAAGGTGACCAGACAGATCCTATTCTCTGCTCCCTTTGTTTGTTTGCTTGTTTATTTAGAGCCAGCCCTGAGTATATCTATTCCCAGATACTCCCACCAGAAATTCTTTCAGCATTATCAACAAGGAGGAAGGAAGGGAGCAGCTTCCTGGATTGGATTCAGCTTCCTGTAGGTGCCAGGCCTGGGAAAAGTGCTTCCACATATCAAACTCATTTATCTGTGGTTGAATCCTTACAACTCTGCTCTATGTGACACTCTGTCCTCATTTTATAGCTGAGGAATCTGGAGGTGACAAATTTTGGTAAGTGAACTAAGCAGAAATGGAGTTTGAGTCTTTGCATCCAATCAGATAACCTTTCCATTACAAAGAGATGGTGTTATTCCCAATGCTATCCCCATTTCACAAAGAGGGAAAACAAGTCACTAATTACAGAACAAAGACCAGGGAGAAGTGGTAGGCACATAAGTTTGTGGTCTTTGTGGCTATGCATATCTTTCAGATTCAAGTGTATGTTGAAAGTACTCAATGAAGGAGTGTCTAATAAACTTTCATTTCTTGGTATCCAAGGTGTGGCAGGCAGGCCTGAAATGACCAATTCAAAGTCCCTCTTGTTGCTACTGAAGCATGTTTGAGACCTGCGAGGAGGAGGAGGCCTCTATCAGAGCAAAGAATTTGGAGCTGCTTCCAATCTGAAACTTCCTTAGCGTTGTAAAAAGCACCCTTCATTCGAAATCGCTCAGTGCCTGGACTCAGAGAAAGTGGGAGAGTTACCAAGGCTCGGGTACGTCTAGCACCCCTAGCCACCACGGTGCTAACCAGGAGGGTGATGAGGAGAAAGCTTTTCTCTGCTGGTAGCCATTCATGCAAGAAGTTTCCTAGAAGGTGATGTTGATTGTAATTAGAGCCTCCTCTCTGGGCGGACGAGGGGGCGGGGCGGAGGGGGGGTGGTTGTCTCAAATCCCAGTCCCGCAAATGCAGCTGGTGGCTGGGAAGCTGCCGCCTGGCATTCTCTCCAGAGAGAGTCTCAGCTGCTCTTGCTGTCTAGAATGATCACTTGGTGTAGTTTCCCAGGGTATGAGGTGGGGGGAGGGGGAAGATGGCAGCTCGGCCATGACGCGGAAGGGGGCAGTGACCGTCATGCAGGCGGCTTTTCACAGCGTGTGTCTGCCCCTGCCCGGGCAGCAGACTTCAGTTCCTCCCTGGTCCCTTGCTGGCTGTTCACTTTCTACACCAATGGGCTCTGAGGTGACAAGTTCAATTCCCAGCTCTGTCAAACCTGCATTTTCTTCCCTGACCTACTTTCCCCACTCTGCAGTGTTGGAACAATGCCTCGCTCTGTTCCCTGTTTAGACCCATCTTTTGCCTGCGCTGGTGCAGAAGCCCAGGCCTTTGCCAGGCTTTTTGCCTTGAATCCCTGACAAGTGTTGATGGGAAAATAAAAAAAGAGAAGGGGGAAAAAAATCCTTGCTATAAAACAGTCCAGCTCTCCCACAGATGCCCAGACTCCGGAGGGAGTGAAAGCTTCTCAGCAGCAAGGAAAGAAATCAAAAGGTTGTGCTTCTCCTCTCATCACCTCTCCCCTCTCCCCAGCCCCCAAGGCACAGTGAGAAGAAACTGAGGCAATGCCAAGAACACCCCGACCTCATGAGCTTCAAAGAAGCTGCTGCTGCAGTTCCCGGTTCTGAGGCACCTCCAAGACCACTCTCATCCAAACTCTCAAAACACTCCCCTTGGGTGAGCTGTCCCTTAAAAGGAACAGGGCTGGGCCTTCACAAAGGCTCCTGTGAGACTTCTACCCCCTATGGGTCTGGTAGCACCAAGGGATTTCTCATGCTATGACCACAGACATCATCAAGAGGGTAGAGAGACCAAGTGGCCAGTGAATTGGCACACATGAAGATTCTTTGTGATCTGTAAAGAAAGTGTAAAATCTGCAACAAACTGTGGAATAATCTGACATAGGAAGAGGTGGATGGTACAGAAGAACAATAAAATAATAGCCAGCCTTTATTGACTGGTTGCTTCATGCCACTACTGCTCTGTGTGCTTTTACATGTATAAAATGCGTATTTGTCATAAGACCCTTTGAAACGGCCCTACTGTCACTCCTATTTTATAGATGATGAAGCCCAGGACAGCACAAGGCTAGTGAGTGGTGCTGCACCCACGGAGTCTCTCCAGAGCCTGCACCTCTTACCCTCAGCTCGCCCTCCCCTCTGCTCCATCTTACACTCCAAGAACAGCTTGGTGGGCTGTGTCCTCCACAGCATGCCAGCAGCCCCCTCCTCCCACTCCAGCAAACCCCAGCCAAGACCACTCTGGCCCTGTTCCTCCAAGTGAACCCGAAACAACAGCCTCCTCCAGAACATCCTCCCTACTTCAGTTACTCCATTAGTTTCCTAAGATAATGTGGGCAAACATTTCTCAAATAATCCCTGTGGACAGCTGCCCATGCTGGGCACAGATAGGGCCTTCCCTGAGCTCACCCCCTCCTAGACCCTCCCAGTCTGGGGTGCACACATAGTCAGTCTGTGCAGAGAGGTGTTAAGAGGAAATCTGCTGGGGGACAGCAGGGGATGATTTTCCTCCTGGATAAAAGGAAAGAGCTCTACAAGGAACATGTTTTTTGCATCCTCTTTTCTGTTTGGCCCGCTGCCACATGAGGACACAGAGTTTAGAGTTGAAGCATCTTTTTCAAAATTATGAGAGAAATCACCTCTGAGATATTAAGGATAAAAATGTGAAAAGTCCCAGGAACTTGATGTCATTGAGCTGCTCCACCAACCCTGGAACTGCTGACTTCCAGACTTATTGTTAGATTTTTAAAAATTAATTTATATGATTAGTCTACCACCAGTTAGGATTCTGTTACTTGTAGCCCAAAGCACCTAACTGATAGAGTTACCTAAAAGCAGGCCCCGAGAAAGGGTGTGAAATGACTTCTTCTTCTCAGCGTTGGCCCTGCCTACCCCACTGCTACTCACCTGACTTACTTATCTCCTGCTCCTCTCCCCAGATGCTCCAGGAAAGGCCAACCTGGACGTCATCCTGCCTCATTTCCTGGCCCCTGCAATCACTACTCCTTCTACTGGAAAATTCCTCCCCAGTCTTCCCAAGGCTGCTTTCTTCTCTCCACTGACTTCATCTTGTCAGAGAGAAGTCCCCTGAGCACCCAACTTTGAGTGGCCACCCAGCAACTCTGTCTCAGTCACAATTTCCTTCATAGAAGTTATGACTCTATATAAATATCTTCATTGTTTGTTTAATGTCTCTGCACTTGACAGTTTGTTTGTCTTACCCAGAACATTACTTGGCTCGTAGCAAAATTCTAGACATTGGTGGGCACCAGAATCCCCTGCAGTGTTTTTTTTAGGAGTTTCAGGGGGTCCTTCTCCTCCTCTTTTTCCACCCGCTACTTCTTCTCTTCCTTCTCTCCTCCTCTTCCTTTCTCTTCTTTCTTTCCTCCTTCATCTGCTCCTCCTTCAAATCTGAGTGATGCCCTTTGTGCCTCCATTGATGGTGTAGAAGACCTATGTCCCATACTATTCTTTACAAATCGTTAGAATCACGGTTAAAGTCCAAAAGCTGAAATCTCAGTTTGATCATCTCCAGTAAGGCTTGATTTTTAGGTATCATTCTAAACGGGGATTCTGTGATGGAATGACAATGTGAGGCTGTTTCTAAGCTTCTTGTGTTCGTTTTACTGTATCGCTATGGTGGTTTTTAGTCTTTCAGACATTTTAATCTATGCTTAATTATGCTCATTCCCAGAGGTTCCTTAAAAGCAAATGGCACAATTTCTAAAAAATCAAATAAATAATACACATGAGGCCTGCTAGGACTTGATAGGAGCCCATCTGAGCAGTTGAAGGAATGGCGGCCATCAGAGGGCCTGAGAACAAGGGTTTAGAGAATCATCGCCTTCCCTTTCAGCATTCACAGCCACTCAAGACAAATCTCCGAAACCTGGGGAGATAGAGTCTTTGCCAACTCTGTGCCCTAGCCTCTCCTCTCAAATTGGAATTGAGTCTGCTAAAATGGATTGGTTTTTGTGATCACTTTACCAAGAAGGATAACTGTAATTCATCTTTCTTCCAAAGGGGGCAACATGGAGTCCATCCCGGAGCACTGGGGAAAGGGACCCAGAGGCTGTCCTGCCACTCTGCACTAACAACAAGGAACAGTGTAAGGTTGGGGCATTGATGTCCCTTTCTAGGGCACCTGGAGCTCTTTTGGCTTGCGAATGGACATCTGCTGATTTTGCCTGTCTGGGACCTGGTCACTCTCTGCCACACTTTGGATCTTCCCTTGTGGCGGGCAGTCAAAGGGACCATCAGTTAAGGTTCCACACTCTTATCTAGCCAAGAGGTTGGAATGAAGCCCAAGCTGGGTCAGTCAGATTCGCATAGGAATTTTAACCTTGAACAGGAAAAGGAAAGAAATTGAAGATGACGTGAAACACTGGTACTTCCCTAAAGAGACTATTACTTCCTGCTACTTAAATTCTCTAGTTCCAGTACTTTCTGATACTTGATTTTCAGCATTGGCTTTTGCTAAATGACTACTACATATCCTTCAATTAACTCCTCTTTTCCCTTGTGAGTTGACAGAGTAAAATCTGTAACTTACAACAAAATGACTAAATTATAGACTTCTTAAGCAATGCAGTCCAGAGTTTGACACCTGCTCCCACCACTGAGGCCTCAGAATATGTTTATGTTATATGTCCTTGACTAACTCAGGTATTAACAAAAATAATGCCCAAACAATTATCTCTCATCCCCACCCCCCAAAAAAATCTGGGTCACTTCTCCCTCTGATTTGCCATGTAATTCTCAAGTAGACAACACAAATAGCAGTTGCAGAGGCTAAGGGGAAAAAAGTGTTAAAAAAAAAAAAAACTTATCTGTCTTAAAAGTCATGAATGAAATAAAGGAAACTGTGTTCATAGCACCTGACTCACATGATTACTGTGGGTGAGCCATCAATATGTAGATAGAAAGAAAATAATTGGCATAAGCTCCTTGAAATTTCTGCCTACAGCCTCCCCAAGGAGGCCTTGGGGAGAATTCAGATAGCATTTGAACAGCCAGGGTTCAGTAATGAGAACTGACATTCTAGTGTGTAGTACAAAAGGCACTTCCCTCCCGGAACCACGAAAAGTACTTTAATCAGCCAAAACGTTGCTACTGTTAAAAAAAAAGAAAAAGAAAAAAAAGGAGGGGGAGGGGATAAAACAGCCCCCTCGTTTATTGTTTCTCCACCACTGCTATGCCCAACTCCTACTGAATGGACGAGCCCCTTTGGCATCATCTTATGCCTACCTCATTAATGCCACTTGCTCACTGCTATGCCAGAAAACCCAGCTGATTCACAGGAAACCCTGAGCTGAAGGTTGCCTGGGTTTTGAGTTGCTTATGCACACAATTCACACTCCATGTGTCAGAAGCCCCCTCCATTCTGCAAATCACTCAGTGAGCCTGAAAAGTGGGAAACTGGCTTTGTACTGTCTCTGGCTCCCCCCTGAACAGTCAAACCCCAGGATGCCCACAAAATATTTGATTCCTTGTAAACTCAAAACAACCATCACAAAGAAGGAGAAAAGGTCAAATCCTCAAGTGAGGCACCCAGAGTGAACAGCCTGAGATATTGGAAAAGGTAAGCTGAGAAAATACTCAGACTCCTCTAGCAGAAGCTAAAGATAAAACATGGCTTGCTTCGTGCCCAAGGCAGACATTGAGCAGATTCCATTCTGAGAAGTTCATTGGAGGGTGAGGTCTCCTTCTCCATACGCACCCCCTCTGTCATCCTCTCTGGTATCCAGTCTTGCCTCCTGGCATGCTATGTTTTTCTTTGTCCCCTTCCTTCTAGCTGAAGCAAATACTCTGTTACTAATAATTGTGGTTACCCACGTCATTCACAGACAATATTTTCAAGGCAATAATCATAGAATACCTTAGTGAGGCATTAGATTCTGAGGACTTTGGATATATATGCAGATTGCTTTATACAAACAGCCAAACACGTCCTTTCACACATGTGCAGAATCTAAGAACTGAAATATGATTGAAGTCACACCCCCCTTTCCTGAGGGAATCCTGCATTGACTTACTGGTCTGTGTGGGTTATAAAGACCTAGTCCCCTTGCCCTGATTCAGGACATCTCTGAAAATCCGTTCCAGCTCCAGAGTGCCCCTTTAAGACATGGGAAAACAAAACAAAACAAAACAAACAAACAAAAAATGCCATGCTGCATCACAGTCCAACATCTCCCTATGCTCAGTCCTGCTTTACTTACTCCCTCAACAATGTTGACCCTGAGAACACTTCCCAATGAACTTATTGCATTAAATTAAAAAAAAAAAAAAAAAAGAAAAGCTAGAAAAGACTGAAGAGGTCTTAAAACCCAACCCCCTACGCAGTCCGCCCAGTAGGACTCGCTTCTGTGCTATCCTAGAGATAATCAAATGGCCTTCCCTTTAACCTTCCAAGTGTTTGGGGTTTCCAGATTCTTACACAGAAGTGAAGAGGAGAAAATGCTCTTTGGGGTAGGCAAATCTCTGACATCAGAGACGTTTGACACCATGAAATTCTGTAAGGTGATGAAGTAGGGTCCAGAAAGAGAAAACAGCTGCTTGGCCAAAGGGTGCTACATGAAATTATTAAAATGTGATGCTTGGTCAGGTGAGGTGGCTCATGCCTGTAATCCCAGCACTTTGAGAGGCTGAAGTGGGCAGATCACTTGAGGCCAGGAGTTCAAGACCAGTCTGGCTAACATGGTGAAACCGCATCTCTACTAAATATACAACAAATTAACTGGGCACAGTGTGGTGGTACATGCCTGTAATTCCAGCTACTCAGGAGGCTGAGGCAGGAGAATCACTTGAACCTGGGAGGCAGAGGTTGCAGTGAGCCAAGATTGTGCCACTGCACTCCAGCCTGGGTGACAGAGAGAGACTCTGTCTCAAAAAAAAAAAAAAAAAAAGTGTTGCTCCAGTATATGTGAGTATCAAAATGCTGACAGAGAGAAAACATCAAATAGTACTCTGGTATTGTAGGCTGAATGTTTGTGTCCCTCCAAAATTCATATGTTAAAAACTAATCTTCCATGCAGTAGTGTTAACAGGTGGGGACTTTTAGGAGATAATTAGGTCACAAGGGCTCCACCTTTATGAGTGGTATTAAGTAACTTTGTAAAAGAAGCCTGAGGGAGCTTGTTTGCCCCTTTTGCCATGTGAAGACACAGCAAGAAGGTGCCATCTATGAAGTAGAGGATGAGACCTTACCAGACACAAAATCTGTTGGTGCTTTGATCTTGGGCTTCCCAGCCTCCAGAAGCAAGAAAATTCTGTGATCAAGAAATTTCTGTTTATAAATGACACAGTCTAAGGTATTTTTATAGCAGCCCAAACAGACTAAGACACCTAGTGTCCTTTCCCTTATAAAACCAAGCTAATGAAGGAATACAGTGGGCAATCCTGCCAAGAGTGGTATATAAACAACACAGGGAATTTATGATAAAAGGCCAAGGAAATGGGCAAGAAAAAAGGAGCTGAGAAAACAAGGACACTGCAGAGAGAACCATTAAACAAGCATCATGCTCCTGGCTTATCTCCTTTGCACACTGAGCTCCCAGAGGCTTCCAACAGAGCTCAGCACAGTGAAGACCAACACAGAGAGAGTTTGGCTTGTCACATGTCTAGCACAGCAGAGAAAAGTTGAACGAGAGGCTGTAAAACATGGAGTCAGCCGATTTCTAATAGTGAATCTGGATATTAATTTTTGCAATTTTTGCGGTTACTGTCTACAGAGATGGTTATCAATGTTTTTGATATGGCCTAAACTAAAGATGGAGAAAAAGTGAGTTGATGATGAGTTGGTGTGGATCTTCTTTTGGTAGGAGAAGAAGTTTTATCTGAGATCAGACTCTAGATTGTAAAAGAAAACTCCCCACAAAGGGACAAGCAATTTGTATGAGTGTGTGTCAGGTCCAGAACAAGACATTAGGGGTGGTAAGACCTGTGGACCTTTGTAAAATATATTCCAAACACTTTGCTGGCTGAACAATTACGTTTGTGGCTAAATTTCACTGCTGGTCTGCCAGTTTGCAACTCCTGCTCTAAAAGGTGACTGTCTTCCCAGATAATCTGAAGCTATCATCTGCTGCTCACACTCAGAGGGTGAACTGATGGCCTTACAGTTAGGCTTCTGTTTTATTCCTCGTCAAAGAATAGCCTCCCCCCACCATCCCTACCCCCTCCGCCAACTCCTCTCTGGTGTTTGCAGCCACCATCCCTATCACCATTTCTAGATTAGAAAAGAAGGCCAGTGGAACTGCCAAAATGGAGAGGAAGAAGGAGACCAAATTGGGAAAGAATGTTGGACAACATTAGCAGAAAACTAAAGGCAGGGTGAACACTGTTCCTCCAAGGTTGCTCAGATATAATATCCCAGCTATTTATGTAGACTCCGACTTCAGCATCTGAAGACAACTTCCTCATTCTTGAAGAAAAGGAAAGCATGGACATCTATTCAATACCTGGACCATGTCAACCAAATACCAGCTACCTTACCCCGAGGGTCCCAGAAGAAAGCAGGGTGGAGATGTGACCAAACTCTACATTTTTCCTTTTAGCCCTGAAGATTCTGATTCTTAGGCTACAGTTCAGTTAATTTTCCTTATTTAACAAGTCAATATGCCTATGAAAGCAGGAATACAGGAACCAAAGGAATAATCCATACATTAAATGTTTGAAACCAATACTAATACAGACTAAAACTTAAAGAACTTAGGCTTAAACTGTGAACATGCAGACAAGAAAATTACTTCTGTTTTCAAAGCTCCTAAGCAAAGGCCCCACCTCCCAATGCCACACACTGTTCTATTTTCTGAGGCTGTGATCAAAAGCACATACCGGCACTAAGTACCTGAGATGAAAGTGGGAAGAAAGACAATAAATTCAAAACCAAAATCAAATGGAGTCATTTACAATGGGACCACCCAAACTTCACATTGGAAAGGAAATAGAAGAATTTGTTTTAAAGCAGAAACATCTTCTAGAATGATTTCTCTAACCCACTTACTTTACAGATAGAAAGACTAAGGTTAAAAGTGGTTACGTGATGAGACCATACCTCAGTCAGCTCGGTCTGCTAGAACAAATTACTGTAGAGTGGGTGGCTTACACAATGTTTGTTTCTCATGATTCTGCAGGTTGGGAGGTTCAAGAGCAAGGATCCATTGGCAGATATGAAGTGCAGTGAGGACTCTCTTTCTGGTTTGCAGACAGCTGTCTTCTCTCTGTATCCTCACAAAGTAGAGAACAGAAAAAGGAAAAAGCAAGCTCTCTCCTGATCCTTCATATGAGGGCACTAATCCCATTCATGAGTCCCCAACCTTGCGACCTAATGACCTCCCAAAGGCTCCACCTCCCAATGCCATCACATTGGGGGTTAGGATTTCAACATACCAATTTTGCAGGGAGCACAACACAAAGTCCATAACAGACCAACTTTATGTGCTAATTATTACTTCAGGGCTTGAGGATGTTGAGTCATGTCATAGTTTCCATTTCGAATTTCATCTCCAATTGGTTAAATAATTTCATCTCATTCCTGAGACTATTTGTGTCTCGGCTTCTCCCCATTTGAAAACACTCTTTAAACTCCTAAAACTTGACATTCAATTTGACAAATACGTATTAAGCACCTCATCATGTGTACCCAGCTCTATTCTAGGTGCTAGAGATCCAATGGAGAGGAGTCTGTGGAGAATAAGATGAGAAAGGAGCTTATGCTCTGAAGGGAAGATGTTTAGAAGCATTAGTTGACCAAGAATATCAAATGTATTAATATCATTTTGTTGCAGTTAATTTCTTCATGTAACTTAGATCATCTCATTCCTTTACATGGGTGTTCTTTCATAAAAAGAACTTGGGCTTTCTCAGAAACTAGATCCAAAGACATGACTTGTAATATGTGTCAGTACTATTGTTATCACAGGATTAAAAATAACAATGCTAAGGCAGGTTGCAGACATTGTTTACATCCACCCCATGACCTCTAGCACCAGTCTACATAAGAATACAGCAACTTCTGGAATGGATTACGGAGGGGCACTGGAAGAGTATTAGAAGTAGACTAGTAAAAAGGAAAAGAAAAAAAAAAAAGAAGAGAAAGAATGGAGAAAAACAACCAGGAGGGAGAAAAAATAACACTAATAAAAAGAAGGTGGAGCTAGAGAATGAAATAGAGAGAGGCAGAGAAAGCATACTGGGACTAGGTAGAGGCCAGGGAGGGACAACCTACGCACATCATTTAGGGAGGTGCTCATTCTTGAAGGGCCTAGATGTCTTGCTTTCCCCACCCTTGTCCCAGCCCTGGTACCAAGGGCCCCTTAGTGACCACATCAGTGCCACTGTTACCCAACACTGGCCAGTAACACATGTAATACCATCTGGGCATAGAGGAAGAAAAACTGCTGAATTAAGTTCTCTCTTTTATGCCACTCCTTCCCAAAGCTGCTCTTTCCTTCCAGGCCACACCAAGGTCTCTTCCTCTCTATTCAGGCTTGGTGAGCTGTTGAGCATTTAGGGATTGTTGCTTACTGCATGTAACTTTTGTGTCTCCAACTGGTGTGTGAGCAATCTGAAGACAGGCACCATGTCTAACTGTCCAGAAGGCCAAGGAAAGGATGGGTACACAGTAGCTTCTCATTAAATGACTGAATGAATAATTGATCAATTGGTTAGTTGTGATGATATTGCTCATCTGCAGAGCTGGAAACAGAGATAATGAACTTCAGTTCATTATTTGACCTTGGGCCATCCACTCATGCCTGCATCCCCTGAAATACAAGAGATCCCCTATCCTGTTCCCCTAAGCATCCACATCATCATACACAACAGGTATTATAAGAAGAGCTGATTGAGGGTGATACTACATTTGTATTAGAAGCCCTAGTGAACAACAGCAGAAAAAGCAGAATATAAAGCAATCCTCTCACTAAAAAATATTTAGTTTACTACTATCTTTACTTGAATAAGAGAATACCCAGATTGCCATACACTTTCATTTATAGGGGGAAAAAATCTACTGTGTATGCAGCTGGAATTCAAAAGAATGAAATTTCCATAGGAAATCCCCCATTTCCAATCCAGTTAGACTACTGTTAGTTGAGATTTTAATCCCAACATTACAAAGGAATGAAAGTCTTTGGGTCTTTTTACATTTTGTAAATAATCCTTTAAACACAAGGAGGAGCTTTAACCACTGTATAACACCTGTCTGGGGCATGTAATCTGCCCTGGTCCTTCAAACCAGCCTGGTCCATCCGCCTGGCAGACACAATCTGGCCTATACAGGTGAGTAGTGAACAATTGCAGGTGGTCAGGACAGCCACCCTCAAGGTGGCTCAAGATAAGGAATCTGACCTTATCTTGGCACCACTTCTAAACTACTAGATCTGCAACCCTCTTTTGGCCAACTTCTTTAGAGTCCTGTTTGGGCAAGGCCTACCTGGTGTTGGTCCTTAGTGTGCTCCTTCTCTGGACTCCCATGGGCAGCACAGCTCTTGCCCCATGCGACATGCCACATGGCTGGTATTCTGACTCAGCCAACCCCGGTGGCCCTGTGAACACAGTGACAGACACTGGGAAGCCATTCACAAACCAGAATGAAGCACTTGCTAAAGTCTCAGTTGGACTGAAACAAGGTCTGCACGTGGCTGGCAGGTGAAGCGAGGCAGAACCCCCATCCCTGCTGTTATTTACTTCAATGTTTGTACCTGGGGTCTGAGGGGCCTTCAAGGAAATACATGTTTTCTGTCTACTGATGGGGTTCAAATATGCACCCAGACAAGATGTCTCTGACAGACCAGGAAGGAAGGGAGAAGGGGAGGCAACTCAAGGCAGTTTGCAGGGAGGAAAGGTAGGCACCTGAAAAAGACCAGACCCAGACCGTGAGGAAAAGACCCTGGAGTGTGGACCAGACTCAGTAACAGACCCTGAAAAGCTGAGGGAAGTCGAGGTTCTGACTCAAGCTGGTGGCAGATATTCGAGCACTCCCCACTCAAGACACCTGACGTGGGTGCACCAGTGAGAGAAAGGATAGAGCGTGTGAGATGAAAGGGCTGGTCTTATTAAGCCCTACAATACTCTGGGGTCCAAGCAATCCTGCTGTGGGACCCTGCTAAGTGAACATAATGCCGAGGAAGAACAGCTCTCCTCTTTTTGCCAAAGCCTGCCAAGGTGTCAAGGCTTGAGAAAGAGTGGTGGGTGCCACAACAGAGATCAGGTTCAGCCATCAAGGCCAGCAACAGTGCAGCAGCTCAGCCCAGAAGACTGGGCTGACATGCAGGCCTATGTTAGACGTCTCTTGGGAACTCTTAGGCATATCTTTTGGTGAAAGGGTGCAGGGGATGGAGGGGAAAGTTGGCAAACTTTTACAGAATTGGTGGGGATGTGAGTACCAAATACAATGGGACCTTGCTCACCTGCTGGTAAAGCTTGAGGATCATTTAGTTACACCGGAGTTCTGAATATTCTAGTCCCTTTTAAAGGATGTCATGAGATGTCTGATCTACCAGGACCAGCCCTGCTATTCTGCTCTGTCCTAGTAATCAGAGGTCTCTAACCTCTGAACCACCAAGAACTTGAGCTTCCATGATTACAGAGAAGGGCTCTTTCTCCCATGTAGAGAACTAGGAAGTAGCTGGTGACCACTATGTCCACATGGGCTCCCTCACCCGATCATCAAGGTCCCCTGTGCTATCCATAGCCTTCCCTCACCCTGGCAAAGGTGATGCAAAGCCTTTACTCTACACACCCATCCAACCTGAGCCTTATCATCTAACATACTCACATGGGGTCTTATTGTACTCTATGCACCCCCAGTTCAAGAGGATGACAAGCGAACCTTACTGTAAATATCTTTTCATGTTTCTAATCCTCCCACACATGCCTCCGGTTTCCTCCCTGGCCCTCCAAGCTTACAGTCTGTTTCCTTCTGTGGTGAAGTTGGGCAAGTTCCGATGCTTGGGGTGGAGAGCCATGAATCATGAGTGAGAGGCTCTGGGAACACCAAGTCCACACTACTCTACTTACAAGTCCTAAACTGCCTAGTGGGATCCAACGCTGACCCCAGTGGAGTTCTTTACCCATGACTGGTGTCCTCAGGAATGTGTCTGTGGGAAGAAAAGTCTCAAATGCTGGGGAATGGAGCCATCGATAATTTCTTTCCTATGTTGGAGTGCAAGAGAGCCCCTAAGGCTGGAGCACTCCCCAAGTAAGCAGGCAGAGACAGAGACCTGAGTCCTACTGCTGAGTCATTTAAATCTGCTTTAGATCGGGTTTTCCCAGGGCATGGAAAGGACAGGGCTCCCAGTGGAGATATCATGTAGCTATAGGGCCTAGAAGTATTTTTTCAGTAGATGAAATTTAGAAATAATTTGAATATTTTATGCTGGGGAGGTAGCTTGTGGAGTGAAATGGTCGGGTAAAGGAAACACTGAGTTCAAGTGCTTCTTTATAAAGGACACTTAACTGATCTAAATATTTGTCAAGCTGAATCGCTACATCCACTCTCACCTGCCTGAAATCAATATGCTCAAGTCAAACGCATTTGCCTGCATCTGAATGTGGAGAATGAACTTCTTAAAGCTGAACTGGCAGCTGGAAGGGGAGAGAGAAGAGCTGGACAGGGAGCCAGGACACCGGAGTTCTTTTCCACTGTGGTGGGATCTGGAAGAAGCTGTTGAATCTCTGTAGAGTTAGCTTTTAAATGCTGTGAGTCTTTGGAAAGCTGTGCGAATAACTGCTAAACACCCAGGACAGCTTATGCATTTTTTGAAAAAGGTAAGTACTTATCTGTTGGAACAAAAGCTCCTCTTTTTGTTTTAGCCTTGAATTCTCAGGCAGTGAATGCACTACCGTGTGCAGAAGGCAAGGACATGGCTGAGCATGTTGTTTTCTTCACCTTATATGGAGCTTCCTTAACAGGTCTGTGCCAAGGTCTTTTCATTCTGAATCACTTGAGCTCTATTCAAAGAGGAGACAGATAAAAAATTAACTGAGTACAGTGGCACACACCCGTAGTCCCAGCTACTCGGGAGGCTGAGGTGGAAGGATCACTTGAGCCCGGGGGAGATTGAGTTTGCAGTGAGCTGTGATAGTGCCACTGCACTCCAGCCTGGACAATAGAGTGAGACCCCAATTCTAAGAGAGAGACAGAGAGGTTGGGAGGAGGGAGAGAGGAAGGGAGAGAACTTTGGGACTTTGATTTATCCTTGTTTTCTACCAGATACTTGCAAAATGGGAGCCATCTGGTGCTAAAAGAAGGCCTGGTGTTTGCTGCCTTCTCTGGGGGGTGTTCAACAGGGGTATTAGCACCTGTGTTAGGCCCCACCATGCACACACACATACATATGTTCAGTTATGTGCTGGCTCCTTGTGACTGAGTGAGTATCAGGAAGGACTGGGGATTCTGTGGCTTTCATTGGCCACAAATGAGTCCACACAGTTCTCCAGCAGTGGTGCATGCAGGGACCAGGTCCCCCGATTCCCCAGTCACCACAGCTGTGCAACCAAGAACACACTGTATCTTGTGGCCAGCCCTTTTCCTGTGGAGGAAAAGGTACTTCTGAGCCTGTACATGCCCTTTATGCCTTGGTCTGGGAGGGAGAATGTGGCAATGAAAAGTCACCACTTTTATTGCCATCCTTAATATGGTTGATTAATTGCAAAAATACCCTCAGCCCTTTGCCCCTGCCTGAGGCCACACCTTTGCAATGTGACTTTGCATTTGCACCCATCAATAAGTGGAGTCTATTTCTCCATCCCTTACATCTAAGCCTGCCTCGGAACTCACTTTGACCAACAGAATGTGGTATAAGCGATGATGTGCCAGTTCTGAGCCTCAGCCTCAACAGGTTTTGGGCACTTCTTCCCTCTCTCTCTCAGACCCCATGATTACCCTGCAAACAAGCTCACACTACTGGATGACAGAGACATACGGCCCAGTCATCCTGTCACCATCACTGTTTGTCAAACAGCTGCCTGACATATGAGTAAAGTCTTCCTAGACCAAGCAGCCCTCAGCCATCCTGCCAGCTGACCACAGATGCACGAGCAAGTCAAGCCAAAATCACTCAAACCTGGCACAAGTCAACAGGCTGGTGAGCAATAATAAATGCCTGTTGTTTTCAGTTACTGAGTTTTGGGGTGACTTGCTACACAGCAATACCTGACTGATACACTTACTCATGACAGGTTGGTGTAATACTAGCCGTTGGGCATTCAGATACTTTATTTCACAGATTGACTGGATTCCTGCCATATATATAACCAGGATTGTTCCAGGCTCTGTGGATACAATATCTCTGCCCTCCTAGAGTTTACATTCTAAAGGATGAAGACAAACCACAAATAAATAAATGAGCATGTAAATAACAACAATATCAGCATTAGTAAGCAACATACAGACCATTTAAAAGATTATATGATAAAGAATAACCGTGCATTACTGGTCTGGTGTCCAGGGAAGCCACACTGAAGAAACATTTAGACAGATCTGAATGTCAGTGTAGAGTGGGCCATGTAAAAATTGGAGAAGAGCACTCCAAGCAGAGGGAATTGCAAATGCCCAGGCCTCAAGGTTGGACTATGGTGTCTGAAAAAACAGAAAGAAGACTGTGCCTAAAGCACAGTGAGAAAGGGTATGTGGGGAGGGAATGGAGAGAACAGGTAGGGCGTTTAAGCCAACGTAAAGAATTTGGACTTTATGCTAAATGCACTGAGCAAGCTATTATCACTTTTAAAATAGGAGAGTAACATATCTGATTAATGTTTAAATGGATTCCTCTGGCTGATGGGCACAGAGTGGTTATTAAGGGGAAGACATGGAGGAACTGAATCAGTTAGGATAATGCAGACTGAGCCAGGTTTACAGCAATGGAGATTAAGAGATCAAATGTGTTTTGGAGGAAGAAGTGACAGGACTTGGGATGAATTGGATGTGGGAGTCAAAGGAGAGAGAGGAATCAGGATAACCCCTAGATCTTGGTCCAGTAACCGAATGAACTGAAATGCAAGAAACTCATAGAGGAGCAGGTTTAGGGGCTGGACATTCAAGTCTGTGGTGCCTGTTAGGACAAGGGGCAGGCCTGGTGTTTTGGGAAGGGGTCAGCACTGGAGGAACAGGTTGGATGTCACTGGCATAAATCTTAGACTGGATGAGGTCACTGGAGGACAGCAATTAGGAGTGACAAGAGCCCAGGACAAAGACCTGGACATTCCAACATTTATGGGTCGGGCAGTTGAGAATGAGCCAGCAAAGGAGATGAAGAAGAAACTGCCAGTAACGTGAGAGACAGATGTGGAGGTCTCCAAGACCAAGAGAGGAGAATGGGCAAGAAGACGGCCGTGGTCCATTGTGCTAAATGCTCCTGGCACATATAGGGGACAAGGACTTTGTTGCATTGAATCTGGCAAACATTCAAATGCATTGTGCCTTCCTTAGGGCAATAATGAATCACAGAACCTAAAGTGGATTGTAAAGTTATTATCTGGACTCTCTGTCCTACAGGCCTCTACTCTAGATAGCTGGGATTAGTTAATACCAACCCCTGCCCCTACTTAATCCTTGTTCCCATTGGTTCAGTTATTCCCCAAACTCCATGACTCTCTCTGCAGGCCCAGAAATATAATGACCCATCAGGTTCATCAATATCTAAATTCTCTGGAAACCATAAGCTCCCTGAGGGCAAAGATGGTGTCTGTCTTGTTCATGCTGTATCCCATCACCTAGGATATTACCTAGCCACAAATACATTCTTAATAAACATTGGGTACATGGAGCAATGTTGAATCCCATTTGCCTTCCTACCATCAGTGCTGGCCCCCGTGTCCATGCTGCCACTAACTTATCCCCTGTGGACAGACGTGAGGCATTTTTTTCAACATTCCCCAAACTCCAGTTTCTCTGGGTTGGGGTCCTATCTTGCTCTTCGGGGTCTTTATAGGGCAGTATGCTATGGCTATGGCTAGGGCCAGATCCCCGGACTGCAGCTGACTTCTCAGCTGTAGATATCTCACTTGTGGGCTGGTGAGCTGCTCTTTGGTACCTGTGCCATCCCTACAGTTGGGAAAAGCTTAACCTTCACTACATCCAATGGTCTCATCTCCCTCGACCTCACCTTTAAGATTTTTATAAGTGTTTATTGTTGTGAAATCTCCTAATTGCTTTGTATTCAATTCACACATCTGCAGGGTCTGTATGGCTGGGTGATAGGAGGGGTTTGTGTCAGCTTGACCCGAAATATTGTCTCTGTAAAAGTCAAGTTTATAATACCTGGCAGTGGCATCAGGGAAGGTGCATGTGACTTTTTGACCCCTAAAAAGGCATTTCAGTTAATCTGCAATGCTCACCAGGATGTTTGTGTGTGAATCAGTATCAAAAGTTTCACTTTCAGGATTCCATTTGAACCCTCTCTCAAAAGAGGGCATTTGGTAACCATTCCACAGGAATCTAAAACCACTCACTTGCTCATCTGAGTACAATTCTGTTTTCTGGGACATGGTCAGGTGTTACAAGGCAGAGCCCTGAAAATTTAACCTCATTTAACCTGAGTAAATATCATCCTTTAATCATAATAATGGGGTTTTTTTTTTTTTTCAATTAAAGGCTTTGGTAATTATACTGAGCTTAACTTGGTAACAATTCTGCTACTACCTTCTACTGTAAGGATCTCATATTTGCTTGGCCTGTGAAAGGAAATTATCACAGAAGCAAAATCAGATTTTGGTTGAAGTCAAGACACATATTAAATCTGATGCTTCACAGCTGAACACAAGCCTCTCCACCTCCAATGGACTCCTCCTGACTGTGTGCAGACAGACACTTAATAAACGCTTTTGATGAAGGTCTCTCTGTCTTAAAAGGAAATTAGATTGTTCTGACAGTATCTCCTCATCACTAAACTGCTGGTTGCTATCCAGCAGCCTGTGATCCTCTAGGTGTTTGCAAATTGACTGTTTAATGTTTTGCATTTCTCTATGTCCACCTTTTTGGGGTGAGCAGCCACCTGTATAATTTCTGATATAGGTGATGTGTTTGTCTTTTGGTGGTGGTCTTGGCCATTTCATTGACACACACACACACACACACACACATATTTTTGTTTCAGAACAGTTTCCTAAGCTCCTCATTCATTCACTTTGTACATATTGATACCAAACCTATGGAAGGACATTAGGCTAATCCCTGGGGACACACTGATTAGACAGCAGATTCTTGTCCTTTTGGGGCTTAAAATCTAGTGATTGTAATTTCAGATAGTAGTTAGGGCTATGGATAGAATAAATTGGCACCACAATGGAGACTAGATGGGGAGAACTCTCCAAATAGAAACATTTTAAGCTGTGACCTGACGAATAAAGGAGGGAGAAGTAGAGGAGGAAGGAAGTGACAAAAGCAAAGACCCTGGGGTGAGAAAGCTTAATTTGTTCCAGGATCTAATGGAAGGCAAAGGGGAGTGGACATTGGGAAGAGGCTGAAACACGGGTGAAAGGTGGCCATGTTATCAGATGCCTTGTAGGTAGGGTGAACATACATCCCAATTTGCCAAGAATAGTCCTGGTTTAGACCTTTGTCCTTGTACAATTATGGACAGGGCCTCCTCTCACTCTCAAAAGTGTCCTGGTTTGCACGATAAGTTATCTGGTCACCCTGCTTTAAAAGCATGTCAAAGAGCTGGGTTTTTATCCCATGTGAGATGGGAAATCATTGAAGGGTATGAGGCAGGGGTATGGCAGGACTAGATTTATGTTTTCAGATTGTTTCATCGTCAGTCTGAAGGGAGCCAGGTGTGGAAGTGGAGAGAACTGTAGGAAGGCTATTGTAGTGGCTCAGGGAAGAGCTGAAGGTCAACTGAGCGTCACATTTAAAAATAGATTACACTAAGCAACATTCTACCATCTTCTTTCTTTCAGGTTCCTGGTGCTGGTTCCAGCAGAATAGACACAGAGATGCATGGCCTAACTCCCACTCCCTCTTCAGGACTGAGCCACGCAGCCCCCCATCTGCCAGAAGTGTTAGCTGTTGACGGCTCACAGCTGAGTCCCTCTCCAGGCATTGCTGAAAAGAGCCACCTTGCTCTAGGATGTGCCCCCACCCTGGGGGCAGCATACATTCCAAGTGATTAGTCCATAGTGTGGTACAAAGGTTGTACCCATCTTGCCTGAATTCAGGATCTCTTGGAAAACCACCCCAGCTCTGCAGCTCCTGGTGGGGTGCTGAGGCCTCTGCTGCAGCTGCATCGCAGTTTACTTTCCCCTCTGCCTAGTCCTGCTGCCTTCACTCCCCAACAGGTATTGTTCCCCAGAGAACTCCCTGCCCCCAGTCACCTGTAAGCAAATCTCCACTGCAGTCTGTGGCCTGGGAAACCTGCTCTAGGATCCCAAAGTGAACACAGCTTCCCATTGAAATGTGTCTTTGGGTGTTAATCTGTCCTGCCATCTTTACATCTAATCAAGAGGTAGAGCTTCCCCTGGTGTTCCTGCTGGGTACATAAAGGATCTTTTCCATTGTCTTTTATGTCGTTTGTAAATTGAATCACCTCATTTGTTCTGACCTGGATAATTTTCTCCGTTAATGCTTGTGTTGGTTCGCAACACTGGGTCTCTGTAAGCAGACACCCTTACCACTTTTTATTGCATCCCAAGTACTTATTTCAGATATTGTAAAACAACAGCTCTCCTTTAAACACCTTGATTTTCTATTACCTAAATTTAGTTTCTTCTTTTGGTACTTGAATTATTTCCTTAGGGAATGTAAAGATCCCATAAATTCCTTTTTTATTTCTTTTATTCATGAGATTATTCCTAGTACTTCTAGATAGTAATTTGAAATTTATTGAAATAAATTACAACAGGACCCCATTCTTTATAGTTCATTATCACCAAGAATGCAATATATCATGGATTAAATCATGCTCTCCCCAAATGTAACTACAACCAACAAAAGACTGATGCAGGGCCATTAGAGGATAATAGGAAAGAGTTGGCAATCTTTTCAAAGTAACGTGTTGAGTCTTCGCTCCTTCACAGGCATAAGGGGAATGAATGTGCATGTAGGTGAGCGAGTAAGAACCAGGAAAGGGTGGGGGCGTTTCCTCACACTTTAAGCACCGGGGATTTGCCCATGCATCTGGTGGGAAGTCTTTTGCCTGGTTTCCAGCCGTCTAGCCACATGAAGTCGCCAGTCCCCACCTCTGCTAATAGTAAAGATGACATGGGAAGAGAGAAGGGATGTCTACATAGACTTATACTTTAATTCTCTCCATTCACTCATTCAACAAATATTTTTCAGTTCCTCCATAGTACCATGCCCAGGTGGCACCATGCGAGATACAGAGCATCTCTGTACGCACTCTGACTCCTGACTTGAAATGTGCCTCTTGGTGCTGAATCCCATAACAGGGTAATAAAAATATTCCAATTTTTTTCCTTTTGGTAACTTTTTTCATTAAAATTCAAATTTTCTTCTATTTCAGATCACCCGCTCTGAACATGCCATCTACTGTGGAAATCTTCAATCTTTAATTAATTTTTCCTGTTACAGGAAGATTAAGTCTAAAAGGGTATCTCCCCTAGTTGATCCAGAACTAAATAACATTGTTTTCAGTACTTCCAGTAACTTGCTTACACTCTTACTTCTAAAGCATTGAATGTATCATCTTATGTGCTTGTCACCCCCAGCTTGTGTCATAGGAGAAAGTATACGGAGATCAGGTACAACTTCAGTTCAACAGCTTATGAGCTATTGGATCAGTCTCCTTATTAATCTCTCAGAGCCTCAATTTCCTTGTTTAAAATGGGGGCAATACCTACCTTAAGGAATTTCTTGAGGATCAAAAGAAACCCTAGTAACAAAGCCTTGAACCATGTCTGACTTATAGTATATATTCTAACTGCAAGTTCTTTTCATGTCTTGTCCATGAATTCTTCATTCATTCATTCATTCATTCATCCAACAACCAAGCATTCACTGATGCTCCAATTGTGCAAGACACTGTTTTAGGCCTTGAGAATACAAACTGCACAAGCAGGACAATGTAACCAGTGTTATGCAGGGTCTGGTCTAGTGGGAGGAGAAGACAGTGACCATGGCCCATGATGAGTGACAGAATGAAAAGTAATCAGGAAGATATGATAGGAAATACAGGGAGAATGGGAGAGTCTGCTTTATGTTGCATAATCAGAGGGCAGCTCTGGACAGGCAAAATTTGAGCTGAGACCTAAATGACAAGGAGTGAAGCCAATGGAACATCTGAAAGAATAGTTTTCTAGAAAGAGAGCCCAGCTAGTGTGAGCCCTAAAGTAGGTAGAAAATGGGCTTGGAGGGTTTTATATGAGGAGCAGCGGGAAGTAGGCAGAGGCCTGGTCATTGTAGGTCATGTTGGCTAGAGTAAAGAGCTTGTGTTTGATTCTCAGGGCAATGAAGAGCCTTTGGAGAATTTAAAGCAAAGTGGGGAGGGGGAACAAGAGCTGATTTACATTATTCTGAACAGCACCAGGAGGGATAGTACTGGATAATAAGAGTGGTAAAAGGAGACCATTTAGGAGGTTATAGCAATTGTCCAGGGTGGCCTGGCCTGCCACGGTAGCCACAGAGACGGTGAGAGGTGAGGAGGTGCCAGGTACCGTCATGGGAGACATAATGACATTCGATCAATGCTGAACTACATATATGACGGTGGTACCATGAGATTATAATGGAGCTGAAAAATTCCCATCACCTAGTGACCTCGTAGCTGCTGGAACATTGCAGGGCAATGCATACACACATGTATGTGGTGATAGTGGTGCACACAAACCTACTATGCTGCCAGTCCTATAAAAGTGTAGCACACAGGATTATGTACAGTACATAACACTTGATAATGATAACAAATGACTAGGTTACTGGTTTATGCATTTACCATACTATACTTTTATCGTTATTTTAGAGAGTACTCCCTCTACTTATTTAATAAATATAGTTAACTGTAAAACAGCCTCAGGCAGGTCGTTCAGGAGGTATTCTAAAGAAGGCATTACTATCACAGGAGATGACAACTCCATGCGTGTTATTGCCCCTGAAGACCTTTCAGTGGGATACAGTGTGGAGGTGGAAGACAGTGATACTGATGATCCTGACCCTGTGTAGACCTATGCTAATGTGTGCTTGTGTCTTAGTTTTTCACAAAAAAGGTTTAAAAATAAAAATACAAAAGAATAAAAAAGGTTATAGAATAAGGATATAAAGAAAGAAAATACTTTTGTACAGCTGTATAAGTGTTTGTGTTTTAAATTAAGTGTTATTACAAAGGAGCAATAGAGTTTTCACAAATTAAAAAGTTAATAAATGTTAAAAGTCACTGTAAGCAAGCTAAGGTTAATTTATTTTTGAAGAAAGAAATTTTAAAAATAAATTTAGTATAGCCTAAGGATACAGTATTTATAAAATCTACAGTAGTCTACAGTAATGTTCTAGGCCCTCACCTTCACTCACCACTCACTCGCTGACTCACCCAGAGCAACTTCCTGTCCTGCAAGCTTCATTCATGGTATCTTTTAAAGGTATGCCATTTTTTATCTTTTATACCATATTTTTACTGTACCTTTTCTGTGTTTAAATACTCAAATACTTACTGTTGTGTTACACTTGCCTACAGCATTCATTCAGTACAGTGACATGCCATACAGGTTGTAGCCAAGGAGCCATAGGCTGCATACCATATAGCCCAGGTGTGTAGTAGGCTACACCATCTAAGTTTGTGTTAGTACACTCTGTGATGTACACACAACTAAATTGCCTAACAGTGCATTTCTCAGAACATGTCTCCAGCATTAAGCAATGCATGACTGTATATATATCTTAGAGTAAGAGCCAGCAGGATTTAAAGCTGGACTGAACATAGGAGGGAGCTGAGGAAAGCAAGGGATCAAGAAGGATTCGTAGGATTTGACTTGAGCCATGGAACGATGGAGGTGCCATTATACACTGAGATAGCGAACACTGGGAAGGTGCACATTAGAGGTCCAGCAGAGAATCCTAACAGAGACCAGTACAGAATAAAAACCAAGAAAGTGTGAAAATACAAAAGCCAAGAGAATGGTAAGCAATGAGGGTATGATTCACAATTTTTATAGCCACTGGACTTACTTCGCAAATATTCCATCATCAGCAAACAGCTTTAAGCCCCGTCACCAAACTGGCAACCCCAAAAATCATTTTGGTACTCACTTCTCAAATACGTCAGTGTTATTGGGTTAAACTGTGTCCTCCTCTCCCCTCAGATAAGACATGTTGAAGTTCTAACTCCCAGTACCTTAGAATGCACCCTTTTCGGAGATAGGGTCGTTACAGAGGTGATCAAATGAAGATGAGGCTATCAGGGTGTGTCCTAATCTTCTATGATGAATGTCCTTAAGGAAAGAGGAAATTTGGACAGAGACACATACACAGGGAGAACATGGCGTGAAAATGAAGGCAGAGATCAGAGTGATGGAGCAGTAGCCAAGGAAGTCAAAGATTGCCTGCAAACTACTAGAAGCCAGGAGAGAAGCACAGGACTGTCTCATCCTCACAGCCCTCAGAAGGAACCAATCCTTCTGTCACCTTGATCTCAGACTTCTAGCCTCTAGAACTGTGAGATGATACATTCCAGTTGTTTAAGCTGCCCAGTCTGTGGAACTTTTGCTAGACAGCCCTGGCCAACTCCTACAGTCAGTGTGTCAGGAGGGCAACCACAGGTCTTCCAAAAGACAAAATCGCTTTCTGGGACAATGTTAGCCACTGTGGGCCATCTCCATGGGCTTTGTTCTTGGTATTTCAACATGGAACTTTGTTGCCTATGCTTGTAAACACTTGCAACAAAATTACACGGGGTGAGTACTGCTGGGGAGTGGTGGGTGATGCAGAAATCCCACATTTGCCGAGAAATGGAGAGAAGACCTCAAGCCTCAGGGAATAAATGAAACAGAACACATCTGAGGAAAGCAAAACCTGAGTACATGCATTCAATACTGAAGCAGTGAGAAGAACCTTCCATAAAGGAAAACATTGCCTATGCAGCATTCAGCCCCAGGAAGTAGCCCTGGGGAAAGGCAAGGTGAAGCTGCCCCACCCTGTTTGCCCAAATTAGTGATAACTTGTTTTGACAATGTACACATTTGGAAAGTCTCTTCTTTTACTCTACTCATTTCTGTTCCCATAAGGCACATGCTTGGTTTCTCTTTTTATCCTAAATTTATAAAATTCAAAAGAAAATATGACTTTTTTTTACTTTCAAAAATTTAGGAAGTATTCTTGAAGTATTCTAGTTAAGCTGGTTTTGATCATAAGGAACAGATACCCACAAATGTACTCAATTTAAACTGGGGTTGGGGGTGGGGGCTATTATCAGGATTTATATGAGGTAGTAAGAGGGAGATTCTATTGAAACCAAGAACTTCAGTAGTAAAAATAGACCACGCTTATGTAGTGTGCCAGTTGTTTTTTTGTTTGGTGTGTGTGTGTGTGTGTGTGTGTGTGTGTGTGTGTGTGTGAGACAGGGTTTCACTCTACTGGCCAGGCTGGAGTACAGTGACATGATCTTGATCACTGCAGCCTCCACCTCCTGGGCTCGAGCAATCCTCCTGACTCAGCTTCCCCAGTAGCTACAACCACAGTTGCATACCACTATGCTCAGCTAATTTAAAAAAATTTTTTGTAGAGATGGAGTCTCACCATGTTGCCCAGGCTGGTCTTGAACTCCTGGGCTCAAGTGACCCGCCTCGGCCTCCCAAACTGCTGGGATTATAGGTGTGAGCCATGGTGCACCAAGCTGAGCCAAATGTTTTTGTAAGGGCTTTATGTGTGTTAACTTGTTTGTTCCTCACCATATCCCTAAGAGGCAGATACTGTACTGATCCCCATTTTACAGAGGAGGAAACTAAGGTACAGAGAGGTTAAGTGCCTTTGCCCAAGGTTACACAGCTAGTAAGTGATGAGCCGGGATTTGAATCAATGGCTGGTGTCAAGGAACGTTCCTTAAAGTACAAGTCAGCTACCCCAGGGGAACCTGAATGGAACTGCAGTAGATTAGGGATTCTCCCTATTGCCCTCCATCTTCCCACCCTTCTCCCTCTTCCTCTCTCCCTCCTTCCACATTTCTACCTTTCCTCCACCTCCCTCCGGCCCTCTCAGCATTTCTGTTTCCCCTTTTGTGTGTGTCGGCTCTGTTCTGTTTTGGCCACTGACTTACTTTTTCTCTCTTTATGCTCTGTGTAGCTTCTACTTACTCCTAGCTTCTCAGCCTGGATATGGCCCACTGTGACTGTTCCAACCTCCCACTGCTCATTAGCTCATTGAGATTTCTTAGTACAGAATCCCAGTGGACAAAATCCTACTGGACCAGCCCATGAGGTGCCCCCCGACTCCAGTCCAATCGGGTATGGCTACATGCTGAGTCACAGGAACTAAAAATGAACAGCCCCCGACCATGCAGGGCCAGGCCCAGGACAGCTGCTGCGAGTGATGCCTGGTAAGCATAGGATCATCTTTGTTTTTGCAGAAAAACTATCTACTGATTAATTCTGTCACATATAAGCCTGCCAGTCAAATCCCTACCCCTCTGTGGCCTGTGCCCCCACACATGACGTCCCTGGTGTAACGATACTCACACATGCTGTGTGCCTCTGTGAGATGGTAATAGCAGATAGTGAGTGAATAAATGAGAATCTTGTCTGGCTCCTCCAAGAGAAGACAAATGGGCCTGTGTTGCAAGGTATATCTGATCAAAGGGGAACCCAGGCATCAGGAGGAGGCTAGGGACAGGGGACCACGCCATTGCATGGTGACACTCAGCAGACATCTGCCTCTCAAATAAACCAGAATCCTCAATCTGTGTTGAGGGTAAAAGCTGGAAACTAGGAGAGAGAGACGCTGCCTGGGTAAAGAGACGGAAGGAACTCAGCCTAGGTCCAAGGGGGAGCTCATTCCACCTAGAAAGAGAATCCTGATCTCTCTGGAAAAAAAGGAGAGATGTTGAGCTACAAGGAGGCAAGGCTCACAGAGCCAGATGAAAACATCCTGCTTAGAGCACATGGAATGTCTCTGTTACATTTCTGCGGTCACTGAACTATAAACTAGGCTCCTGCAATATATATCTGCACTTGGTCACCTGAATATATAAAGGTGTTTAAAAAGCAAGTCTGCAAGCCATTTCTCTCTTTTTTTTTTAACTGACTCTCTTCCAAAAAAGTAACTAAATGACACATTACTATGTTTCCACATAATCTCTTATCAGATTTGAGCAGATTTGTCATAGTCCTAGACAGGTGTTAGTATCTTTGTTTATCCCAGCCTTCCACACCTTGCAAGATCATTCAGCCTTCCTTCTAGAAATTTTATTCCCTTCTTTGATACACTGGATTGACTGAAAACAGGTTTTGCATATACTTCAAGAGAATAAAAATATTTTTTGCATTAAAAATAGAATCACCACAGGCACAGAGATAGTTAGACATTTAAACAAAGGGTATATCAAATCTTCTATTCTTCTAGCTAATCTATTTTCAGTACTGCCAGAAACACCTAACAAACTACAGTCTCACAAAATCAGAATCTGTGGTACTAGTATCATGTGGTGATGATTAACCTTGTCAACTTATTTTTTAAATAATCCTCATCGTTTATACCATTGTAGTAAAGGGTTCCCCTCTCCCATGCAGCAAGTCCAGAATGAAAGTGGGTTGTTCCCATGGCAACAGAATACAAGGCAGAGAACTCCAGAGAAGGGGGGCGGGTGCATCTCTACACTCAAGGCCATAGCTGCAAGAAAGCCCCAGGCTCCAGGATGGTGGCAGCAAAGAGATGCAACCTGCCATGACATCACACTGCCAGATGGCCTGCTGTTGACATAGGGTTCCCCCCCAACTAATTATTTGCATAAATCTGGATCATTCATTCAAAGAAAAATAAAGGATTCACTCAAGTATACATTGACGTACTTATTAGACAGTTTTTCTCTTTGAACAACTTAGTATTACAAACATTCCCCAAACACCAAGCACATAGTTGCCTTACACATGGAAGCTGTTTAAGAAGCATGTATTTCACGATATATTGGACCCCTTCCTGAACCAGGTATTGCTCAAGATCCAGAGGAGAGTTCTCTCTCTCCAGAGAGTTCACTGTTTAGTGGGTGGACAAGCATGTATAAAGATCCATAGAACCTTACATATCAGCTTAATGATAGACTTGCCCAGGGTATCACAGGGGTGAGAATTCAGGAGAGGAGACCACAACCCTGGAGAAATACATAGGAGGGGAGAAAGGAGACAACGTACGTGTCACATGACCCCGAGGATGAATGAGGAGCTATTGATGCTCCATTGTTTGCTCTGTCTGCTTGCTTTGAGATTGTTGGCGGAGCAAACAGCACAAGCAAAGACCCAAAGGCAAAAAGTAGCACAGTCTAAGTAGGGGAAGCATATGCAGTTTGCTTGTGTTGAACACAAATCTGTAAGGCAGGGACTGGAGGGAGCTGAAGCTAGAGACACAGGGAGCTAAGATGTTAAGAGAACATGTAAGTCCCTCCATCTGGAGAGCTTGGACTATATTTTCTGGGCAATGATGGCACCAACGTGATAAAGCCTGCTTTCTGGATAGACTCAACAGCAGTGAGGAGAGTTGCTTAACAGATAAGATTGGAGTCCAGAGGACCCGTCCCAAGACTGCTTCAAACATCCAGGCAAGAGACAATAAGAGCCTGACTTAGATGGAGGACTAGGGATGGAAGGGTGAGGAGACATTCTAGAAATATTTAGTGAGTAAAGTCACATAGCTTCTCAGCATGACTCACCTTCCCAAATTCCTAAGACTCAAATCTCCATCCACGTCTCCATACCAATTTCGACACTGAAGAAAACCTGGAGGGAGGAAGGATAAGATTTGCAGCGGCTAAAGCTCCTTCAATAGTACATAGCTTATACGGTACATTCGTTGAGCCACTTAAAATGATCAGAGTCACTTTAAACCTTATTGGCTGAGTCGATGAACAGGCAAAATATTTCTTTCTTGAATAGTCCAGTACATTGTTTTCCACAATTAGCGGTCACTGGGGTCGGAAAAAGAACGGAGGTTTTTAGAAAGATTCTGAACAATGTATCAATGCCAACTGAGAGTGGCAGGCACAACAAAACTGATAATGCTTCATATTGAGATAGGATCATTCCTCTGTGGCTTTCCTAGTTTCACAGTGAATATTAATTTTTAGAGCATTCCTATGAAGTAGAAAAGTGGCAAAGCAAGTTGGCTCCATTTCCGTGTGTGGGGCGGGGGTGGTAAGATACTAGTGCAGAGAGATGAACTGACTCGTCAGAGGCAAGGCTAGTTGGAGGAAATCCAGAGGGCAGTTTGGGCTTCTTGGTTTCTTCTGGTTTTATCATCTAAACCCATCCTAATGAGGTTACTGTCTTTAACTCAGCCTGTCCAGATCTCATCTAAAAAGAGGAAGCAAAGACCTGGGTAATTTTCCAGATAATTTCTTTAAAAGAGAAAAAAGCAACCTCTCTTTCCTCCAAATTGTTTATAATTGATGCAATACAGGAAGTCTCACTGCTTGTTAATGAGCTCCCAAACTCAAATTTTGCTATTTAATTTCTTTTTGAAATCTGCGTTTGCCCGAAATATCTCAGTAATTCAAGTGGAAAGGGAAGTTTTGCCTAAATTATGAAAATGACCTCAATTTCCTTCTTTGCGTAGCTAAGGGAGAAGTGGGCAGAACATGGTATCTGAGCTGTAGGAATCAAACCCTTCCCCATGGCCTGGGGTACATGGATCCCCTCTTGGTGTTGGGGAAACCCCACACTCAAGTTCAACATTGTCATCCTGTTTTCCGTCGTCAATCTGTAAGTCTTCATCCTTTACTCATTTGTATCTCCCAGGACTGCAACAGACACCACCTGCTTTGTTTCATTTATGCATTAGTAAAAACGTAGGACTTATACTAATGATTGGAAGAAATGACTCATTTCAAGTTCTTGCTACAGGGTCAGTCTTGGACACAGTTTATTTTGTATGTATATAAAATGGGTAAATTGAGCTAGCAGTGATGAAGCAAGGAAATGACTGCCCTGCCTGCTTTTTTGCCAAAGCACACGTCCCAGTTCTTTGTCTGACTCTAGTCCCTGTCATCTGCCAGTCTGCTTTTGTCTTTCCCTCATTCGGCCACTCTTCCCTTACTCCTTTCTTCTTGTATCTCTCGGGATAGAGCCACATGCCTCTGGACGGCTTCCATTCAGTGAGAACCTTGGATAACAAGGTGGTCCACAGGCAGCAGTTCAGCTGAAAAGCAGCAGCCCTATCCTGAAGCTATTTTGGAGGCAGACTATGAGTCGATAGCAGGACACCAACAGTTTGCCTCTTCACTGGGGCTCACAGATAAAAGCCTCAGATCTTGATGATGAACAGCGGCAGCTCCTTTGGGCGGGCATGTGGGCTGTCCTGCTGCTCCCGGCAGTCAGAAGAGCCAAGAACAAAAGATGTCCGCCAGGCCGCCCTGGTACCCAGCCGGAGCACACTGGGTGTCTTGCACACTCACATCCACACACTGCCCGACTCCCTGAGGCATGGAGATTGCTCTCTTCTGGATTCACACATCTCCCAAAAGGAAGAGCCCCTTTCTGAGATAAAATCACTGCATTTTTACACCCTGAACAATTAGACAAGATTTCCCAAAATGTAAGAGCAGTTAGTAGTTAGTAGACTCCATCCAAGGCGGTGAAGGCAGGAGGAGAGAAAAGGAGGGAGGAGGGAGAGGGTGGGGGAAGGAGAGCAGCAGCTTTGGAGTCTTTGTTTCTCTCCCATCTGGCTGAAAGCCAGAGGCGAAGATCGAAGAGACCTATCCTTTGTCCACTGATCTGACAGTCATCCCATGTTACCACTCGGCAAAATCAAAGTGAAATGCGTTCACACATTCACGTCCATCGCTCAAAAGGTTGCTATGAAATCTGTCTTCCTGTGCCTAATGGCAGCAGGATTTCTATGCAACAGTCCTGTTTTCAAGGTCATAATAAAATGAAGAGAGCTCCACTTTTTCCACTATAGTCCATCATTCTTAGCATGCTCCTGTCCTCCCAAGGACCCAAGCATGTGCTCTGTGACTTTAAGGGAAGAGAGAGTTCTTCCCAGCCTCTCTCTATCACGTCAGGTTAGGCTGTAGCATGTAAAGTTCCAGGCCATAAATAATTCAAAAGGCATGAAGAAGATTTTCTTCATTCTCCATCTATCTCTGCACACAACATCCCTCCCTCCCTTTCTGGCTTATAACAAATGCTAATTTAATCAACTGGCAGTAGATTGTACTGGTTGCTGACTCATGCCAGACACAGCCCCTATGGACTAACAGAGCTATGCCATCTCATTTGGAAATGAACAATGAAGAAGTGTGGTCCTGAGCTGACCACCTTCCTGCATTTGTCCTTTGTTTCCTCATTTTTCTACCCTCCTCCCCTAAAAAAAGGTTATTTACAAATGTATCCCCTGACATACACGCAAGCAATTTACATGGCAGCCACACCGCCTGCAAGGGGCTGAGCTACATGCAAGCTATGTGGCCTCTCAACTGCCTGTAAGGACACATGGGACTTCCCTAGTGGTCCTGAAAGCCGTTCTCTAGAAAGACCCTGTGCATGTGGCAGGGGGAAGGGGAGAGCAGGCAGTGCCGAGGGTGGGAAGGGCGGGAGGCAGAGCCTTGTTATCCAAGCTGTGAAAGCGCGTGTGTCAGTGAGAAAGCATGTGTGTTCTGAAACCGACAGCACCGGATGGAAGCTGATTAAAAAGTGTAGGGGAGCAGCTCCCCCAGGAGAAGTCTTTTTCACCTTACCAAGCTGGGCGGGAGTGGGGACTCTCAGACCCCTGGGAACAGTGGAGAAAGGAGAGTGGGAGAAGGAACTTTCCCAAAGACAAGACAGTGGGTGCAGCAGGTAGAAGGGCAGTGGGTGGAGAGGATAGAACATAAAGAAACGCCTCCAAAAGAAAGGACCAAGAGATACGGAGATATTTCTGGGAAGCCTAGGGAGCCCCATGGCCTATTTCCTTTTCCTTCTGCTCTTTCACTGTAGCTATAAATATTTATCTTATGAAGAAGCATCCTCCCTCCCCACCCCAGAGGGATTTATTTAAAGCCCACACCATCACGATCATGCAAATATTTGCTGAGTGCTATTGTATAGGGTCCTCTGTGAGGACACAGAAGATCGTTTACCTTCTCACCTTCCAATGCCTTGTAAAACACTTATGGTGTGCCAAGCACCATGCTGCCCCTTATTTTGTTAGCTTTCTCCTTTTAGCCACCCCCTCAGGTACACAGAGCTGGTAGCATGAGGCCCATTCTACAGAGAGCTGGAGCTCCGGGAAAGGGCTAGCGGATGGCACAGTCATGGCTGACACTATTTCCACCAGACACCCTGCTCCCTGGGGGTTTACACACAGGAGGTCTAGCTGCTTAGACATTAGGTTATCACCTATTAAGCAAATGGAGAAGCAAAACTTCAGAATTTCTGGAAGGGTCTGACCCATCTGGTCACCAGACCCTGCCCACAGTGCTGACTATCCCTGCTATTCTTCTGGTCTTGAATTGTCAATGAACGCTTTTATGTGCAATTGTACACCTCCCCAGCCCACCACCACCACATCGGATTGCAACTCCTCCTGGCCAGGAGCTGAGTCTGGGGAGCTTTTGTGTTTCCTGACAAGGCTAAGAGGAAAGGCTTGCAGAGAACAAATTCAAATTTTCTGGTTGATTGCAAGCACACTTTCAGTCTCTTAAAACGAGAAACCCTACCCCAGCCACCTTTATTTCCAAATCCTCACGTTGAGGCTGGTGTCTGCCGTGGTGGTTCTCCCAGGATGGTAGCTGTGTCTGCATTCCTTTGGGTTGTTTTTTGGGCGTATGTGCATATGTGTGTGCACACATGTGTGTGTCTCAGACTGTATTGTTACATGCCCTTCTTCGAGGGTTTTTCTCTACGAGGCTCCCTGCTGACAAGCAGGACATGCACAATGGCAAAAGTGCTTTTTCTCTTAGACCAATGAGAATTCATAATCCACTTCCTACAGAAGCCCAGAAAGGGAACCAAACAAGCAGCCCTCTTCTCCCCCAGCATCCTGAGTCATGTCACAAATATTCTACACTCTTTTCTTCTAATTTATGTTGCTACAACTTCAAGGTCATTGGGAAGCTAGGAAAGAATTGGCCCTGCCTGGGGGAGGCTTTTGCACCCAGCACACAGCATTCTAACTGCCCCTGCTTCACTGCCAAGAAGGGAAGGTGTGGTTCACTTTGTCCTTATTTGACCAGAGGCTAGGCATGGAATGCTGCCTCAGTGCCTGGACTGTAAACTCCTGAGGCGGTCATAAATAGGCACTCGGCCTGGTATGGCTTCTTGGCTAAACATTTGCACAGTAACACAAATGAGGCAGCAGACATGAGTCAGGAGGGAGAAATCAGCTCAAGAAGGGGTGGGGGCTGGAGCTTAGGCTTCTCAAGCCTTTGAGATGATGCTTTAGCCAGAGATACTCAGCTGAGCCTCCAGGGACAGACTGCGGGCCCTCCCCCATGCACTGCACCACCTGCCAGATACATTTGCAAAGCAGCTTGTAAGACCAGCTAAGTAAAGAGCTACTTGTCCATACTCCATGCATGAGGCCAACAAGGACCTTGTGTGTTTCTGAAAGGGGCAATAAAAAGACATTAATTATTTTATCCAGATTGAACATTCACAGTTTCATCCAAGGTTATATACAAGCTGAGAACTTAAAGCTCAGGGATGATACTGACCCTGCAAGGTTAAGTCTGGTAGAAATATGAAAAGATAATAGTTATATCATTCCAGTGATCATTGTTAAGTGCTCAGTGATCAGTGGATCACCAGATTTATCCTTGCTTCCCAGAGACAGGGTGCCAGTGGCTGGTGGCCAGAAGTTTTTAAGCCCACACAGCATGTTTCCTATTCTCTGCTGGGGACAATGAAAGGGAGAGCCTCTCCCAGCTGCTACATGCCACCCTCTAAAGATCAGAAATAAAGTATGTGCTGAAGAAATGAATGGATTATTTCCTTTATTCATTCACAATAAAACACAGTGCTGCCCCGATATTGTGTTTCTCCATAGTAAGTCTGCCTCCCTCTGCTCCTGTTTAACAATTACGGTTTGCTAGGACTGCAAAGACCACAGATTGGGTGGCTTAAACAACAGAAATTTATTATCTCACAGTTCTGGAGGCTAGAAGCCCAAGATGAAGATGTCAGCAGGGGTGGTTGCTTCTAAGGGTGTCTCTCTTTGGCTTGCAGATGATCACCTTCCTGTGACATCTTCACAGGTCTTCCATCTTCACAGGTCTTCCCTCTGTGTCTGTCTACATCCTAACTTCTTCTTACAAGGACACCAGATATCATGGACACCATGGATTAGGGCCCACCCATATGAGATCATTTCATTTTCCCTCTTTAAAGACCCTATTTCTAAATGCAACCACATCTCGAGGTGCAGGGAGTTAGGACTTTAACACATAACACAATTCATTCCAATAACAACAATTATAATTTTTTGGTGTCACAGGGCCAAATAGCTTAGTCCCCTCCTCTCTGTGTCTGCATAAACATTTTGGCAAACGCAAATACTGCCCCTGACACAGACAGACACAGGATCTGCCCTTACCATGTCTGCCCACACCCTCTCTCCAAAAAAGGCTCTATCAAATAATTCCATGGCGTTTCAGGTTGTAACAACAGAAAAAAAGGTCTTTTTCTTTACGTATGAATTTTCTAGTCAGTCTTTCTACTGCTGAAGGAAAGGGGCAGTGACAATGCCTTGCCCTTTGTTCATTTATTCCTACCACCTGATTCACTTGTTTTGGTATGAAGGCAGCTTCTGTCTGGCTGTCTCATTATCAACATCACATGTGAGCAGTTTATTTTGGTAATAGAATGAGGTTTCATTTATTTTGAACATAAACTGAGATTCAGCATTTCACCAGCCCAAGTTGTAGGAAAAACTCCAAGTGGCAGGGTTATACCTGGTTCTCTTCATCCTGCGTCTTTCCTCCACCAGGTAACCCCAGATCCCATGAGGTGGCAGTGTCACCATTGCCCCAGCCCAGAGTCATTTCAAGGAGGAGCAGGTCACTTCCTGATTCCCAAAGCATCTGCCTGTACCATTGAAAACTTATTCCTGCTCAGGTAAGTCCTAACTATCCGTCCAGCCCCACACAGCCCTTTTCAAGAGCAGGAATGCTGAGCTCATGGGATGAATTTTGGTCCCATAACTACAGAATAGTTAAATGGGTAAGCATCAAGAAAGAACACACCTGTGATATTTTTGATGCTTTAAAAACTCTCATTTAAAATGTCCTGTCCCTCAACCCATGTTGAGTGTGTGTGTTTTGTTTTTTGAAATACTCCTCTGAGCTCAGCACACTAGAGACATGACAAATTTGGTGTTTTGAACCATATGCCCGTTTGAATTGTAGAGATGCACATTGGTTAGGTTTTTAGAGCACCTTCTGGTAAATTAAGTCAGAGGTAGATATCAATGCTGGTATATACTCAAGCAGACAAGGAAAATTAATTGCAAGAATGGGGCGGGAAAATATCTTCCATTTATCTTCTTCCTATTTCAAAATTCAAACCTACATTTCTAGAGATTTAAAGATATGACGATAAGGAAGTTTTAATTGGCCAAGATTTGAAGCTAAAGAGGCTAACCTCAAGGAATTAGTATTATTTGTTTATCTACTACTTATGGGGTATAGAGCTGTATACTGAGTCATAGTTAGACATGTAAATCTCTATCGTCCAGGATCACATCATCAGAGTAAAGAGACCAAAGATGCTTGAAACTGTAACAATGGAAAGCAGGAAAACCTGATCAGTTCCAACTGGGCAGGATGGACATTCCGTTTGGGGTTCAGAGTGGGAATGATCACTGCAGTGAAGGGGTCTCAGAGGAGGTGACATTTGAATTTGGATTAGGGGCTTGGAGTGGGAGAATGATATGCCAAAACTGTTGTCAGGGGTGAGTTCCCTAGCACAGGGCACAGGATGTGCGGGGGCAGGTGGGGAGCAAGCTTGGGAGGCAAGCTTATAGACCCTTGCCACGGCCCAGGCACAAGGCAATTCACACGGGAGCTGAGGTATGGCAGTGGTGAGTAGAGGCAGAGATGGGTGGGTAGAGGAAGAGACAGCATCTGTGAAGAAGAATAAGCAGAGCTTTGAGTCTACCGACTGTGAGGAACAGAGGACAGGGACCAGGGTCCTGACCACCGACCAGCTTTCAAAGGAAGACGGCTGCCCACGGGGAAGGTCTGGCTCCTAGACCTTCTTCCTAGCTGGGCAGCTGTCTCAGCTCCCTCTACTTCTCACATGCTCTTAAAATAGCAGAACTGTCCAGCATGCTGGGCTTTCCAGTGGAGTCCAGGCCACCCCAAGAATATAGCCCTGCCCTCTGAACAGGTAGGAAGAATGTTCAGGGCACAGGTATGAATTATCCAGGGGCAGTTGTCAAACAAAAAGTCCCAGAGCTCCCTCTGGCTTCAACCCCAAAGCAAGATCTCCATTCCAACTGTACTCAATCAAGTGGACATAGTCCAGCTATGACTGGGATCATTTGGACTTCATATCACATATCTTTGTCCCCTTTTGGATATTGTCGTGATTTTTTTTGTCGGCCCCTGTTACGCATCTATTGTCTTCATTCCCCTTTTCCAATATCCCTTATTTCTATTTGAATTTCTCATATGATCCTGGGACTTACGTGGTCTAGGTGAGGTTAATCAGGCATTCCATCCACCTGTTCTTGTTGACATATTTAAGCTTCTGGTTCAAATGTCACCTGAAGCCAGATACCTCTAAACTTTTCATTTATATGAAATAACTTCCCTTTATTGTTTGAGCTAGTTTGAGCTCGGTACCCTCTGCTTGCACGTAAAAAGTCCCTGACGTGGCCCAGTGTGGTGGCTCATGCTTGTAATTTAAGCACTTTGGGAGGCTGAGGTGGGTGGATCACCTGAGGTCAGGAGTTCAAGAACAGCCTGGCCAACAAGGTGAAACCCCATTTCTACTAAAAATACAAAATTAGCTGAGCATGGTGGTGCACACCTGTAATCCCAGCTACTTGGGAGGCTGAGGCAGGAGAATCACTTGAACCCTGGAGGCAGAGGTTACGTTGAGCCAAGATAGTGCCATTGCACTCCAGCCTGGGCAAAAAGAGTGAAACTCCGTCTCAAAAAGTCCCTGATGCAGGCTCCTTGTTTAATTATGTTATTGTAGAAAGGGCTCTGGGAAGGAAGACAGAACATGGTCACTCCAGGCCCTACTCTGGCATGAACCGGGCCTGTGTCCTTTGTCAAAGCTCTGTATCTCTCTGGGCTTCAGTTTCTTCATCTTAATGTGATGAGTTGTTCAAGCCAGTTGTTAGTGATCCTTCTAGCATTGGCATTCTGACTCACAACACCCCTGTATATTGAGACTCTAGTGAGTTTGGCCATGCACCTCATGATCTGCCTCAGTCTGACTCCACGCCGTGGCCTATGAATACCAGGTAGACTGCCACCACCAAAGACACTGAGGAATTAAATGTGGTACCAGATTTGAACACATGTAGACATGAATGGACAGTAGCATGCACATAGGTTGGATAGTTAGAGTGTTTTCTTTTCTTTTTTTAGGGCAGAGAGGACATTGGCAAGCATGAGAAAGGCATGGGCTGGGGTCAATATGTCTAAAATGTCACTTTTAGACATATTGATCTGGGCTGAATAAAAGATAACCAAAAAAGAAGGATCCAACTCACTGTGGGAGATTTCACACTTAAAGGGAGGTTCTCAAACTTGAATTAGCATCATAATAGCCAGGTAATTTTGAGATGGGTAAGGATAAACAGAGAGCCAGAAATAGAGAGAAAAACCTACCTGGAGATGTTCAGCTGGAGGCAGTGACACAGCTGTGAGAGCTGAAACTGGGGACCAAATTATATCCCTGGGGATGTGGGGAGGAAGAAGATTGGAGCCTTAGGGACTTGAATGTCAGAGACAACCACGTTTTGTAAGGAAGAGAAAAGGAAAAGGAAAGGCCATTAGAAGGTAAAGGAGGAGGTCAGGCATGGTGGCTCACGCCTGTAATCCCAGCTTTTAGGGAGGCAGAGGCGGGAGGATAGCTTAAGCCCAGGAGTTCAAGACCTGCCTGGACAATATAGTGAGACCCCCATTCTCTATGAAAAGGAAAAAAAAAAAAAAAGACAGAAGGTAAAGGAGGAAAGAGAAGGGAAGTAAGTTTTGCAGTTACTGCTCACACATGGAAACCCATGAGTGTGAGTGTTAGGAAAGCCAGGGAGGAAAAGAACAGTGTAGAAGAGGCATCCTTGGGCTGATATCATGGAGCAATTTTCCCATTGTCCAAGGAATGGGCAGAAGAGAGGTAAGAAAGCCAAGCTCAGGTCAGGGCAGCAGCACCCAGTCTGTGGCACTCCCAGGATGGACGGGTCCTTCCTGGATGGGTCTTTCACATTATAGACTGTAGTAGTTACTTTTGATGCCCTGCATGGTGCCACTTCCCTCAAGTCAGATCCACACTGCCAACACCTATCCCAAGCTTGCTACTAAAGTTCTCTGTTTTGCCGCCTCAGGGCTTCTCTGAAGCTCTGGGAGCTTCACACAGGGAAAACGCAGACAGCCAGAGAAGTTAAGTCAATTTCCTCCTGTCTCCAACCACTGAGAGTCAATGGATCGACACTCCACCCCCACTCTGTATGCCTACGGCAGAGATCTCCATGCACCTGTGTGTTAGTTTTTCCTCCTCCCCTGCCTCAGTTTCCCATGCCCTCACTTTTGCTTCCTAGGGTCACCTCCCAAATAAAACACCTGCATTCAGTTCTTGACTGAGGCTGTGTTTTCAGAAGAACCTAGACCAAGAGAGAGATGAGCTAGCCTCAGTGGTGGCAAACCAAGAAATGGTGGCAGAAGCATGAGTGCACATTCCCTTTAAAGCCCCAGAACACTAAGTAAATGGAAAAGATCTCTGCAATGACCAAAGACTGAGCTGTATCCAGTGGGGCAGACAGAGATGCTACTCTGGATAGGATCCAAAGGCCCTCAGCTGTAAATTTCCCTTGGCAGGGTGAACATGCAGTGCTAGTTCCAAGGACTCCGTGTTGAAAACACGAACAGGCATAAGCTCCATCCACATGATTGCAGAATCACACTCCTCCTTTAGAGGGTTACCTTCCCCAGTTCAGAGGCTGCAGTCTGGGAGCCTGGGGTAATATGAAACCCAAAAAGTTATTTTGTTTTACTGTTCAACACATCCCCACAATGTTTTAAAAGCCAAAGTAGGCCGGGTGCGGTGGCTCACGCCTGTAATTCCAGCACTTTGGGAGGCCAAGGCTGGCGGATCACGAGGTCAGGAGATCGAGACCATCCTGGCTAACACGGTGAAACCCCATCTCTACTAAAAATACAAAAAATTAGCAGGGCGTGGTGGCAGGCGCCTGTAGTCCCAGCTACTCAGGAGGCTGAGGCAGGAGAATGGCATGAACCCAGGAGGTGGAGCTTGCAGTAAGCCGAGATCGCGCCACTGCACTCCAGCCTGGGTGACAGAGCGAGACTCTGTCTCAAAAAAAAAAAGCCAAAGTAACTTAGTGGGTATGATGTTTAATTGTAGTAGAAGGAGCCTAGCACGAAGCTTATACTAAGCCTCTTCAACTATTCATGCTGTTGGCTGGCACCTGTAGCCATCTGAGTCAGCAACTCCGACTCCAGCATATTTAGGAGAAAGGACTTTCGTTTCAATCTACTCTTCCATTGGTTCCTGCAGCCATGTCCTCCACATTGCCTAGCTCCTAATTTCCTATCTCTGTTCGACCTTTAATTTCTCTGATGGTTTTGCTGCTGATCACGTCCTTGGACCTGCAACAACCATTTAATATACTGTTGTTTCTACTCTTTGGGGAAGAGTGGTCCTGGGAGGGTTGAGCCAACTCTCCTCATTTTTCCATTCCAGCTTGGATTCTGACCCCTTGCATAGTTTCCTACTCCCTAGGGATGTTTCTAGGTAACTGACTCTACCCAAGCCTCGAGAAGATCATAAGGGAATTTCCAAAGCCAGAAAAGGAAAACAAAAGTCAAGGCCTGATATCTCTGTTCCCCAAGAACATCAGCACTACCATATCATGGAGAGCCCATGGCTGGTCCTCTCTCTTGTCTGTGGCCCGCCATGTTGCTCAGGCTCTATTCCTCCTCAAAGCCTTTTCTCTTCTACCATCTCTCTCTCCTCAGAGTGCTACTTTTCAGACTCCAGTGTTGGCTGACAATGGAGAGGTCCTTCTGTTCCCTTTTGAAAACTAACTATCAGCTATCTTTTCACATAGGATTCTCCTATGCTAGGCTGCGTTTTACATTTTCCCTAAGTATTTAAGAAATTAGTTGCTTTACTACTTTAATCAAGCCATTTTAACCTTCATTCAGCCAACTTACTCCTTGTAGAGGAGACCTGGATCCTACCTTTACATATCCACTGACTTATCTACAGCTTCTTCTTAAAGAAAATAGAGTGAAGTGATATCATTTCACTTTACCCCTAACCTGGACCTGATGCGTTGCCGCTATTTCAATTACTCATCACGATGACGAACACATCCTTTACCATCTGTAAAAGCTGTCAAGGCTTAAGATTCAAGGGGAATAAAGTAAACCCTGTGGCCCAACAAGGATGTTTTGCGTTCTCCCCTCAGTGCTCTCTCAAAGCTGGGGATTTGGTATCTGCCTTAAAGGCAGAATGGTCTGAGGCCAGACATCTGCACATATGTTTCCTTCCTGTTTTTGTTCCTTTAATCTAGCGCAATGATTTTCAAATTTCACTGTGAATGAAAATTAGAACACAGGGATATATGTTTTAAGGGTGATGTAAGGGCTTTTCAAGGGTAATTCTGAGTTTATATGATGTTCACGTTAGGTGTTGATTATAGAACCTAAAAATACCACTCCTAAGATGTGACTCTTCTGTTTGGAAAACTTCCTTCAGTGTGAATTCTGCCAACAAACTAGAATTTCTAAGTGGCCACGAAATTTCAAATAGCACTTTTTTCTCTTTGGAAAGAGAACTCAGCCCTCAGGCCTAGAGGGGATGCTGAAAGCCACCCCTGACCCCCAAGTCACCACTTAGCAGCTTCTCTGCAGTGCAGTGCAGGGAGAGCAATAGAGAACAGGAGCTCGGCATTCTCACTGGTCAGCCGGTGACCTGGGGCTGCAAAACCCAATACCCATCCATTTCAGCTTCGCATTTCAAAGTGAAGATCTCCTTGGGCCCATCGTATGCTCCTGAATTTCCCAGCTTTTTTTCAAGCCCTATTTTATCTGTCGCTGCTTATACCTCTCCTCAGGTTCATGGTAAGTGGTCTGCTTCTGTCAATGACTTTTTCATCTATGTCAGGGAAAGGCCCATTAGACAAATCCAATGGGACAAGTTCAGAGAGTTTGTCAGTTCCCGTCACTTTCAGGTCTGGCTGTGCAGTGGAGCACAGACTCAAAACAGACTTGTCAAGATAGGCAGCTTCTTGTGGAAGAAGTTTATCTCAATGGAGAGAAACACACGATGGGTAAAAACAGCAAAACACCAGCACGTCAGCCTGGTGAGCTGAAAAGAGCTGCCGGTGAATAAATTAAATCAGACTCTCACTCCCCAAAGTGGGAGTGGGGAGACAATGGTATATATCCAAGAGCATTTGGGGGTGCTCAGTGAGAGCCTGATATCAACGAGGAAGCTAAATTTCTTGTCAATAATTATTTTTTCTATTTTCAGCTTGTCAATAATCAATAATTATTGATAAGAGAAGTGAAAGATAATACTTTATATTTTATTTCACTGAGACAGTAAAGAACCTCTACATCTTCCCATTGCCAAACTGAGCAAGCTCCCAACGTACCCACAGCCTCACATAGTTACCCTCCCCTCTTACTACAGAAAGTAAACCCTCCCCACTGCAGTCCAAGGCAAGCCCTTCTCTCATCCAGTGGAACCTCTTCCTCCACTGCCTTGTCAAGCACTCACTCCTAGAGTTGTCCTCTGCCTTCTATGTTATTAATTTCCCTCCACTTGGCCATTCCCTTCAGCTTACAAGCATGTTGTAACAAAAAAATAAAAAAATAAAAAAAAACAGCCGGGTATAGTGACTCCTGCCTATAATCCCAGCACTTTGAGAGGCCAAAGCCGAAGGATCACTTGAGGCCAGGAATTTCAAACCAGCCTGGGCAACATAGCAAGACCCTGTCTCTACAAAATTTTAAAAAAATACAAAAATTAGCCAGGCGTGGTGGTGTGCACCTATAGTCCCAAGTACTCAGGAGGCTGAGGTGGGAGGATTGCTTGAGGCTGGGAGGTCCAGGCTGTGTGAGCTGTGATGGCACCACCGCACTCCATCCTAGGCAACAGAGAGAGACACTGTCTCCGAAAAAATATAAATAAATAAAAATTTACAAACCAAAAAGCGCCGGGTGCAGTGGCTCACGCCTGTAATACCAGCATTTTGGGAGGCTGAGGCGGGCGGATCACAAGGTCAGGAGATCGAGAACATCTTGGCCAATATGGTGAAACCGCGTCTCTACTAAAAATACAAAAATTAGCTGGGCGTGGTGGTGCGCGCCTGTAGTCCCAGCTACTCTGGAGGCTAAGGTAGGAGAATCGCTTGAAACCAGGAGATGGAGGTTGAGGTGAGCCAAGATCGTGCCACTGCATTCCAGCCTGGGCGACAAGAGTGAAACTCTGTCTCAAAAACAAAAACAAAAACAACAAAAAAAAGAAAAGGTTTTTAACTCCATATCCCCTTTCAGTTGCCACTAATTTTCCTGCTCCCCTTTTTAGCAGAGTCTTCAACTTTCTCAACTTCCTCCTCCTCCCATTCTCTTGAACAATCTTCAGAGAACAAAAAGTTATTATTAAGGTCACCAATGATCTCCACATAACCAAATACTCAGTTTCACAACATTTGCTCTGATTGTTTGCTCCATATAATATAGTATCTTTGCTTGTGATAATTTGTTTACTATCGCCCCTGCCCCCACTATCATATAAGCAATTCTCAAGGTAAAATGGCAAGTTTGCTCTGTTTACCATGTATCCCCAACTCCCAGAACACCGTGTGCCTATCATATATTAGGTGCTCAATAAATACTTGTTGAATGAGTGATTCAATTAATTGATTAATCATCATCAGGGGTTATAAAAATGATGTGGCTCAGCTGGTACCTGTGTATCAGTAAGTAGTAAGAATCAATGTTTCTTTGAGACATATCTGTGTTACTTATTTAACCTAATATTTTGCAGTGGTCTAAAAAGCGATGCTGTCCATTCTCAGAAATGGAGCAGAAAGGCAAGAGAAAGGAAGCTGATATTTTGAATGTCCACTACCTGGCAAGTACTGGACCAGCCACTTGCATATACATTTTCTCAATTATTCCTCACAAAACCTGGATGAGATGGGTGCTAGCATCTCCATTTTGCTGATGAAGGAACGGAGGTAAAAAGAGAGATTAAATAGCTTGTCCAGGTTATCCCTAAGGTGATTTCACGATGAATGAGGAAGCCATGCTGTTTTCTAGTTACTTTGGGCTAGATATTAAATGCTGTGAATTCACAAAATTTCAGAAGAACTGGGCTGATAAAGATTAGTGTAGGTCAGAATTTCCAAAGTAGAATACATATTTAATTTGGTATATTTATGGTGCTGTTTTTATTGTCAAAGAATGTCAAAAGTCACTAAAGTAAATAAAACAATGAAGTTCAATGTGACTTTATTGTTTGTTTTCTTTTTTAAGCATACTCACTATCACGCGAGGCTTGTAACCTTTACCCAGAGGACACATGCTGTGGTATAGCTATCTGGCTAAAGGTGCCTGAGAAAATACAGGATGTCCAGTTGAATTTGAATTTCAGATGAAACACAAATAATATTTTAGCATAAGTATGTCCCAAATGTTGCATGGAGACATACTTATTCTAAGAAAAATTTGTTTATCTGAAATTCAAATTTTAGCTGTGCTTCTGCATTTTTATTTGCTAAATCTGGCAACCTACACCTGGCCAAATGCCCCACCACCCTCCACATACTTATCCTATCACTCTGCCAGACAGATTTTGTCAAGGAGGTCAAGACAGAAAAGAAGGGAGAGAGGACAACTTTGAAAATACCTTGAAAAGAGAAAAGCCTAATGACACACTGTCTTGCTTTCTGTAAGGGATGGCCAGTTTACCTCCAGACTCCTTTGAGCCCCATCCCACCTCTCAGGCCTTCTCTTTTTTACACAGAAATTGAATAACCATGAACAAATTCCATATGTTCTCTAGCCTCGGTTTCTCCATCTGCAAAACAGCAGCAGTCTTAGGTGTCAGAAAAAAACAGGTGATGTGAGATGACTGACTTCCATAGATAGTGTTTGGTCAAGACTTCTCTGCAGCTTCTAAACAGAAACCTAAATGATTAGAAGAAAGCAGCTACGTGAGGGGAAAGAGAGAGAGACAGAGAGCAAGAGCAATCTTGCGCTTGTATCTGTGCAACTGTAGATAAGATCAAGAAGACAGAGCCGGACAATGTGTACAAAATGTTTAATAGGGACAGCAGATTCTATACTGACCTGCTTTTCAACAAAAATAAAAGAAACCAGATTTTGAGTAAAGTAAAAACTTGACAACTGGGGCAAAAGTAGGACTAATCTATAAATCACTCTTCCTGAAGTGGGTTTAAGTGGTGACTTGAAATGCATGCTAAGTGAGGAAGAAAATATAAAGATTGGGCATAAACACAGCACGGAGTTACGATCAAATTAAAGTTGCAATGAAATTAACCCCATCAATACTTGCTACTGTGTATAATGGGCATCTTAAAATAGGGCAGTGTTATGGAATGAATAGTGCCTACCAAAATTCATATGTGGAAGCCCTATGTGACTGTATTTGGAGATAAGGTATTTAGAAGGTAATTAAGGTTAAATGAGGTTGTAAAGGCGGAGTCTAATCCAACAGGATTAGTGGCCTTGTAAGACGATGAAGAAATCTCTCTCTCTCTTTCTCTCTCTCCCTCTTTCTCTCTCTCCCCCTCTCTTTTTCTCAGCCCACACACTGAGGAAAGGCCATATGAGCACACAGGAAGAAGACTGCCATCTGCAAATCAGGAAGACAATCATCATCAAGAACTTACCATGCTGGCACCCCGAACTTGGGCTTCTGTTGTTTAAGCCACCCAGTCTGATATTTTCTTATAGCAGCCCAAGCTGACTAAGACAGGCAGTCAAGAATTAAAATCTGCTTGGAGGAGCACCAACATACCCATTTTAAAAACCTTATTATGTGAAATGGCTACAGTTATTTAAACTCAAGAAGAACATGGAACAAGAAAGAGAAATAAAGTCAGTGAGATGAATGGACTAAAATAACCTAGCAGTTAATGGAATAAATAGGAATGAAGCCCCTTTTCCAGTGTTAGGGTCAGCCTGGGATTTATCAAGGCTCTAAACAAAAGGAATTGATCATGAGAGGTTAGCAGAGACATACGGGAAGCACTGCGAGAGTATTCAGCACTAGTTGGAGATTTGAATTCTAACTTTAAAATTCTGAGACTTTTGATCTATTAATTTATCCATTTTCATTGTTCTTTTGCTTTGACTATAAAGAAACAAAATAAGGCACAATCAAGTGAAATCTCTTGTCCAAGGTTCATTCATTTAAGACATGTTAAGGTATGAGAGAATTTGAAGACATAGGAGTTCCTGCTCACAAGGACATAGAATGTGGTAGGAATGATGTTCAGAAAATCCAAGCAGTGAAAACCTGGGTTTGAAAAGACATTGGGTAAATAACTGTTATAAGATTGAATGAATGGGTGGATGTATTGATGGATGGACAGATGGATGGGTGAATGAATGAATAATACAGTGGTTGTTACAGAGGTTCACAGAAGGCTTGGGTCCTAAAGTGGCAGCCTCTGGCCAGGTTGAACCTATTTGACCATAGGCATTGACCATTCTCTGACAAACTGGTAGCACCCTGTGCCTGATGGCTCCACTATGAGCACCAGATAAATATAGACAATACTGTATCTGCCTTTGCTTTCCTAACAGCACAGCCTCAGCTCCAGAAATCAGGACCCTGACTGTCCCATTGACTCTTGGTGAACATTCTGAGCTCCATTCTATTCCCCTTGTCATTACTAGGGGCCTGTTTAATTTACCGATTTATTCACTTATTTATTCAAGAAATATTAAGTGCTTACTATATGCCAGGCACTGTTCTACCCTCCGAGGATACATTAGAAAGCAAATGTGCTTCAGCTTCTGCTGAGTACAGACAGAAAATAAACCAACAAACAAAGTAAGTACCTCAGTAGTAAGCACTATGCACAAAAGGCAGGAGAGAGGGATAGAGTAGGGTGAAGCTGAGAGCGCAAGGTTTAAAGGTGTGGCTGGGGAAGATTCCACAGGAAGGAGACCTTTGAGCAGAGATCTGAAGGAATTGGCAGAGAGGCCCATGCAGCTACCTGGAGGGAAGGTGCTCCAGCCAGAGGGAGGAGCAAGGTTCTGAGGTGGGAGTGTGCCTGGGATGATGGGGAAAGCAGTCGGTGGACCATCACATCAGGACCAAGGGAGTGACGGAGGAGGAGGACATGATGAAGAGGGAAGAGGGGAAGGACAGACCCGTGTAGGACCCTGGAGGCCCTAGGAAGGATGTGAGCTTTTACCTTCAGCCATTAAGTCTTGATAGGATTGCTCTGGCTGCTGGATTGAGATACTGAGAAGTGGGGGAGGCCCAAGCAGAAGCAAGGAAGCCAGGTAGGTAATAATTCAAGTAACAGAGGATGGTGGCTTGGCCCAGGTGTTTGTGGCAGAGGTGGTGAGGATATCAGCTTTTAAATACATTTGGGCAGTAGAGCCAATAGGATTTGCAGATGGTTTGGGTGTAGGGTTCACATGAAGAGACTCCTGTCAAGCACCCCTGGTATCTACTGACATTGCTGCATGGCATCTTCTGCTAAGGAACCTCCATGAACTGGTCGGCCCAGTTTGAACTGGGATTCTTCCAGCACCACCAGTCTCTCCCCTATCCTCCCCCATACCACTGTGGTTTGGATTGATGGTAACTCTGTTCCTAAGCCCTCCACTGACTCATCACCCCTTTCCCAAAGGCCAGCCCAAGCTCTAACCTATGATTCTCCATTTTTACCTCTTTCTATCTGCACTTTGGTTCCTATAGCATAGAAACTGTAGATTTTGAAGGAAGAAAATGGCCTACATGATAAGAGCAGGTCTGAGTAAGGAAAGCAATTCCAAGCCAGAGGAACTGTTAAGGGAAGGCGTTAGCCCATGTGTGGTAGCGCTGAGATGATCAGAACACCAGGGTCAGTGAAAATTAGCACCTTTCTAGTTTTCAACCCAGTCCCTGTTCCCAGATTTCAAGATATTTTAGGTCAGAACAAGATTTATACAGTTGCCATCTGAGAGCAAGAATAAATAGAAAATCTAAAGGCAGTGGCTCTTGCAAACTCATAGTCTTAGCTAGGATTGTTTAAGCAACAAAGAAAGGAATAAGGGAGAGAGAAGAAGGAACAAAAAAAGAGAGAGAAAGATTGATTGATTCTTTCCCATTAACTGTTTTATGAAAACCAGCAATAGGTTTTCTACCACATTCTATCTACACTGTTTACCTAACTTAAAAAAAAATCCAATCCATCAACCCCTATATATTACTTTATGATTTAAAGCAGGACTTTTACTTTTTTACTTTAGACCCAGGGGTACATGTGCAGATTTGTTACATGGGTATATTGCATGATGCTGAGGTTTGGGCTTCTAATGATCCCACTGCCCAAGTAGCAAACATAGTACCCAATGGGTAGTTTTTCAGTCCTTTCCCTCCTCCCTCCCTCCTTCCGAATCTCCCATATTTATGTCCCTCTGTTTTTCCCATCTTTGTGTCCCTCTGTATCCAATGTTTATCTCCCACTTATAAGTGAGAATATGCAGTATTTGGCTTTCTGCTTCTGCTTTAATTTGCTTAGGACAATGGCCTCCAGCAGCACCCATGTTGCTGCAAAAACATGATTCCATTCTTTTTCATGGATGCATAGTATTCCATGGTATATGTACCACATTTTCTTTTTTTTTTTTATTTTCTTTTTTTTTAATTATACTTTAAGTTTTAGGGTACATGTGCACATTGTGCAGGTTAGTTACATATGTATACATGTGCCATGCTGGTGCGCTGCACCCACTAACTCGTCATCTAGCATTAGGTATATCTCCCAATGCTATCCCTCCCCCCTCCCCCCACCCCACCACAGTCCCCAGAGTGTGATATTCCCCTTCCTGTGTCCATGTGATCTCATTGTTCAATTCCCACCTATGAGTGAGAATATGCAGTGTTTGGTTTTTTGTTCTTGCGATAGTTTACTGAGAATGATGATTTCCAATTTCATCCATGTCCCTACAAAGGACATGAACTCATCATTTTTTATGGCTGCATAGTATTCCATGGTGTATATATGCCACATTTTCTTAATCCAGTCTATCATTGTTGGACATTTGGGTTGGTTCCAAGTCTTTGCTATTGTGAATAATGCCGCAATAAACATACGTGTGCATGTGTCTTTATAGCAGCATGATTTATAGTCCTTTGGGTATATACCCAGTAATAGGATGGCTGGGTCAAATGGTATTTCTAGTTCTAGATCCCTGAGGAATCGCCACACTGACTTCCACAATGGTTGAACTAGTTTACAGTCCCACCAACAGTGTCAAAGTGTTCCTATTTCTCCACATCCTCTCTAGCACCTGTTGTTTCCTGACTTTTTAATGATTGCCATTCTAACTGGTGTGAGATGGTATCTCATTGTGGTTTTGATTTGCATTTCTCTGATGGCCAGTGATGATGAGCATTTTTTCATGTGTTTTTTGGCTGCATAAATGTCTTCTTTTGAGAAGTGTCTGTTCATGTCCTTCGCCCACTTTTTGATGGGGTTGTTTGTTTTTTTCTTGTAAATCTGTTTGAGTAACCAATCCACCATTGATAGGTACCTGGGTTGATTTCATGTCTTTGCTATTGTGAATGGTGTAAAGCAGAACTTTTTCACAGCAGCAATTAAGAAGAAATCCTCTCAGGAAATGAGACTAAGCATGTTAAGTCTAACCAAACAATTTTTTAGTATTAAAAAAACACACCGCATAAGTGCTTTCCAACACAATTGATGCAATAGATCCTGACTTCCTGCTTTTCAGAGTCATGATCAGGATTTCCAGACACAGAAATGTTGGGGGCTGTGTGTGCACATGTTGTTGTTTTAAAGGATTTAATACTATAATTCTCACATGTGGAAATTTTCCACTGACTTTAGTTTTACTAGTATGAGCCACCAAATCCACAAAAATTGTACTAGGGCAATTTGGAGGCATACTTCCAACCTCCTAGTGGAGTAAATTATAAGATGTGATGAAGTAGTTATTTTCTAGGGCTTGTTGTGTTTTTATTCCTCCCACAGACAAACCATCTCAAATTAAATAGATTCCACACGGTCCTAAGGAGGCTTCTCATGTTGTATTTTGTATATTCGGCCATAGTGTCGCAACAGATGTTAAAGGGCCAGCCGCAGGGTATTTTAGTGATAGGATGTGAATGGGAAGTGGAGAACTTGAGGGCCTTACCCTGAAGAGATTTTGATAGAGGGAAGTGAGTGGTGGGGGAGCACCAATTTCAGCCCCTTAAGAAGGGGCTCTGCATCTCTGGGGTCTTCCAGTTGCCTAATGTAGTAGGTTCTCCAAAATGCTGGATCCCTTGAACCTATCCACTCCCATCCCCCCTTAATTATGAAAATAATATTTTCAAACAGCTACTCTGATGATGGACTACTCCACCAGATGTAACTCTTCACCTATGTCCCTGATGATGATCTCTTAGCTGTTTGTTTGTTTTTTTCTCCCAGCAGAAACTGAAGGGGCCAGATTCACTGTCAACTAGAGTAGTTGGCACTGCCCCTGTTATTTTGAATTTGTACAACTGGAGACTTGGAACTCAGAACCTTTGAGACTGCATCTGAACAGCATCTCCATGCATGGCCAATGTAGCCATTGGCAACAGCAGCCACAGTGTGTAGGACCCACGAAAGTCACACTGTGATCTTGTCTCCACCTGCCTCCCTTTGCTGGCCTTCATTCACGAGCAAAAGATAGTATCCCTGATGCCCAAGTCTCCCTTCCTTCCACTGTGTATAATTCGGAAGCTACAGGAGTAGAGTGGTCCAGCGTAGCTCCTTCAAAGACAGGGAGCCACCCTCTGTACAGCTCTGTTCCTGACCCTCACTTTACACGGGCTGATCAGAAACACATAGTGCCGGTCGGCTTTGGGGGTGCAAGCCCACGCACAATCTTTTGCTAGGAACTGCCCCTGCCTAGGGTAACTGCCAGAGGGCCAGTTCTAGATGTCCACGTTTGGGCCAAAATGAGAATACAGATAACTTGTTCAAACCTAAAGTCTGGTTAACCTGACCACAGAATTTAATAGGTTCCATATTCTTTTAACATACCTCTGGCTTGAAATTATAACTGAAGCCAGGAGTTACAAGCTTCAGTGAGCAGATTAATGAGAAACTTTGAACTCTCGGGAGACAGTCAACACTGGTTGTTTGACTAGACAAATCTTTCTGTTAGAAATTTCCTTAATAGATAGTTAAGAAAATTATTACTGAATATTTACATACCAGTTAACAATATCTAAGTTGAATTAATCCCTTGTTTATATCTTAAAGTTGAGCTTCTAAGCCTGCTTCTTATGGGTAAGAGATTTCTTATGACATTAAAAGTGTATTTTAATCGTTCTAAGAACTTTTGTCTTATAACCTTGAAACTATAAGTGTTCTTTATGGAAAATGAAATATTTTAAAGTGCATTACAGGAATTTGTTACTGAACCTTGTGAGTTTTAGTAGAAAACAGCCTGTGTTGACTTGTTCTATGTTTGTTGTAGAATGTTGATATAAACAACCAATCTTGTGATAGTTAACTCAGTATTAGTTCACTGCTCTAGATCTAATCTACTCAACCACCATAAAAGGGCTGTGCACTGTCTCTTAAAATTAAGAACATAGCTAAAGGCATTCCTGCTCATAAAGATTTATTTTACAAGTATAATTAAAGTGATGATAACAATGAATCTTTTAAACACAATGAGAACTTATTTGCCATATTAGTAACAAGATTCTAGGGATTCCACTGTTTTCAGTTCAGAAAATGATGTCCTCTACATTTAGTTTTTAAACAAACAAGCAAGTTGAAAAATCAAAAGAAAATCATGCAAAGGGTAATTTTCATTACAAACTAATTAAGATGAGAGTATAGGCATGTAGGACCATACATCAAAATATCTAGCACAGGTGGCATATACTAGGCGCTCAATAAATGCATGCTGAATCTGATTTGCAACAATTAAAGTTCCTTTGTACTAAAGTTAGTCCATGGCGTGAGACAGAGGTAACAGACAAAAGTCAAGACATAATAGTATCCTCTGGGAAGTTATCTAACCCCACCTGATGCTTAAAATTCCCTCCCTCCTGCCTCCCTGAACCCCTTTCTCTTTCTGAATTGTGGATTACCAGTTCACAGGCATTCCCTACATTCCCCCTTCCCAAATCGGCATACCTGCAATATAGACCCCAGAGCTGCGCCCAGCTTCCTTTTCAAGGAATGACTTGATGTGGGAGTGCAGGTAGTGGACCTCCTCCAGCCTTCAGCTATTTCAGGCCCTGCCCTGGCTGCAGAGACATTCTCCACCTGAGGTCACACTCTTGCCTTCAGCTATTTCAGGCCATGTCCTGGCTGCAGAGAGACATTCTCCACCTGAGGTCACACTCTTCCCGGGATAGCCCACAACCTTGACTGAGGGAGATGCCCACAGGGAAACCAGGTGGATGGGCAATATTCAATCTGGCATTCCCGACCAGCTTGGCCAAGGCCTTTTCAGGCTCGTATCACAGGTCAGCTTTCTCCCTTCCCCAATCCTGGTTTTGTTTTCTTCCCTTCTCAGGTGTTGATCTGATGAGCCTCTCGCTTTGGAAACTCGGGCTCAGCATCTGCTCTGAAGAGACAATCTGAGACAGCTGTTTCACATTTCAGTCTCTATGGGATTACCGCCAAATGACCAATCTGACCAATACATCCAGGTGAAGAAAGAGGAATGGCTGGAAGCTCATTAGACTAAATCAGGGGTTCCCAGAGTTTAGCCTTTAGAAATAGAACTATTTCTTCAAATAAGGCCGTACAGCAGAATAAAGTGGCACAGTTCTATTGAAGCGTCTGAGGTAGGCCATGGAGCCTTAGAGGGATGAAAATCAATGGACCGAATAGATCAGTGGTTCTCACCCCACACCAGGCATGAGAATCCACTGGGGGCATTTGAAAAACACATATGTCTGAGTCTCACCCCACTGATTCAGTTTCAACATTATAAAAGTCCTTCAGGTGAATCTTATAGACATCCTGCACTGAGAGCCACTAAAATCATGAGCTCTAAGGCCCTTCCACCTTTCACGGTTCTCTGGTTCCATAATAACACAAGATTACCCTTACTCTAGTACAATGCAAACATTTAAAAAGAGGGCCTCTACCATCCAAGGTTAGGGAATCAACTCTGGCCTTTACACTAATGGAGGGCTTTAATTTTTATTATACACGTAGCACCACTAGCTACACTCTCTTCCAGAAATCAAACAAATGAAATTACAGATGTGCTAAAGTCCCTTTGATTTCCCTCCACCCCAATATTAAAGGACTCCTCCTAATGTTCCTGGATCCCTTCTCTCCTCTGCTGCTAAATTCAGCCCCCAGATTCCCCAAAACTTAATTATAGAGCCCATATAACTGCAAGGAGATCCCACAATGGCTTTCCCTGTGATTCCCAGGAGATTTCAGTAGGACAATTCATTGTTCTGACTTCTGTGGCTTCATTTCCTATATCTTATCGATAGAGGAAACAGCAGAGATTTAGGCAGTTCTCAAATATACATGTTGGCCCTCATATTTATTGTCTAGTCTCAAGCTACCTGAAAAATAAAATGATTAATTTTACTTTTTTTTTTTTTTTAAAGCAGAGTCTCACTCTGTTGCCCAGGCTGGAGTGCAGTGGCATGATCTCCGTTCACTGCAACCTCCACTTCCCAGGTTCAAGCACTTCTCCTGCCTCAGCCTCCTGAGTATCTGGGATTACAGACGTGTGCCCTCACACCCAGCTAAATTTTGTATTTTTAGTAGAGATGGGGTTTCGCCACGTTGGCCAGGCTGGCCTCATGTGATCCGCCCACCTCAGTCTCCCAAAGTGCCGGGATTACAGGTGTGAGCCACTGTGCCCAGCCAACTTTTCTCTACTTATTTGTAAAATTTTTTGGAATATGGTTGGTTCTCTTAATAGGTGCCCTTTTGAATACTTGCTTTTGAGTGATATTTTTTCTTAAAGTTGACAGCTAGTGTTAAGGCAGTTTGCACAGGGTTTGGGATTATTCATGGTCAACTGGTACTCAAAGACCTTTCAACTCTTGGTCAACAGCTCTATTTAAGTGTTAGAAAAACAGGAGCACCTGATTGCCCCTTTTGCTGAGACCCTCTGAGTAAACTTTAATCCACCTAATGATCTGATCTCCAATTCGACTGCCAAACTGATGCCAACAGAATTGTGATAATAGAGTCAAGTTAAATGTCTTCAATTTTAGAAAGCCAACATATGGTAACACCTGATATCCTTTCCAGAGATACATATGCATTTGTATATATGTTCATAAAGATAGGTGGTATTGGGCTGGGCATGGTTGCTCATACCCGTAATCCCAGCACTTTGGGAAGCCGAGGTGGGCGGATCACCTGAGGTGGGGAGTTCAAGACCAGCCTGGCCAACATGGAAAAACCCCATCTCTACTAAAAATACAAAATTAGCCAGGTGTGGTAGTACGTGCCTGTAATCCCAGCTACTTGGGAAACTGAGGCAGGAGAATTGCTTGAACCCAGGAGGTGGAGGTTGCGGTGAGCCGAGATTGTGCCACTGCACTCCAGCCTGGCGACAGAGCAAGACTCCATCTCAAAAAGAGAGAGAGAGTGAAAAGGCAAGCTACAAAAAATATTCACGATACATATACATAACAAAAAACACCTACCCACAATAGATTCTTTTAACAGCTGCGTATTATTCCACAGTATGTATGTATCATAGTTTATCTCTTAGTGATGATCATTTACTCTGTTTCTGATTGTTCACTATCTAAAACAATACAGCAATAAATACACTTGTACATCTTTGAGTGTTTTCTTAATGAATTACTCAGAAGTGGAGTGCTGAAGAGCATTTCAAACCACAGAGGCCAATGGAAAGATATTTCCACCCCATGGGTTTTCTCCCATCTTGCAAATCTCATTCTGAAACAAGCTGTCTGATCTCTCTTTGCCTGGGCCCTGCCCATTTTTACACCTTTTGGAGACCCTAACATAGCTTAACCAGAGTACACAGGCTTGAGAAGACTTAAGAATTCTAATGAGGGGGAATAAAAGGACATAAGAAAATGAGTAGACAAGAGAGCTCTCTAATATTCTTGGCTTCTCAGCTTTCTAAAAGAAATTGTATTTATGCCATAGTTATTGACTGGAGCCATATATCTTACATGCTGATGATAGGCAAATATCCTGGGGTCTTTTGAAAAAAGGAATGTATCAAGTACAAACTCAATTAACTGATTAAATTTTTTGATTACTAGAGAGAGATCAGACATCTCTGCATTTTTCAATCTTAGTTATTGAAAGTACTTTCAAATATACATTAATCAACTTTCCTGCTTTGGTAAGTACAATATCCTGAACCTCACTGACTATTTCTTCACAGGTTTAAAATCTTAAAATCCTGAGGGTCATAATTTGAACATCAATCTCATCATACCTGACATTAATATGGCAAGTGTCCCTGGCACATTTTGCCTTACAGTAGACTCTAAACTTCTTAAAGGCAAGAACCACATTCAAATTCTGATTCTACCAGGTGTCATGTTTGTGATATTCAGTGAGAGTGTCTAATTCTCAGTTTCCCCACCTAAGAACAGGAAGAGACAGCCTACCCCTCAGGTTGTTGGAAGAATACAAATTCCTAACATATAGTGAATAACACACAGTAGGACTTGGTGAATGTTCTTTCCTTCCTCCTTAATAATTTTTTCTTGAATCAAATTTAAATGAGTGGAGGAGGTGAGAATACATTTGTTCTAATACTAGGGCATAAAGAAAAAAAACCATGCCTCACTATATTTTGCTTTACAAATTGCATTTCTCATCAGAAAGTGGGGTGACAGAGAATTCCAGCACACTGAGATTTCTAATTATTTGGTTCCAATTAGTAATTGGGCATACACTTGACAACATGTATCACATGTCCTTTGCCCCAGCAATCCCACTCAGTCATTTATCCTAAGGAAGGAATTGAGAATGAACAAGAATGAATAAACAAGGATATTCACTGACCTGTTTTTTATAATATTAAAATATCAGAAACAACACAAATACTCATCAATAGGTGAATGGTAAAACATATTTCACATCAACCATACATCAGAATAATACAAAACCATTAGAAATTATAATTAGCTTTTTATTTATAGAGTTATAATGTGTCAATAAAATATTGTTAAGAGGACAAAGCACATTACAAGAGTATATATAAATTCGGTATTCTAGTTTTGTCAAAATTTATGTAGGTGTATGTATGTATTTATAAAAAAAAGTCTTGAAAAATACACACCAACATGCTCATATGTTTATGTCCAAGGGGTAGGATTATGAATGATTTCCTCTTCCTTTTTAATATATTTCTTTTGACCTGAATTCCTTTACAACAAGCATATATTACTTCTATAATCAACAAATAATAAAGCACTTTTATTTTAAGAATTAAAATTTTTTTGTTGCAAAAAATGCCAATCAACAATTCTGTACTACAAAATCCTGAAAAACCCAAGTTTTATGGACCTTTTCTCATTGATTCTCAAACAGAAGGGAGAAGTCTCATTATTGCTGTTTATAGATCGAAGTCACGCTTTCTAAACCTTGGCACTACTGGCATTTTTGGCTGGGTAATTCTTCGTTGTGGGGCATTGTCCCATGCACTATAAGATGTTTTGCAGCAGCTCTGACTCTTACTCACTAGAAGCCAGTAACACACACCCTTTCCCCAAGTTGTGACATCCAAAAATGTCTCTAAACATTGTCAAATGTCCCTGGTGTTCAGGGGGAGGAGGAGGGAGGAAATTGCCCAGTTGAAAACCACTGTTCTAAGAAAACTGGAGGGCTGGAATTAAAACTCACGTTTACCACTCATTGGGTGATTCGACCTCTCTGTGTTCCAGTTCCTCATCAACAGAATGACTATCTAACCTTACAGATATCTTTTGGTCCCGAAATCTAGAATTTTATGGGTTTGTAGAAAATCAACTGGGTTAAATAGAAAGTCTAGCGTCATGCAGAAAACCAAAAATACAGATAGAAATGTAGCTAGGTTTTCTGATTGCAATTTTGTACCTGTTCATTCACTTGTGTGGCAAATATTTATTGTCTATTATATCCCAGGCACCATGATAGGCACTGGGAAAGAGTAGTAAACCAAAAAATGAGATTCTTTCATGGAGCTTACCTTTGGCTGAGAAAAACAAACCAGAATCTTGTAGGGTTAATAAGTAAGAGTATTTTAGATGGTAGTAAGTGACATAAAGTAGGTAACATGTAATAGATAACTACTGGAACGGTATTGGGGGAAGTAAGTAACATAGGATAAGGTGGTCCAGGAAGCCCCCAGAGGAGTTGTTACTTGGACTAAGATCTGGGTGATAATGAGGACAGAGCCAAGCAAAGGTCAATGGGAAGAATGTCCCCATGACAGAGGGAATTGACGTGTATAAGCAGTGACATGGAAAAGAGCTTGGAACTGCATTCATGACAATACAATAGCAATATGTACATGGTTAGAGAGGTACCAAAAGAAATTGCGTCAATTTATATTATTAGTAGCATGGGGAAAATGCAAGTGGAAAAATAATCTCTGGTTTTTCCATAGGAGAGTGATTATAGTGGAAATTAGATCCAGAAAAAGCTCTCATATCATGGCCTTCATTCATAATGCAATTGAAAAATTGTGTTTGGGGAAATTCTGGAAACAAATGCCCCCAAAACTCATCAATGCCTTTCTATCATCATTTAGTACTAGGAGGGGGGTGCCAAGAAGATGTCTACTGAATTGCTAAAGCAATAAATTGAGGAGATAATCTTTTTCATGGTTGGTATGCTCAGGGGGAATAGGTCCAGCAGATAAAATGATAACTAGATTTAGTTGACAATTTGCTTTGAGTAAAATGTCGAGCTTGTAAATAATTTTAAAATAGCCTGTCATTCAATTGTGGTGTGTCCTTTAAGAAATTTTAATCGATGGAAAACACATTTCTCAAACACAGCTTCTAACCCCTGTGAAACCAGCTATTGGTTTAAACAAAAAGCTGTGACACAATCAGATCTGTGTGTGCAGTAGCTTACTAAGGAGAGTGAATTGAACTACAACCCCAGAATTTCATATTATAACAATATTCTGCAACCTAAGAATTAGCTATTGAGATGACATGTGATGTGGAAACACACAACTTGTTCAGCCCTTTTTGCTCAAGGGCACTGAGAAGCTGAGGTTTCCATCCACTCATCAGAAACAATCAACATACACATAAACTTTTGGCTGCAAATGGATTGTCTGTTTGGTATCTTTGCCAAAAGCTCAGCATTATAGAGAAAAAGAAAGTGAAAGGGAGAGAAAGGTGGAGGGAGAGGAAAGATATAGCAACTGTCTGAAATTAGGGTCTAGTGTCACCTTGAGAAGATGAACTCAAGAATAAAAATTCTACTACAGAATTTGGGGGTGGGGGAATCTCTCCTCACTCCCACAACTATCAGTAATCTAAGCTAAAATCCCTTTCTACAGTGACATCCATGTCAAAATGGGGAAGAATAGTGATCATTCTAAATGTAACATGAGCAATTTGTCGCCTTTTCCAGGCCCACTGCTTCCCCACTGTGGGTGCTGCAGAGGCAGTGGCTTTTCTTCCTCTTTCCCCTCTTCAACCCTGCCCAAGGCTGCACTGCTGGGGCACACAGCCTGGTGGCCTCCTCTGACTAAGCTGTTATTTTCCTGAAGAACTTTTTATCAAAGGAAACCAATCATTGTCCAGCCCCTGGTGTCAGGAGATGCAGCAGCAAAACCCCAAGGGCAATAGAAAGCTCTGGTTTTTTTAGGTTGAAACTCCTGGAGAAGATGTCTTGGGTTGTTTGTTTGTTTGTTTGTTTCTTGCTTGGATCTGGAGAACATTCTCTCTCTTTTTTTTCAACATTGACATGGATTATAAAGATATCATCCCAAATTGCTAGCATGGCAAATAAACCAATACAATTAGAGAATAAGGACACCTCCTGAGCATTTAACTGAGGCTGGCTAGGTGTTTATTTTTAATGAATTGATTGTCATCGATTATCAAAACATATATGTATTGATTTTATCCCTTATATCTTGGAGGCTAAATAATCTGCAAAGCTATTAATCCTGGATAGATTTAAAGATAATAGATAATGATGCATTATTCATAAATGTTGTACAGCAGGATATCCATTATACAACTGTTACTCTCTAGCAATATCACTTTCACATACATCTGTTATTATTTTATTTAAGCCAGATTGTCAGAAATTTTAGGAATGCTAATTTTTAACATTCAGCTTTATAACGAAATATCAATTCCTTTTTTTTCAGTCTAATGCAACCATGGAGACTGTATGAAGATGTTGCTTCCCTACCTGCACCTCTGGCCCGATTTACACATAAGCACACTCACAAAGATATGTCTACAGGCTGCATGGCTCTGTTATTGACTACTGAATGGTTTCCAGGCTGTCTTTGTCTCAAGGTCAATCAGACTCAAGTTCCACTTTTTTTTTTCCTCTTGTAGGAAGATTTCTTTATTGGTAAGCTGATTTAAATTCCTTTGCAGATATTGAACCAAATCTGCTCAGGCTGCAGCCTCCTGGGACCTTTCACTCTGGGCTAAATATAAATAAATACCCATATAGGACAGCTTTTGATGAAACATTAAAGATCACTCTGGTTATATGGCTTCTAGATTTTCTATTTTCTGTATGAAAAACCCATGGCGGTAAAAAGAACCTTCGCCACGGAAAGGAATAGATTTGTAAATTGCTGCCTATGGACCTCCTGGGACTTAATGGCACAGGGCAAAGAAGCAGCTGAGCTTGGCAAAGGAAGCAAGATAAATAAAATTAGCCACCAAATCAGCTCCTTTAAAAATACCAGCTGTCAACTCCCTCCAGCGTTTATGAATTTGGGGGCATGTTACTGTCACATTGTGTCTCACCCAGGACCAAGCAGCATTGCTCTTTTCAACTGGGAAAGGGTCCCTAACTCCCCTCACAGGGAAAGCTAATGCAAAAATTTGCCCTTTCTCTTTCACTCTGTCTCCCTTGTCATGTGTGCAAGGAAGAAACCAATCCAGGCCAACCAAGAGTTATTGCTATAATGATTATACTTGTCATTGTTTGTTCTTAAACTATTCACCAAGTAATCCCTTTAAAGGGTAGGGCTACTGGCTTTAGAAAGTAAATTTGCTAATGGAGATGAGAGATAAGGCTGGAAGAGCAGAAATAAGAGAAGGGCAGGAATCCTGCAATCTTTGTGGGGTGCTTGTCTCTCTATTGTAGCTCCCCAATGGGATCCAGCCTCTGCAGCTTTGGGAAAGAGCCTTGTACTACTTGACCAGGCATTGAAACTGAGGTACAGCCTCCTTCACAGGTGGAGATGGGAGACACACAACAATTTTAAAAGCTAACCTTAGCCAGGCCCTGCACTAATTGCTTTGTAAGCATTATCTCACTGAATGCTCCAAACAACCCACCAAGATGGGTAATATTATAACCCCATTTTAAAAATGAGCAAATTGAGTAGTTAAGCAGTTTGCCCACCCTCCTGGAAGACGCACCATGTAGCCTTTTATGATGTATGAGGCACCCTGCTCTTGCTGGGACTCAAGGGTGACCAGCAAACCACAGACACATTCTGGAGCCAATCAGTTATGCCCAAGCTGAAAGCATGTGCTTCCAGGTGCATGTAGATTCTTCTGGCCCGGTGAGAAATCTCTAAGCATTGCTGCATTGCTGGGCAAGTCATCCAGCGAGAATCAGCTGGAATCACACAGATCACATGGAGACCCTGGGGAAAAAAACACTGGGACAACTCCTTCTCCTTGTGTCTATTTGCAGCCAGGGGGAAGAACCGGAATGGGATCAGACACAGACTAACCATTTTAATCTTAATTTGCACCTAACTATGTACATCCTTTGGCTGGAGGCCAGGAGAATTTCCTGTTACAGTTTATAGAAGCAAAATCATTAAGTATATCTCTTATGTTGCTGTTGATTCTAAGGAAAAAAAAAGAAATCTTACAAAGCTCAGTCCATGGTTGGCACATAAAGACCATGTGTTGGCTCATTAAAATAGTAATTTTTTGTTATTGTTTATTTTTTAAAACACATGAAGCTTTTCTACTATGCTTGGATCAGAACTCTGTATAATTCACAGAAAACCACAATCATTGCACAAAAGAAAGCTTCCATTCCAAAACAGGCAGAATATCAGAATACAAACAGGCAAAATCCACACTCCACAAACTGAATGCAGGACCTGCAGTGAGTGAGCCAGAAGGGTTGGCACAATTCAGACTGGGGGGAAAAAAATCTATTTTTCCCTCAACCATAGTAAATATGAGAGTGCTTTACTCATAAAGAGCTTTCCAATGCTATTATTTTTGTTTGAGCTTCACAAGGCAATGAGGGAGATGTGGTCATCCCCCTTTCCAGATTTAGATCAGCTACGTGACTTATCCAAGGTCATGATCAGCAGTGGAGGGAACTCAGGCTACATGTGGCCAGTTATTTAGCTAGTCCAAGAAAATGGAAGTCATCGGGATTTTTCTGCCTGAATATTTAGCACAAGAGCTGGTCATGGACACCAATAAAAACACACACTCAAAAGTAACCTTTACCCTCGATGCTGTCTGGGCCCTATCCCTGGGAAGGAAGGTAAATGCCACATGTGCCTGCATTTCTCCCATCACATTCTCTGTTTCTACTAGGTGTAGTGGGGGGACAGGTTGGTGACAGTCTCTAACCCCCAAGTAACCCCTTAAAAGGGCTACTTGAAGAAAATCAGGGGAGACCAGCAACAAAGCAAGATGGGTTCCCTTTACCTTCCCATGCTGGAGTGAAAGCATTTGTCTCCCCTGATGTGGCTCCTCTCCTCACTAAATTATTATGTGAGGCACGTGGTGACAGCACAGAAGGGTTTTCCATAAATTTGAGTTTAAAGGGGATAATACTCGATGTTAAATCGTTAAATTAAATCATTCTTTACAAGACATTTTTACAATTTCAAGCCATGTTCCCAACTAGAGCTGCATAGTAAATTAATTACTGCATTAGTAGTTCATTGGTGACTATTGTAAACAATGTTTGTACTAAAAAAAATACACAGAAGTATGTTCCAAATATTTGTTCACATGTTTTGAATGCATTAAAAAGTACTTGTACTGTTTGAGGGGAGAGCATTCTTAGTAATTTTGTTGCCTGCCCCATTTTATCCTAGAAAGAGTTATATTCATCTCCCATTGGCATATAGGGTAATTTATCACAGTTGCTTATGGAGTTCTGGATAATATAACTGAGGACTTTTTAGAAGTTGAACCAGGTCAGAGAAAGTTAGTTATTAATCTAGTAAAAACGACTTTAATATGTTGGTTTATAGATATACCAAGAAGAAAGACAAACCATTTTTTCACCTCTAATGGCTAAAAATATGAAAGGTAAAAATCCCATGGTAGATAAACATACAACACAAGTCACATACGTTATATCTAGCCATGCCTGTTCCAAAAACATTTTGCTTTTATTTTTTGAATAAATGGTTAGTCTTATAAAATAATGTATAATAAAGAGAGTATACTTTAGCAAGGTGGTTCCAACTAAAGTGGGTAAGAAGTATAATTTGGGTAAAAACATTCCCTATGTTATCCATGTAAAAGTAAGCCATACTCAAATTGTATATGAATAACCTGGATTGGTTTTATATGTAATTTAAGTTTTTTCTAAACATACATACTTAATGCATAGCTGAAAGTCACAAGGAATCAACATAGTTCTATATGAAGAACGGGTTTTTGTAAGAAACATATTTACATGTCTTATATCTGCAGAAACCATTTTCTCCAAACTGAAACTTGGCATAACTCATTTGATAAGCTGAAGTACACTCATGGAACAATAAGTATATTTGAAATCAGGCCTGAGCCCCAAAATTGATCATCTCTGGCAGCTATATCTCTGCAGAGAATAAGATCACACCTAGGCACCCATTTATGTGACAGCTTGTGTACACTGTGTGTACACAGGGCAGAGACATATCAAAAGAGAGCTAAAATCCAAAGAAAAAAAAACCACCCAAATGTCCATCCGCAGTGAAATTGATAAAGAAGTTGTGCTACCTACATACAATGGAATACCAAGCGAAACGACAGGGCATGAACTATTACCATCCTTGCAACATGGATGAATGTCAAAACCATAATGTTGAGCAAAAGAAGCCAGACATGCGAGAAACATGATGTATAGTTTCATTTCTAAACATTTTCATTAATCTGTGATGTTGGAATTCGGGATAGTTGTCACCTTTTGAAGGGAGAAGTAGTGAACAGGAGGTGGCCCGAGGGGTCTTCTGGGGTCCTGATGTCTTCTATTTCTTCATGTTTAGACTGCTTACACAGTCTAGTCTCACTTTTGGAAAATTCATCTAGTTATACACTTATGATACATGCACTTTCTATATGTTAACTATACTTCAATAAGAAGCTACTTAAAAAATAAAAATAAGCTAGCAGCAGTGGCTCATGTCTGGAATTCCAGCTACTCAGGAGGCTGAGATGGGAGGACTGCTTGAGCCCAGGAGTTTGAGGCTGCAGTTGACTATGATCGTGCTACTCTAAAAAAGAAAATAAAATAAAAATTTAAAAAGATCACTAAGATAGTGAGCTCCCCCCCAAAGCATGGTTAGCCTAAAGTGCTATGCAGGGTTTGAACTCTCCCCATGCCCTATGCAAGGGAGCAGAGCTCCCAGAAGTTTTCAGACAGTCAAAGGAATAGGGACTCGAGATCGTAAGAAAAACCCTCATCTTCTCAGACCATTGCAGTAAACAAAAACTTCTCATTCCAAAAATAAAAAATAAAAAAATGAGGCAGCACAGGGGGGAAGCCTGTGGCCTCTGCAAGACAAATATCCCCTAGTGTGTGTTTATTCAGATCAGCCATAGCCTAGTCACACACAGCCAGGGATTCCCCGGAGGGGTTTCCCATGGTTCTAATTAGATGAACTATTTGCCAGAAGTGTAGACAGCCTCACTCCCTGGAAGAGACTATGTTAGCTTTTGGCAAAATAACCTAGTGGGGAAAGAGTGAATTCTATAAACTTCCTCCGAGCATCACCCAGATTTGAGAGGATATTGTAAAAGTAATATTACAGTTCTCCTGCCAAAATTAAGGAAGGGAGGCTTTCATTTGGTTTGAACTTTCTTCAAGAAATACACCAAAGCTAATGCATGATTCCATTTGGGCAATACGGGGCTCCGCCTTCCTCACCCAGAGCATTGCTCTGCTTGAAGCCCAGAACCTTCTCGGTAAACCATACAGGGAAGCTCACAAATGGGGAAACAAAGCTCAATGCTCCAAGTGAGATTAGGGAAACACCAAAATAAATACTGACAACCAAAAAAGACAATAGATAAATACCCTGTCATTCAGCAGGAGCAAGAGGGAGAACAGAACATCATTCTCCACTCTGGCTCTGCTGTCCCTTTATAGCCTTATGTAAATTACCTTACCTTCCTGAAAAAATTGATATGTAATGCTCTCTCCAAGTCTATGCAAAGCAGGTTGATGGTTGTGAGGGAAAACAGGATTTTCCTGCTTCTCTGGGCATGGATCCATATTGCCCCAGTGACAAACATCTTTCTCAAGCCTGACGTCATTCACCATAATCAAGACCCTCTCGTCTCTTGGGGAAAAAAATCCTGGATCTGTATAATCTTTGGTTCTTCTTCTAACCCTGTCACTTACTTGCAACATCATCTTCAGCTAATCATTTAACCTCTCTGGGCTGCAAATACTTTGCCAACTGCAATTGCCCTCATCATTCATCAAATACTCAGAAGAGCAGGATAAAGAATTGCTCTCTATTGCTTTTCACAAGCTTAAGTAACTGAACAGGAAAGCCAGTCTTGCTTGCTGTGCCCTCCCTTCCCATCTCCATGGGTAAGCCCTGCCCAGCTCAGCCATGGTGACTGAGTCCTGCTTTCTGCAAGAGGTGGGGTGGAGCATGTGAATCTCCTGAGTCAAGGAGAGGTGAAGTCTCTTACTGTCTTTCATTGTGAATTAGGAGCCTCTAACTGCTACCCAGGATCCTCCCAGGATTATTGACCCTCTGGTATTTTCCCTTTCCATGACTTAAAAAGAGACTTTTAAAATTCCCAATTCGGTAAATCTGGTTTTTAAAAGAGTGATCAATGCCAAATCATGATAAAGATAAATTTTATTATGGGGGGTTGGAAGGACAGTTATGACCATTGACAGTTTAGAAAGAACATACTTTATAGTAAAAGGTTAGAAGTTAGAGCTCCCAGAAGGCCAATGAGAAATAAAGTGAAAGCATTGCTGAGATTGAAATTTAAACAAAGGGGAAAGTGCCATTTGATTTCACCCCAAAAGAGTGATTTATATTCACATTTTTAGGGCACACATCTGCCGTGAAAGTGAGCAACAACACCTGTAGATTGAAGCCCTTCAGCACTTCCAGCAAAGCCAACACAGAATCAAGAAAACAAATGCTTCTCTTAGTCAAGCATGTAATCACATATTTCCAGATGAGAGGCACAAAAAATGATTAAAGGTTTGGGAAATTGGATCTATATAGAAATACTAATGGAACTGGCTTCCTATATCCTGGAGAAGAAAAGACTGGTAAGAGTAGAGGGCTCTCCACTTCCCTGTGTGTGAAGGAATGCATGTAACCAGTGACTCTGAGAAATACCTGAAGGGAAAAGCAAGATCATTAAAGAACAACCAGATACGTTTTACTTGCATTTGAACGAGATTTTTAAATCTTTGAGTTTTTAAGCTACAGAAATCCTTGGAACTATCTCTAATATCAAAAGAGGTCTTGGGGTCTGCCCAAACACACCGCAACAGAGTTACCCTTAACGTCCTTCCTCGGCTGGTTTGATGAGCAGCAGAAAGAAAGCTAGAGGAACTTTGGGGTACCTCTCAGAATTGTAGTTTTATGACCTTGACAACTACTAAGCTCAACAAGATGGCAGCAGTCTGATCAGAAATAATAGTGACATCAGTGCATCTTCCTCAATTATCATCCAATTACTGGCACAGGCCTACATCATTTTCCCAGACAACAGAGCTGTGCTGAACCCAAATGATGTCACCAATGTGTAGTCATCCAGGTGTGACACCTCAGTGTCATTTTAGACTCATCTCTCTCCCTCACTCCTCACTGACAGTCTATCAACAATGCCTTCAAGTCGTTTTTTTGTCTTTTGCGTCTCATGTCCATCACCTTCTTTCCTTTCCCAGGGCAAAATCCCAGTTCAGGCAATCATTAACACACTATTTAATTCCTGTCTCCTAAATTCAAGTTCTTTCTCAATGTTTCTCAAAAGGTGGTCAAAGATCACCTCCAACAAAATCACAAAGAGAGCTTGTTAGAAGTGCAGAATTCCCAGGCTCCAGACCACTCACCCTTGGAGAAGCCATAGCTGAGGTTGGCATTCCAGAATCTAAATTTTTAACAGGCTCTCCCCATGTGATATTTGTATACCCTAAAGTTTTAGAAACCCTTTTCTACCAATTCAATCCACCTGGAGATTATTCATTCATTTATCTAACAGTGCATGCCAGGAACAGTTCCTCTTTTCATCAAGCTGTTTCGTACATTAAAAAGTCTTAAGCGTGTTTATCAACAGTAGAAAGGATAAATAAAATGTGATGTGTTCATACAATGGGTTACTATATAGCACTAAAATGCACCAATTACCGCTACACAAAACAACAATATGGATAACTCACGGACCATGATGAGCAAAAAGAACTAAACGTATAACAGTACATACAATATGTTCCATTTATATGGAGTTTAACAGCAGGCTACTCTATGGTGATAGATGTGAGAACAGTGATTTCTAGGGGGTGATATTGACAGGGTAGAGACACAAAGCGTACCTTCTGAAGTGTCAGAATTGTTGTTTAATCCAGAGGTATTTACTTGTGTGTGTATGTGTGCATATGTATGTGTAAGTAAAAGTTTATTGGAGAATTGTGTACTTTGCTGTATGTGATTTATACTTCAATTAATACAATAAAAATAAATAAATGTAGTTCTGGGCTTTCGAAAGAGAAGAAGGAGTGAGAGAGAGAGAGAAACTTGAGTGACTTCACCATTGAGTGAAGAGTAAAATCCAAACTCCTTAGCATGTCTTTTAAGATCTTTCACAATATACTCATAACCTAACTTCAAACTGAAGTCCTACCACATCTCTTCTCCAATCAGGCTCACCCTCTTGTGTCTAATTTTATTGAATAGAACTCACGGTTCCTCAACTTCCTTTGCTTCTTCTCCTCCTTTCTTTGTGATCACATCTCATCAACTAGAGTATTATTCTTTCTCCATCCACATCTTAACCCTACTTGAAGCTCCAATTCTGTTTCCTCATGCCCTCTTTTCCTGACCACTTTTGGGTTGAATTGAGCTCCCCAAAAAGATATGTTGAGTTTTATCTCCTGGTACCTCATTTGGAAATTAGGGTCTTTGTAAATGTAATTAGTTAAATTAACATGAGGTGATACTGGATTAGGGTGGACACTAAATCCAATGACTTGTGTCCTTATAAGAAGGCTATGTGAAGACACACAAAGAGAAACATGTGAAGACAGACACAGAGATGGGAGTAATATGTCTGTAAGCCAAGGAATGCCAAGATTGGCCAGCAACCACCAAAAGCTAGGAAAGACACAAGCAAAGATTCCCTGCTAGAGTCTTCAGAAGGAACCCTGCAACACCTTGATTTTGGACTTCTATCCTCCAGAACTGTGAGAAAATAAATGTTATTTGTTTTAATCCATCTTGGATGGGGTAATTTCTTAAGACAGCCTGAGGAAACTAATACAACACTCCTACCCAAAGTTATCTCTCTTACTTCTTGACTTCTACAGCTCCTAAATTCTAAACATTTCACTTGACACCTATGGTAGACATCCTCTCACATGGCCCCCAGTTATTCCTACCTCATGGTATTAGTCCTTTTGTATACCCCCTTTCACATTGATAGGACTCACCCATGTCACTGATAGTATATTATGAAAATGATGCATTATTTCTAAGTGTGAGTCATAAAGGACATTGCAGCTTCTGCCTTGCTTGCTTGGACCATTCACTCTTCGAGAAGACATACACTTAGAACATTCAGGACACCCTGTGGAGAAGTCCACCTGGTAAGGAATGGAGAACTCCTGCCAACAGCCATCATGAACTCCCATTTATATAAGTGAACCACCCTGAAAGTGGCTTCTTCAATCCTAGTCAAGCCTTCAGATGACTTAAGCCTAGCTAAGATGACTCAAGTCTAGCTAAGGTCTTGACACTGCAATTTTGTAAGAGATCTTGAACCAGAACGACCACCTAAGCCACTCCTGGATTCCAGACCCACAAAAACTATGGAAGATAATAAATGTCTGTTGTTTTAAGACACTAGAGGGTTATGGAGTATTTTTTCTGCAGCAATAGATAAATAGTACGACCTCTATTATAATATACTGTCTCCCATTTCCTAACCCTTCTTGGGAAGATCTTGACTTCTCAACCAGATTACAAACTCAAGGGCAGGGGTCATTTCTTGTGTCTCTTTGCATATGTACACACACACATACACACACAAATACACATATATATGTGTGTGTATACATAGACCATGTGTCTGGTGAACATGTGTGAATGAATGAATAAGCACAGTATATCCCACTAGGTAAGCTTTCAGAATATTGCATTCAACCAACAAATGTATCTCTTATTTCAAAATTCAGCTTGTGAAAACTTCTCTCACAATGAAATATTTGAGAAAAGCTGTGTTTGAAGCCATTTTGAAACCAACCTTCTTTCTCTCCCACCCATTTCGCTGCCTCTCTGGTGTTGCTTGTTGGCTTCTGAAATGTAGGTCACCTCCAGTGGCATGACCTAATTAGGAGATGTAATTTAACAGAAAAAATAAAATAAAAGAAATCCTCTGAGATGGCAGATTTGAAAGAAAGAAGAGTGGTTCTTTCATTTTGTTTTTGGCAATAGCTTCCCTACTAAAGTTCTCCCCTTTCCACCCCCCCAAGCTACTTTGTAAAGCACAAAGAAGAAAGGTAGAAACGCATTCAGGAGCAGCTGGAAATGATGAATTTATAATGATCACAGAAGGACTAAGAGTAAGCTTTACTTCACTAAAGTGGCTCCACGGGGCTGCTTCTTGGCAGCACAATGAGTGAGACTTTGGAGGAAAACGTATTGATGATGCTGATACAAAGTACCACACGCTCTGAGGATAGAAGGCAACCTTATGGCTCATCTAATCCAACCCCTCAGGAAATGCTGTGACACCTGGTGTGTTTGTAACACAATAAAACTCCACACACAAATTATCCAAACAATAGATTTTTTTCTTTATACATTTGGCACTCTTGTTTTAGAAGAGAGAAAAATGGCAAGCAAGCTAAACAAATTTTAATAGTTCATCACAAAATTCACTTGCAGGGGATGTCATCAGGCCAGGTTGGATTCAATCCATCTCCCTCACCTCTTCCTCTCAGAGGCATGATGCTTGGTTACTGTAAAATGCTTAAGTGCTTTCTGAATCACCCCAGAAACACTTAACTACACTGATCATAATTGAATGCATTATTAATTCTTTATTTGAAACTGATATTTCATGTTTATCATTAGATAATTTCATTTATCCATCCAGCAAAACTCAAAAGCCTGCATAACCTGCCTAGTGGTTGACATTTATTCCCATTTTACAGAGGCACAGAAAGGCTAAGTACTCACATAAGGTCAAACAGCTGATAAAAGATGAAACCAAAAAGCAAACCCAGGCAATTTGACTACTATGTTCTTAATTCCTTACATTACTTTATTTATTTATTTATTTATTTATTTATTTATTTTTGCTTTCAAGTCTTTGTTTTTATTCAACTTTTATTTTAAGTTCTGGGGTACATGTGCAGAATGTGCAGGTTTGTTACACAGGTCAATGTGTGTCATGGTGGTTTCCTGCACAGATCAACCCATCACCTAGGTATTAAGCCCAGCATCCATTAGCTATTCTTCCTGATGCTCTCTCTCTCCCCTTTCCCCACCCCTAACAAGCCCCAGTATGTGTTGTTCCCTGCAATGTGTCCATGTGTTCTCATCATTCAGTTTCCTCTTACAAGTGAGAACAAGCGGCATTTGGTTTTCTGTTCCTGCGTTCGTTTTCTGAGGATACAGCTTCCAGCTCCATCCATGTCCCTGCAAAAGACAAGATCTTGTTCCTTGTTATGGCTGCATAGTATTCCATGGTGTATATGTACCACATTTTCTTTATCCAGTCTATCATTGATGGGCCTTTGGGTTGATTCCATGTCTTCACCATTGTAAATAGTGCTGCAATGAACATACGCATGCATGTATCTTTATAATAGAATGATGTATATCCCTTTGGGTATACAACCTGTAATGGGATTGCTGGGTCAAATGACATTTCTGCTTCTAGATCTTTGAGGAATTGCCACACTGTCTCCACAATCCTTGAACTAATTTACATTCCCATCAACAGTGTAAAGGTGTTCCTTTTTCTCCGCAGTCTTGTCAGCATCTGTTGTTTCTTGACTTTTTAATAATCACCATTCTGACTGGCGTGAGATGGTATCTCACTGTAGTTTTGACTTGCATTTCTCTAACGATCAGTAATGTTGAGCTTTTTTTCATGTTTCTTGGCCACATGAATGTCTTCTTTTGAGAAGTGTCTGTTCGTGTATTTTGCCCACTTTTTAATGGGGTTTTTTTTCTTGTAAATTTATTTACATTTCTCTTTTTTTTTTTTTTCTGAGATGGAGTCTCGCTCTGTCACCCAGGCTGGAGTGCAGTGGCACAAACTCAGCTCACTCCAGCCTAATTTTTTTAATTTTTTAGTACAGATATGGTTTCACCATGTTGCCAGGCTGGTCTCAAACTCCTGGCCTCAAGTGATCCACCCACCTCGGCCTCCCAAAGTGCTGGGATTCCAGGCATGAGCCACTGTGCCTGGCCTACATTACTTTAAATTAACTATAAAACTATTATTCTTTATCTACTTGGAATCTATGGGAGTTTTCTGTGTAGACAGTATATCCATTTATCCCTACAAGTAACTTCCTAACTGTAGGAAAGAACCCCAGTCATTTTTTGCCTTTTTTTTCATCCCATCACACTCATGGGAGATGTCCCACTACCACTGATACCCAAAGTTCATCCACCACTCTCCATGTTTCTGAACATGGGATTTTGATATGCTCTCCTCCTACCCACTTTCTATTAAGAATTCCTACCCTATCATTGGGAAGTTTCACTGAGCATGAGGAGCTCTGCAGATTCACTTCTCAGTGAAACTGATAAAAATTATTTTTGAAAACAATAATTTAAGGTCTCTGCAAATAGCCTTACCAAAATATAGTAAATGAAGAAACATTTATTCTTGAAAATCTACTAAAACTAAAAAGTACAAGTGTTAGTAATATTCGAACCAAGACCAACATACTTCCTTCCCTCTCCCAGCTCAGGAAGGTGGAGATTTCACTCCAAACTGCAGCTGAAAACAAAGGGCTTCTTCTCCCTCCTGCTACCAGTCTGAGGGCTATTTTCCTGGGAGGAGTAGGGCATTTGGTATTTCTCATCTTTACTCCAGCTTTCTGTTGCTGAGGCTAAGTTTTGGGTGAGTGTGGCCAAAAGGTGAGGGTTCCCTTCTGCCCAGCAGCCCCCACTGCTATGAGAATACTGACGCCCTATCTTGGGGATGCTGCTATGAGAGTACTAGGGCCCCAGTTGTGCTTATCTTGGCTTGTAACACTGGGATTCCATGCCAAAAGTGGCAGCCTGGTGCTGCACCCTTCTCATCCACTAAGCACTCAGCTTCTAAAGCAAGAATGTCACTCAGAGGAAAACACACTGTGATCCCTGCCCCCAACACCAGAACCTGGATCACAGATTTTGTTTGAGGGAAGAAGCAGGTCATAGAACAGAGAGCTCCAGATCTCTCCCCAAAGGAACTGACTTTAATTCAACAGCGTGTGAAAGAGTACAAGCCTAAAGGTGCTCTCGAAAGCAGTGGCAGTTGTGATGTAAGGCAATTTGAAGTTGATTGAGAGTTGCTGGACATTCAGACAAAGCTGTAGGACAGCTAGTTTGCTGGAAAGACATGAAGAAAGTGACATCTTACCTTCCTGAGGTAAGAACAAATTGCAAATATCTGGCCTCAGAACTTTTCCTTCAAAGGAGCCCAAATCTGATTGGATTAGGCTGTGAATCAATTTATGCCTGGGGCATTGTTGAAAACAGAGAAATCAAGCTGGAAATTAATAAAGTTTAAAGTTGTGTCTGGTCAAGGAAAGAGAAAAACAGTCAAAGTAAGCCCAGTTAAAACCACTATCATTGCAGGTGACTGTGGGCATATCTAACATTACACCCCTGAAGAGCAACATCAGAGACTTCACACTGCTAGAGGGATGAAATGGGAAGGAGAAATAGATTTTACTAAAGTAATTCAATCAATCATTAAAGAAGTAAACAAGCAAATAATAAAAATCCCCAGAGAGGCTGGCACTTAGGGTTGTTACAGTATATTATCCCAAATGTACAGTTTCCAACAACAAAAAAAGATACATGCAAAGAAATAATAAAGTACAATAATAATAATATAATAAAACATGACCTGTATACTGGGGTAAGGAGGGGAGAGGTGGCAACAAAAATTGACTATGAACGTGATCAGTTGTCAGTTTAACAGAAACAGGTTTCAAAGTGGCAATTATAAACATGCTCATAAAAACTAAAGGAAACCATTATTAAAGAAATAAAAGTAGATGCTTGGTTCAGCAGCTCATGTCTATAATCCTAACACTCTGGGAAGCTGGAGAAGGAGGACTGCTTGAGGAAATGAGTTAGAGATCAGCCTAGGCAACATAGTGAGACCCTGTCTCAAAAAAAAAAAAAAAAAAATTAAAATTTGCTGGGCTTAGTGGCATGCACTTGGAGTCCTAGCTACTCAGGAGGCTGAGGTAGGAAAATTGCTTTAGCATAGGAGTTCAAGGTTACTGTGAGCTATGATTGTATGATTGTGCCAGTACACTCCAGCCTGGGTGACAGAGTTAGACTCTGTCTCTAAAAAAAGAGAAAGAAAGATAGGTATGATGACAATTTTGCATCAAATGGTGAATATCAATTAAAAGATAGACATTCTATTTTTTTTAAAAAAAAGAACCAAATGGAAATTCTGGAGTTTATAAACACAATAACTAAAATGAACATTTCACTAGAGGGACTCAGTCTTAGATGTGAACTGGCAGGAGAAAGAAACAGCAAGCTCAAAGCTATATTGATAGAGTTTATGCAATCTGAAGAACAGCAGGGAAAAAATAATGAAAAATGAACTAAGCATCAGAGATATATAGAATGCCATTAACCATACTAAATGTGTATAATGAGACTACAAGGAGAGGAGAGGAAAAGCAGAAAAGATATTTGAAAAAATGAAAACCAGGTGCTATGGCTCAAGCCTGTAATCCCAGCACTTTGGGAGGTCAAAGCAGGAGGATCATTTGAGGCCAGGAGTTCAAGACCAGCCTCAGCAACATAGTGAAACCCATCTCTACAAAATACAAAAAAATAAGCTGGGTATGGTGGCATGTGCCTGTAGTCGCAGCTACATGGGAGGCTGAGGTAGGGGGATTGCTTGAGTCCTAGAGGTTGAGGCTGCAGTGAGCTGTAGTTGCACCACTGTACTCCAGCCTGGGTGATAGAGTGAGACCCTGTCTCAAAATAATAATAATAATGTCTGAAAAATATTAATCTACATATTCAGAAAGCTCAATGATCTCCAAGTAGGATAGACACAGAGAGATCCACAAATAGATGGTAAAAATATTGAAAGCTGAAGACAAGGAGAAAATCTTGAAAGCAGTAAGGAAAAAAAAAAAAAGACACATTACTCATAAGGAAACCCATATTAGGTTAACAGGTGTGTTCTTAACAGAAACAATGGAGGCCTGAAGGCAGTGGGATAACATTCAAAGTGTTCAAATAACCAGGAATCCTACAACCAGCAAGGCTGCCTTTCAAAAATGAAGGTAAAATAAAGAATAAACAAAACCTGAGAGAATCTGTTGCTAGCCAATCTGCCTCATAAGGAGTATTAAAGGAAGTTCTTTAGGCTGAAAGCAAGTGACTCCAGACAGTAACTCAAATCCACATTAGAAAATAAAGAGCACTGGAAAAAGTAATTATGTAATTATAAAAGACATTAGAAATGCATAGTTCTGGTTCTTTCTTCTTTAAGTGATTTAAAACACAATTGTCTAAAACAATATGCACATAATGTATTGTTGGGCCTATAACATGCAGAAAAGTAATATATTTACCCACAATGGCACAAAGAAGGTAGATGGGAAAAAAGCTTATTGGGCAAAGGAAATGACTCCAGATGGTAACTGGAATCCACAGGAACAAAAGAAGAGAAACAGAATGATGAATAAGAAGATGAATATAACAAAAGTTACAAATATATACTTGTTCTCCTTCTGTTAGCTGTTTTAAAAGACATAAAGTAAACAAATATAACAATGTATTATTGGGATTGTAACATTTATAAATGTAATATGTATGATAATAATACCAAAGGGGGAAAAGGAATACAATTATAAAGGAGTAACATTTCAATATTTCATGGGGATTAACTTAATATAAATCTGAAGCTATTTCTGATAAGTTAATATGTATATGGTCCCTAGAGCAACCAGTAAGGAAATAACTCAAAACATGAAAATACAAAAATCAGTAAAGCTGGATACATGACATTATGCATTTATTAAAACCCACAGAACAATACAATACAACACAGAGTAAATGCTAATATAAACTATAGACTTTAGTTAATAATTAGTATCAATATTGATTCATAAATTGTAATAAGTGTCCCCTAGAAATGCAAGATATTAATAACAGTGGAAATTATATGGTGGTGAAAGACAGGTTAAATGGGAACTCTTTTACTTTTGGCACAATTTTTCTGTAGACTTAAAACTACCTTACAAAATAAAAACCTATTAGAAAAAAAAAATCTCAAAGTCTCTGACCAATGATTTTTTAAAATTATTAAATAAATTTAAGTGGTATATTAGAAAATCTCTACTTAATGCTAATAAAAGCACTAAAAGACGAGTAGAAGAATGAAGAAGGCATGAGAAGGAAAACAAAAAACAGCAGATGTAAGCCCAACTATATTAATATTAATCTTAAATGTGAATGGATTAAACACCCCAATTAAATGTCAGAGATTGTCACACTAGAAAAGTCCAACCCTACACTGTCTATAGGAGACATATTTAAGATTCAAAGATTAAAATATATTGAATGTAAAAGGATGAAAAAATATTATGAAATAGTAACCACAAGAAAGCTGGAGTGGCTATACTAATATCAGGCAAGACAGACTTTAAAAGGAAAAAAAATTACTAGAGATAGAGAAGGTCATTTTATAATGATAAAAGGAGCAATCTATGAGGAAAATATAAAAATTAGGAACATACATACATTTAACAAGAGAGCAGCAAAACAAAAGGAGCGAAAACTGACAGAAATGAAGGGGGAAATGAACAATTAAAAAAGACAATAATAAAAGGAGAAATTCAATGATAATAAGAAACTTAAGTACCCCACTTTAAATAATGGATTTAAAAAACTGGGCAGAAGATCAACATTTCAACAACACTATAAACCAAATAGACCTAACAGACATCTGTGAATAACTCCACCCACCCCAAAACAGCAGACTATAGATGATTTTCAAGTGCTTAAGGAACATTCTCCAGGAGAGAACATAAGCTAGTCCATAAAACAAACCTCAACAGAGTTAGAGGAATAAGTATAGCCCAAACTACGTCCTCCAAATATGATGGAATGAAGTACAGAAATTAGTAACAGAAGAAATTTTGGAGACTCTGAAATATTTGGATATTAAATAACATACTCCTAAAAAACCAGTGGGTGAAAGATAAATCAAAAGGTAAATTAAAGAAGATTTTGAGATAAATGAAAATTAAAACATAGCAAAATCATGAAATATAGCTAAAGCAGTGTTCACAGGGAAATTTATAGCTTTAGATACTTAAAAAAGTAGGATCTCAAATCAATAACCTAACTTTCCACCTTATCGCACTGAAAAGAAAAGCAAATTTTCATGCCCAAAGACAGCAGAAGAAAGGAAATAATAAAGATCAGAGGAAAAATTAATGAGAGACAATGAGAAAAATAATAAAGAAAAATCAATAAAACCAAAATCTGCTTCTTTGAACACAACAAAATGGACAAACCTTTAGCTTTGTCAAGAAAACAGGAGAGAACACTCAAATTACTACAATCAGAAATGAAAGAGGGGACATTACTACCAACCATACAGAAGTAAAAAGATGTATCAAATAATACTATAAACAAATATATGCCAATAAACTGGACCACCTAGATGAAATAGACAAACTCCAAAAAGGAAACCGACTGAAGAACAAACAAACAACCTTAATAGACCAATAACAAGTAAAAAGATTGAATCGGTGACCAATAAACTACCCATAAAGAAAAGCCCAGGCTCAGATGGCTTCACCAGTGATTTTTATGACACACTTAAAGATTAATACCAATTCTTCACAACTCTTCCAGACAATAGAAGAGGAACACTTCCTAATCCATTCTGTGAGGCCAGGATTACCCTGATGCCAAAACCAGACAAAGGTATAACACAAAAAAAGAAAACTACAGACCAATATCTCTTATGAATATGGATTTAAAATTTCAACGAAATACTAGCAAACTGAATCCAGCAGTATAAAAAAAGAATTGTACACCTGTAATCCCAGCACTTTGGGAGGCCGAGGTGGGTGGATTGCTTGAGTCCAGGAGTTCAAGACCAGCCTAGGCAACATGACAAAACCCCGTCTCCACTAAAAATACAAAAATTAGCCTGGCACGGTGGTGTGCGCTTATAATTCTAGCTACTCAGGAGGCTGGGGCAGGAGAATTGCTTCAATCTGGGAGGCGGAGATTGCAGTGAGCTGAAATGGCACCACTGCACTCCAGCCTGGGTGACAGAGTGAGACTGTCTCAAAAAAAGAAAAAAAAAATGAATAGCATGACTAAGTAGCATTTATCCTAGGAATACAAGATTGGTTTAGCATCCAAAAATCAATAAATACAATGCACCTTATTGAAAACAAAAACAAAAACCATATGGTCTTTTTTTGTCAAAAAGCCATTTGACAAAATTCAGCATGCTTTCATGATAAAAAATATTTCACAGACTAGGAACGGAAGGAAACTTCCTCCACCTGATAAAAGGAACCTACAAAAACCCACAGCTAACATCATATTAATACTTAATAGTAAATGTCTACATACTTTCTCCTAAGATCAAGAAAAAGACAATGTCTGCTCTTGCCACTTCTATTCAATATTGAACTAGAGGTTCTAATCAAAGCAACTAGATGAGAAAAATAAATAAAATGCATCCAGATTGGGAAAGAATAAATAAGACTATGTCTATTCACAGATGACATGAACTCGTATTATAGAAAATCCTAAGGAATCCATGAAAAAAACTGCTGGAACAAACAAGTTCTGTAATGTTGTAAGATACAAAGCCAATATTCAAAAATCAACTGTATTTCTATACACTTGCAACAAAGTATCCAAAAGTGAAATAAAAAAAAACAATTCCACTTAAAATAGCATCGAAAATAATAAAACATGTAGGAATAAATTTAATGAAAGGAGTACAAAACTTACACACTGAAAACTATAAAATATTGTTGTAAGAAATTAAAGAAGATCTACATAAAATAGAAAAACATTTCACTTTGATGAATTGAAGGATTTAATATTGTTAAGTTGGTAATACTCCCCAAACTAAGCTACAGATTCAACAAAATCCCTATCAGAATCCCAACTGGCTTTTTTGTAGAAACTTGCAAGGCAATTCTAAAATTCATATGAAATTGGAAGGAGTCAGAATCACTAAATTCATCCTAAAAAGAGTAAAGTTGGAGGATACACACTCACCAATTTCAAAACTTACTACAAAACAACAGTAATCAAGACAGTATGATGCTGACATATAGTTACAAATAAACATGTACACCAATGGATTAGCACTGACTGTCCAGAAGTAAACCCATGTGTCTCAACTGTCTTTCTACAATGCCGAGACAATTCAATTGGAAAAAAATAATACTTTTAACAAATAGTGCTGGAACAAATGCATAGCTACAGGCAAAAGGATGAAATAGGACCCTTACCTTAAAAGTTAACTCAAAATGGATCAAAACCTAAGTATAAAAGCTAAATTTCTAAGACTTATAGAAGAAAATATAGGGGTAAATCTACCTGACCTCAGATTTGACAATGTATTCTTAGATACCACACCAAAAGCATGATCAACAAAAGAAAAAATAGGTAAGTTGGACTTCATCAAAATTTAAAACTTCTTTGCTTTAAAGAACACTGTCAACAAAATGAAAGGACAACCCACAGTATGGGAGAAAATATTTACAAATCACATATAAGGAACCTGTACACAAAATATATAAGAAGTCTTCCAACTCCTTAATAAAAAGGCAACTTGGTTTTAAAATGTGCAAAGGATTTGAATAAATGTTCTCCAAAGAAGATACACAAATGGCCAACAAACACATGAAAAGATGTCCATCTATTAGTCATCAGGTAAATGTAAATCAAAGCTACCAGATGTCACCACACACCAAGATGGCTAAAATCAAAAAGTTAGGTAATAACAAGTATTGGTGAGGAGATAAAGAAACCAGAACCCTCATATACTGCTGGTGGGAATGTAAAATGGTACTGCTGCTTTGGAAAACAGTCTGACTCTTCCTAAAATTGTTAAACATAGTTTGTCATACAATCCAGCAATTTTATTCTTAGGTATATACTAAGAAAAATGAAAATGTATGTCCATACAAAAACTTGTACATAAATGTTTATAGCAGTGTTATTCATAATAGCCAAAAGGTAGAAATAGCCCATACATCCATCAATTGACGAATGGATAAACAAAACGTGGTATATGTATACAATGGAATATTATTAGGCCACAAAAAGAAAGGAAGTATTGATACATACTACAACATGAATGAGCTTTGAAAACACCATGTTAAATGCAAGACGCTAGTCACAAAAGGCCACATATTATATGAGTCCATTTATATGAAATGTCCAGAGTAGGCAAATCTACAAAGACAGAAAGTAAATTAGTGGTTGCTTATGGCTGGGAGAAATGAGGAGTAGGGGAGGGTGACAGCTAAAGGGTAGAGGGTTTCTTTCTGAGGTGAAAAAATTATCCTAAAATTGACTGTGGTGATGGTTGCACACATCTGTGAATGTACCAAAAACCATTGAATTGTACAATTTAAATGCATGAATTCTATGGTATGTGAATTATATATCAATAAAATTATTGTAGAAAATTCAACGGCATTCTACAAAATGTCTGACCAGTATTCTTTAAAACTCAAAGTCATCCAAAACAAGAAAGGTCAGAGAAACTGTCACAAACCAGAGGAGGCTAAGAAAACACCATGCTCAAATGTCATGTGGTGTCTTGGATGGAATCCTGTAACAGAAAAGAGGCATTTGGGAAAAACTAATGACTCCTGTATAAAAGGTGGAGTTTAGTCAATAATAATGTACCAGTGAGGCATCTTTACTTGTGACAAATGCGCCCCCAGTAAGGTAAGATGGTAACAACATGGAAACTGGGCGAGGTGTATGCAGGAACTCTTGGTATTATTATTGCAACTTTTCTATAAATCTAAAGCTACCTCTAAAATAAAATGTTTATTTAAATTTCAAGGAAAGGAATCCCTACCCTAGCTCAGTGTTTCCCAACTCCTCTTATTTTTAGGAGTTAGCTATAGAAGACCACGAGCCTCCTTTGTGGAGGGGCCAATGAAAGGTTGTTAGGGGTGAATGCTGCTCGAAAGGGCAGGGAGGAGATGGATTACACTGCTGGACATCATTTAAAAGACAGAGAGGAAGTAGTAAAAAAAAAAAAAAAAAAAAAAAAAAAGCGTGGCAGAGGCTGTCACCTAATCCTGGTGGCCAAAGTTGAGCCTTGGCTGCAAACATTTAGGAGGTTAGAGAAGAGCAGCTGGAAAGGAGGAAGGGGTCTGGCTGACTGATGGAGGGGGCTAGGCCAGGATGTCGGGTGTCAGATGGGTTGTCAGCGCAGAAAAGGAGCAAAGAAGGCACAGGAGCCACAGCACCTGCTCCAGGTCATGTAGATTGTCATTTTCTCCTCACCAGATAATTATTTACAAGTGTCCATTTCTCACAAAGCACAAGAGCAGATAGAGATGACCATAGACACCTTTTCTCCTGGTAATTCCCACTGGACTAATGTCCTGAAAGGCATACGTACTTTGTGAAATGTTTTTTGAGGACACAGCCTTACAGGAATATCTTATAAACATAAGATTTCATTGCCAAAACAAGCAAATGTTCAGAATGTAGGACTCTAATAAAAATAGCAAGACGAGAATCTGATCAGAATATAGAAGAGAAATCACTTAGGCATTTTATTGGGCATTTACTACAAATTGTGTCCTAAGTTGGAGGCTGGGGTAGGGGGTAGAGGACAAAAATCATCTCTCCTGGCCCCTGAGAAACTCACAATCAAGGTGAGTCTGTATGAGAGGGGAGGAGATGAGGAAGACAGTGGTCCAGAAGAGAGATAATTTAAAAAGGAAGAAAGAAAAAGAAAAAGAAAAAATCACAATACAAAGCCAAAGGGCTAATCATAGAGATCTAAGCCGACCTCTCGCCCCTCCTGCAAAAACTCGAAGTCAGAAGAAAACCTACCCAGGGGGTATGAAGTGTAGAGGAGACATGAGAAGCAGTAATCTTGGCTGACCCTCACTGAGCATTCACTGTGTACCTGTAGGAACCATGCTAAGAACTTGACATGCCTTATGCCATCTAATGACACAACTCTACAGGAAAGCACATTTTAAATCCCCATTTTCTAAATTGTGAAATTAGAGTTCAGCAACATTCCATGACTTGCCCAAGGACACAGAGATAGGAAATATTGGAACTGAGGAAATCAGTCTTTCTCTAGATCTATGGGTTTAATGTCTAAATGACTTTGTCTAGGCAAAAGAATGCAAGCTAAAAATAACAGATTCTTTCCTCATATTAAAATGAAACTTTGCACAGGGATGAAAGAAAAAAAAATCAAGATCTAAGTCCTCCATCCTTAAGTCCAACCTTACAATCAGGGTCTGCCTCGGCCTGATGGAGGAAGATGGAAATAGGAACAAAAGAGAAATGGTAAATGCACAGGTGTTAGCCACACTCCAGGGAGCCCCTGCTGTTCTGCAAGGGGAAGGAGGAGATGGCCTCAGCTCCAGTTAGCACTTCCCATCCCAAGACTATTGATCCAGTGAGACAGTGACACAGAGACAGCAGAGAGAATTAATAAATAAGTACTTGGAGCCATTACTGCTTCAGAATTACATATGCAACCAGCTAGTGGCCATTTTAAGATGAGGGAGGGGAGTGCATAGAGACGGTAAGAAAAAAAGGCAGAAATGTCTGTTGAACAATGGCAAAGAGTCAGACAAGTTTATTTGTTTGTTAGAGCTGGGAGATCTCAACTCCCTCGGGCAGAAGCCTGTTAGCCTCATCGCTGCAAGGTTTTTCCAGTTAGAGGCATAAATGAATACTTACGGGTTCTTGAACATATTATACACAATATGTAAAAGCAGACCCATGTATAATAATGTGTGGAAATGTCTTGGCCATATTTCTGATGCCAGAAGGTCTTGTAGCCAAAGTAGGAGTAAGTGTGGCATCTGAGACACATTCCAAGAGCCCCCATTCAGTTTGGTATCACCCAGACATTTTGGTACAAGCAAGCCCTTTTCAACCCATACACTCAACTTCCAGACCTCAAATCTCTCCACCTTTACTCATTGTCCCCATTCTAAGATCTAAACCAGCCTTCCTAGTTGTCACTTTTGCCTGAGGCTAATGTGACTTCACATTCCATGAGTCTGAATATATGAATTTTAAGAAATTACATGAGTGACGTGAATATCTTTGTGTAGATGGAACCCACTTGAATAATGCTTTTTAAGGTCATATTTTCTTACATTTGCCAATAAGAAATTCATGATAGAGTTTTTTTTCTTAAATGCTTCCCTAGTACCTTCATTACATATTCTGAATCAGAAAAATATGACTCTACAGAAACATGTATGTCACGTAAATTGTAAGCTGCACCTATATTGAAGTAAAATATGGGAAGAAGTTGTGGGACTGGATGCTGCTTAGGAAAGACATAATCTGGGGATCTAGTTGTCAGTATGGATGATAACTGATACCTACAGTTCTCAGCTTATATTGGGGTATTCCTCCACCACTGATTACCAATGCCAGATTCTGTTTCAGTGGAAAAAGCATAGGATATTAGTGGCGGAGAGCCAACTAGAATACATTTTGTTGACCCTCTTACTTCACAGATGAAGAATCTAAAATCTACAATGTTGAGTGACTTATTCAAGATCATGGAGCTTTGCAAGTTTGTTAAACATCCCAGGTCTCATAAACATTTTTAAACTTGGGCTCAGCCTATGTGACCCAACCTGCTGAGGATATGAAGTCATTACAAAAATTTTCTCTCATTGCCAGGCTAGGAAATGAAGGCCATTGAATACTGTTACCCAAAAAGGATTAGGGTGTCAGGGGCAGGTACAGGTGTTATGGGACTTGAAGTTTATAAAACTTCAAAGCTTCTCTGAGGGAAAACAATGCTAAGCTAAAAATATAAATTGGGTACAAAAAGAGAATATTTATTTAGAATGAGGAAATAAAATGTAATTAATTTTTTAAATGGACATGAGTTGGGCATGGTGGCTTGCACCTGTAGTCCCAGCTACTCAGGAGGCTGAGGCAGGAAGATCACTTGAGCCCAGGAGTTTGAGGCTGCAGTGAGCTATGATGGCACCACTGCACTCCAACCTGTGCAAAAGAGCAAGACACTGTCTCTAAATATAAAATAATAAGGTGGGAAAATATCAAATACATCACAAATACCAAAAAAGTAATGTTTTTATTAATTAACATCCTCACATGCCTATAATACTTGTTCCTCTACAATCTTTGCTGCATGCTCTTTAGTAACTTCTTCACATGACAAGGATTTTGTAAATTCTTTCCTATAGGAAAAACTCAAAAGCAATTCAGTCTTTCCTCTAGCATCATTGACCAAAATTCACCTTCTATTATTGACGGTTTAGAAAAAATTTTTTATTTTTTTTAGTTCCAGAAGTCATTCTCATGTAAACTATTAGGATAGTTGTCAAATCTTGGGGAACTTATCAAATTTCTTTTATACATATGAAGTGTAAGATGTGGAATAATTTTCCAAAAGCTAACTTCTGGCTCTATTTGAAATATTGTTATTCCCTGTATACCCACATACTCCTAATCTCAGACATCGTATCGGGATACCATCAGAACCATCCAGGCAAGAGGGAACCTGTACTTCACAGGAATACATTCTGCTCCTCTGCCCTTGGTGTCTCTCTGCACAGGGCAAGAAATCTGCAGGGCTAGGAGACATGTCTGCTCAAAACCCATGCCCCCTACTTCTTGATCTCACTCCAAGTACACAGGACCCTGGAATTTATTGGTGAAACAGAGCCTACCTAGATCTCTTCCTGGAGTCTTTCCTCCCAAGGGCAAAATGTATCCTCAAGTGTGATTATTCTTTGGCCAGCTTCAGAGCCATGGACAGAGCCCATGGAAGTGAAAGGCCCTGAAGCTTAAAATGCACTAGCCTCATGGCAAATCCACCTCTATGCAGAGGCTCTGCGATGAAGTCTTCTGCATCTTGTACCACAACCCAATCTGGAAGCTACTCCACCCACCAAAAGTACAGTCTATAAAAACTTCACCACTGCCTCAGCATGGCAACCATGCAGAGGAAGCAGTTAGAAAGAGATCAAAGAGATAAAAATGTGTGTGGCTCTGAACACTGTGAAATCTTCCTAGATAATGATTAAATGGCAGCAGATATCTTGCCTGTCTGTCCTTCTGAACCAACATGGCTCCATCTTGGCATTTCTCAGAGGAAAGCCCATGGCCATGTAGTGCCTTCAATGTTCCCATCTGGCAGAAGTTGGGCAACATTTCCAAAAATCTAATCTTTTCACATTCTCTTCTTTCTTCTTAACCTCACGTAGCACACCAGGCACCTGGACCCCTTAACAGACCAGAAGACTGGTCAGATGACCCTCTCTGGACGCAGTCAATAGAGGGCAAACTCCCACTCTCTTCATGCAGTGTGCATTGGAGTGAGGCAAGGAAGGGAGTGTGGGAGGAGTGGCCAAGGAAGGTTGCCCACCCTGGTCTAAAATGAAGACTTTTCAAGAAAAAACTGACCACTTTGGGGGCCTCTCGTGCACTGAGCATTAATTTCTCAATGCTTCTCCTCCCCAGCTCCCCTCTAACTCTTTGGCCCCTGTGCCCATGGTTGTCTCCTCATGCCACCACGGCATCTGCTCAGAGGACACCCGCCTGATGACCAAGATGAATCATGCTTAGGAAAGCTCCTGGGCAACCCTAGGCAATCCAGCAAAGCCCCCTAGACTTTCTCTAGCATGCACCCCTCCTCCCCACAACCACGGGGTCTTCAGGAGTTCTGGCCATCTCTCCTGACCCTCTGAGGTCCAATTTTCAAGCACTTTTATTCACATTCAAGGTACGAGATTAATAACACCCCCTACCTTAAGGTATATGTTTTGAAAAAGAGGACAATGTCTTAAGCAGAAGATTCAAAGTGAATGAACTTTAATTAAATGTCCAATAAAGAGAGATATAGATATGGATTTTAAGAAAAACTTCTAGGCATCTTAAAATAGGGTAGTCCATTTAATCCCCACATTTAAGCTTCCCTGTAATGGGAAGAAATAAATAAACTGAGAGCTTTGGGGTAGGAAGACAGGGTCGAGGGGTAACCTGGGAGGGGGCTGGGTGACTTGTTGCAAAAGTCAGAAGACCATGAGTCAGGGTGGGATCAGTATAACACTGTCATGAATTCTATCTTGCTGGCTTCTGTGCATGTGCTCCTGCGTGCGCGCGCGCGCGCACACACACACACACACACACACACACACACACACACACACACACGGTACAAATGCCTTTGTGGGAGGTGCTATTACCAACACCAAGTCTAAATCTAAGCCTCTCATTTTGTATTCCCTGCACTGTAAGGGGCAGCCCAAGGGGGCCGGGGTGGAGGGCGGGTGGGAGGCACATCTAGAAGAAGAAGGACAGATTTAAAAGGAAAGATTATTTATGAGGCCATGAAGACGTTCTTCCCAGACTCCTGAGTGCAGGAGTATGACTTATTTATTTTATTTTCGTTTGTAACCAAAACCTTCCCCTGACTCCCATTGGCCCCAGCTGAGAGGGGAGAGAGGGCCGGCCCGTCAGGCGTTGATCACCGGGCCAACGGGAGACAGTGTGGCGTGATGCTGACGCAGCCCACTGACAAGCCAGGGAGGCCCAGGGGAGCAGCTCTGAGCAGAGCAGCCAGAGCCAAGCAGGTAGAGAGCTGACAGCCGGGGAATTGCTAAGAGGCGCCGGGCTGGTGGGGGCAGGATGGTGAAACAGTTGGACTCGAGAGAAGGTGTGATTTGTGATGCACAAACTGTCGTTTACCCACTCCCCTTGGAGTCCTCTCCACGTCCCTCAGCTCCATCAACCTCTCTCCAGTTTAAATTTCCTCTCTCCCTTCCCCCTCCTGCATGCTCACTCCGTGGGTCCCCGCATTTCTATTCAATAATGTTTCTCTCCCTGTCTCCTTTTGGGAGAAGGAAGGGAGCAGATGAACACACATTAATAACATCAAAATGTCACATAAGTGATCAGCTGGAGGGGGCAGTCTCTCTGATGTCCTCAAGGCATCCTATTTAGGAATTGATATCTGCAGAGCCAGAAGAAAGCACAGCTGCTCTGGGGTACAGGCTAGGGAGTTAAGGGGATGGCTGTGTCAGTGTTGGGAATTCGTGCACTTACGGTGCAAAAGCACAAGGTGCATGAATTACCAAAGGCCTCAAGAACTGCCTGGTCCCACTCTCCTCCCTGGAGAGAGGCATCGCTGAGAAAACAGGAGCTTGTGTCTCCAGACTGGAGTTCTCTTTTAAGAAAATGGAAGTTGGGAGGGAAAGGGAGAGAAAAGCTTCAAGCCTATGGATAAGTCCTGAATCCTCCTCAGAATAGTGACCCCCGACATATGCACTGACGTGCCCATTTATTGAGAATCTCAGAATTCTTCGCAAAGGTGTCCCATTTAAGAAAATCCTCCATCCTTTTCAGGCAAAAGCAACAAACAGTAACAGAATAAAACTTTACTCATCAGATGGTGGTTACCAGTCTTTCCCTGCCATTTTTCTGGATGATGTTTAAAACCATGAGACTCCTGCTGGCCTTTCCCTTGTTACTGCACATAACCACATAGCCCTCTTACACTGGATGAAGCACTTTCTCCATAATGTTCACTTCTTTAATGACAGGATAGATGTTGCTGTTCTGACGACTGGAGTATTCAGACTGATGAGAACCACTGGTGATTCTCAGCAGTCCCAACATCACATGCTTCCTGTCCTGATGACCTGTGAGTCACCACTCCACCACCTCCCTATATGGGTGAGAGGTTACATCAGTCCCAGTCTATAGATGGAACAACACAGGCCCAATTGAGCAGATGTGCTTTCATGAGTCTGTCTCATACTATCTATTGCCAGGAAACAGGGTACAGTTGGAGACATATTGTTGCGTCATCTGAAGGCCTCATATTACAAGACACGACTATGAAGCTAGGCTTCACTCTATCACAGGAGTGGGAGCCTCAGACTTTAGCCCCTGGTTCCAATTCTGACACCTGCTTAGTATAGAAATACTTAGGTCCAGGAGTCAGAGGTTTGAGTTCTAGACTTAGAATTACCACTTAGCAATCACTTTCATCATGTCGCTCACCTGCTAAAAATCTTCCTATGGCTCCCTATTGCCCTTAAAATAAAATCCTAACCCCTCATCATGGAATTCAAGATTGTATCATCTGGCTTTTGCCATCTCTCTTACCCCATCTCACACCTCTCTCCCTCTCACTTGCTACTCCCCAGACACATCAGCCTATCTTTCTGTTCCTTTAAGTCACTCAGGCTGGTTCATACTTCATTGTCTTTGTACATGCTGTTCCCTCTGCCTACAATGTCCTAAAAGTGTCTGTAGTCTGCTAATCATTTCACCCTTAACAAATACTGCATTACTCAATAGGGAACACTCTCCCAGAAAAAGGTTTTTTTGGGGGGTTGGGAGGAGAATTTGAAATTTGATATATATTTTTAAAATCCAAGTAGTCATCATGGGGAAAATAAGAATCTGTCATTTGTTCATTAATTCATTCATTTAGCAGATATTTACCAGGCACCTTCTATGTTGGACTTCATTACACAACATGGTACTGTTTCTATTCGAATTACAATACACAAGCAGGGATGGGGAACTATGAGTTTTTAGAGCCTCTAGAAGTTCTAACCTAGCCCTGGCGTCAGCTCATGTGTCACCTCTTCAGAAATGCTTGTCCTGATCACATTATAAATTAGCTCTCCTTGCCTTCCCTCCACTTTCTAACACAAAACCCTGTTGTATAGAATAGAATAATATAATTTACCACTGCCCTAATTTGTTGATTGATGTATTTACTTATGTACCATCTGTCTCCACCAATTCATATTTAAGTTTCATGAAGGCATAACCTTGTCTCTCTTAGTCACCACCAGCACATAGAACAGTGCCTGGCACACAGACAGTGTTTGAAAAATGTCTGCTAAATAAATGAAGTAATGAATGAATGAATGTAGTCTTGGGCTAGTCGCTTAAACTCTCTGGGCCTTAGCTTTTTCATCTCTAAAATATGATCAATAACAACAACAACAAAAATACCTGCCTGAGTCAAAATGTTGGCAAGAGTTTGAAATAAAATATGTATAGACTCAATTTCCTAGAAAACAGAGCCTGAGGCAGGGATCAAGTGCTGGTGCTTTAAGTAGGAGGTACAATCCCTAGGCATTGGGAATGAGGGAAAAGGGAAAGAAAAAAAAACAGAAAGAATGAGAAGAAATAAAACACGGGTGGGCTCCTACATTGACTACTGCTTCGTGTGAAGCCACAAAGGGACACATTGGTCACTTGACAAGAGCATCCATTGGACCACACAGGACATCTTACATGGAGAAACTCTACCCTGAAGCAATGTATCAAGAGAGAACAGAACATTGGTCAATATTCACCCATTGGAGATTTTACCGCCCCACGCTTCCATATTGCCTTATCTTTACCCATGTCTCCCCAGTCTCCCCTGAAATCAACTCCTCTGTCCTTTAGTATGACATTTCACCCAAGCCTGGGAGTGTCTGGAAGAGACAGAGTCTCCAGATTGACCATGAGTGGTGAAACCCTGCAGCCCCACCCAAAACCCTTTGGCTTCAAAAGTGACAGCTACTTCAGAACAAGCAACTTCAGCGCAAGCAGGGGACAGGGAAGGATGAGAGACTCTCAGGCAGATGAGAGAATCCCACGAGGAAGAGAGGATGCATGCGAGATAGATTTGATACAGCATGAGAAAGTGGTTTAGAAACTATAAAGCTGCAAACAATGAAAAGTGATGTTGTTTTATTGGTCTTCTTTGAAATGCAACTGTCTTTCCATCTCATAGTCTCTGCACTTGTATAAGTTTGATGAGCTTTCAACTAGACTGCACAAATGAAGCCTTCCTTGTTTCCACTGTTACTGTTGAAACAGTACCTCTCTGAAACAAGCCACTTCATCTCCTCATAAAAAATCCTTATATCCAAAATAGGATCTCTAAATGGATTCTGTTAAAGTGGGGTTTTTTGCTTGCTGTATTTAGTTTCTATCCTTGAGAGAATGCAGCTAATATGAGCAATCCATATGGAAGATACTTTTCAAGTTACCTCCTTATCTTTTGATTCTCCCTCCATCAGTCTGCTTTTATAACATCAGCTTCCTTGGGGCCATTCTTGTATCGTCTACACAGTGATAAATTTTAACGCACCTCCAACATGTCATTAAATGTTAATAGCACAGAACCCATGTAATGGAAAGAATGAAAAGATTTCCCAGCCTGAAATGCCTCTGTCAGCAATTACATAACTTGTTGACATGTGGCCCCTTCATCAGGTTTATCTACAAATCCAAGACCCATACAATTAGGGGTCAACCTGAATTGGGGTCAACTGGAATTGGGTTCAGCCTGAACTGAGGAGCCACATGTGTTCTGGACTTTGATTGCATTCCAGAGCTCAGCTGAATAAAATGCCAGGCACATAGTAAGATACATACACAAACATAAACATATCATGTATATAATTCATTAAATATGTTACCAAATGAATGACTGTAGTCAGTTTAGAATGGAAATGCAAAAATTAAAAGCAAAAGCACAGGCTCTAGAACCAAAGTGCGTGGGTTCAAATCCCAGGTTTATCATAAACCAGCTAGTGTGACATTAGACAGTTGGCTTGACCTTTTTGTGCCTCTGTTTGTGCCTTGGTTTTTTTCTCCTGTAAAATGGGGATAACAGTCATACCTACCTCACAGGTTTGTTGTGATAATTAAATGACGTCGGTATTATAAGTCTTTTAGCCTAGTAAGAGTGCCTAGCGCACAGTGAACAAGGGATGCAGGTTAGCCTGGATGATAATTTCAACAGTGCTGCTAGCCACCCACCTGCCCACCCAAATCAGGAGAAGGGTGTCTCTTCAATCATGCCATCTGTCTTCACTAGTTCAACCAGACCCAGGCTTACATATGTTTAAAATCCAGTGTAAAACCTGCCTTTTAAAATTTGTGTAGCCAAAAAGAATCTCACACTAGGCATGGCATTTTCTGTCCCTTGGTGATAGACTGTGTTTTTAAACATGGTGGTATCAATTGATTTAAGTATTTTATTGAATAATTTTACTGTTCCTGTGCCCAGAGGCTTTTTAAAGCAGGGACCAATTTTTTAAATCAAATAGATAAATGTGTAGTCGTTGCACTTGAAATAAAAGCAGCACAAGCAGTAGGGCTAGAATTTCCACTTGAGCTGTATAACTATTTGCCTAATAGCCTGGAGGGTTTCCTAAAATTTAGGGAAGAAGCAGTGGGGGCTGGTGGCTGAACTTCACCGACACCATCTTAAGCCTTTTACACACCGTCACCCAGGCCTGAAACCTGTGTTCTCAAAGTACCTACCAGGATCTGGGCCACATGGGAATCATCTTATCCTCCTGGGGAGAGGTAATCTGACCTTAACTATTTCTTAAGTCCCTTTAACATTCAGCTGTGTCTCTCCCCTCAATGGTAGAATAATGAATAATGAGTCATCATTTTAGACTATTCCTGCAAACTGTTGCCTGTAACTATTTTGCACACTGCAAATCACCTTAATTTTAGTACAAAATAGCTCTCTACTATCCAAAATACTAACTTTTTTTATGGAAATACTGAAATTAAACAAATTAAAAATCAGCATCATTAATAGTAGAGCATTCTAACATTATATACCTCCTAATGTGATGCAATATGAGTGTACAGCATCACTTTTGAAGGATGTTCAACCCAAATTGGACCAAGCCTAAGGGATAAAGAAAAATGCTATGACCCAATAAAACAAGAAACATCTAGAATGTGGGATGTTCTACAAAATAGCTGGCCTAGTCTCTCAAAAAACACAATGTTGTGAGAAAAAAAAAAAGAGAGAGAGGGTGGGGTCTATTCTAGATTAAAAGTGACTAGAAACACTGAATGGAATCCATGACCTTAATGAATCTTGGTTTGAAAAATAACAGGTATAAAAGATACTTTGGGGATAACTGGGGAAATTTGAGTTTATTGGATGATATTAGAGAATTACTGTTAATGATCCTAGAAGTGACTATACTAAAGAATGTTTTTATTTTTTAAATTCATATATGTCTTTACACATAACTGAAAGTGCTATTACAGTGCCTAAGTTATTTACAACTGTGCAATAATGTGTTGTGAAATAAATTATCTAAAAGGCAGCAGAAATACATTGTGAATGTATATAAAACTGTAGCGTGTTCACAGATATATTTTTTATATAATTACTGGTTCTATAGTGTTTCAAGTTATGTTCTCAGAAAGAGAAACAAAATGCCCAAGATTAAAGAGAAAATATATGAACCATGTCCCAGCACCAGTGTCCCCAGCATCCCCAGCCCCAGTCTGAGGCCGTCTGGGTCTGCAGCTCCATGGCAACAGGGCCGTGGCTGGGATGGCACTCTTCTGACCCTCCAAACTGCAGGTCACTAAAAAGCTCTTATTTTTAGAAGATGCATATTGAAGTATTTAAATCCGAAGTATTACATCCAAATGGTTAGTAAAATATTAGCTATTCCTGAATCTAAGTAGTTAGTATATGGGTAAATCATTGTAATATATTTTCAGCTATTGTGTATGTTTGAAATTTTTCATAATAAAGAACTTTTGAAAGTTTTTTAATGTGAAGTTCTGAAATTATTAACAATTTGGGCCCTTGGAACCCACGTTTCTACTTCATGAATTGAGGGCTGGAGGGTGAAGGAAAAATAAAGCCAGTCTTAAAACCTGGCTTCTAAGCCCTGTTCAGTGCCCTGTGTGCTTTCTCTGCACTCTTGGTCATCACATCAAAGGAAATATGCGATAATTACTCTTTACATGTGTCAACATAAATAACAAACAGAGAAAGGCTGTCTACAAGGAAAGACCTTTAAACTTGGGAATAAAGCATTGATTGCAATGGGAATTACACATACCACAGTAAATTATGTGTGTATTAAGGGAAGTAAAGAAAAAGAAAGGGTTTTAAAGGAAAAAATGAGGAGAAGTACATAAGTGTTTTGAAATAATTATCCTTGTCTACAAAGATCAATAACAGGGTGATGCTAGTCTGAAGTTGGTCAGACTGGTCAAGTGGCTGGGCAGATGTCCTTGGGGAAATCCTTTGTGCAAGGTTGTGGGTTTTGTAGAGTCTTTTTTGTTATAAAACATACAAGCATGAGACCCCTCTCTTCATGGCCTTCCTTGGCTCTGTTTGTCAGGGTTTTCTTAACATTAGTGACTCCATTTTGACTCTGACAACTTTCACACATGTAGTTTTTGCTATGCGTTTGATGAGCAAACAGATGAAGTACACAATATTTTATGCATACAGTGTATCTAGTCCATTATTTACTAGACTGAACCTCTCACCTCCCATGATCAAATGTCACGTTTCCATACCCTTCCATAATGCAGATTTTCAAGTCCTAGACCTGTTAAAACTGGGGTCATCTTCCTGTGTTTCTCATAAGAAGATTAGTTTCTAAATTCAAGATGATAAAATTCCTCAGTACAATAATTGACAAAGAAAACACCTCTTGGAACCAAATACATAGTTTAATCATTGTGGTGGAAGAAGGGACATTTATTTGATTATGAAATAGAGAGCAAAGAGGATTTGTTTAAATTGGCAAAGCCAGCGTTGTTTGGAGCTTCTGTGTCTTCTACGAGTCATAACCTTCAAAGTTATTGTTGCAATCACAAATACATGAGATTGACCATTGTGTTACTCATATTGCACCTCTTACTAGGTGTCATAACCAGAAGATAGTAAAAACGTACATGAAATTGTTCATAATCCGGGATCAAAGTAGAACTAAAAACAGGACCTGAACTGACTATATTTTGGACTGTTTTTATTTGGAGGATTTACTCCCCTGAAAAACACTTTAGTCTGCCAACTTCTACAAAGAATTATTCTACTAGGAAAATGAATTACCACATTGCAAGACATCATCATATAATCTCATCTAGACCCCTGCTTCTGAGATACCTCACAGTGACAGTATTTTATTCTTTCCTTTAAAACCTAAAAAGAAAACTGTGCACATTCATTCCATGTCATGTTTTCACTCTTTTGTGCTTTGGATTTATTACATTCTCACTGGATGACAAGCAGTGTTTTAAGTACCTAGAACAGAGCAGACAACATTGAAAATAAAGATTCCTGTTTCATGGATGTTACATTCTACTGGGGAATAGAGGCATCTCAATAATAAACACAAAACACTGAAGCCTGGGGGTGTGAAGAACCTACCTCAGATATTGTGGTCCAGAAAGGCCTCTCCAAGGAGTGACCTTGGAGTTGAGACCATTCCTCAGTTAACCACATAAAGAGCTGGACAAGGGCATTCCAGACAGAAGAACCAGCAAATGCAAAGCTCCCAGGGCAGCCACAAGCCTGTTGGGCTCGAAGGGCAGAAAGCAAGCCCAAGTGACTGGAGCATGGTCAGTGACAGAGTGAAATGAAATGTAGGTCTTGGCTAGAAGAGTGAACTTGACTCTAATTGCATTGGGCAGTTATTGGGGGTCTGGAATCAGGAGAGTGGCATGATCCGATTTATACTTGAAAAAGGCCTCTTGGGCTGACATTTATGATCAGTGACTATCTACTGACATTTAGCCCAAATTCCTCCCACTGCAATTAAAGTGGATTCTCTCTCCTCACAGCGAACAGATGTTATTTGCTGCTGATATCAGCTCACATGCCTAAGGAAACATCAGATGGCTAATATCAAGATCGCCAGAACACTAGAATGAATGTAGTAAGAAGACCGGAGTAATAATCATCTACCTGAATTACACTCAGAAGCGGCAGATGAAAATGAAACCCATTTCCTGCACCTCTTCCCCACTAATGACCATGCCAGTTCTTTCCTTAATCCTCAAAAATGACCTTACATTCTCATTGGTTCTCAAACTTCAACTCCCCACCAAGCAATCTGTGGCAACAGCAACCTTAATATCTCAGAAGACTGTCTCCAGTATTCATGGTAGAGATCATAATGATGTAAAAGGGTATTAAGATTGGATGGGGGCGGCCGGGCGTGGTGGCTCACACCTGTAATCCCAGCACTTTGGGAGGCCGAGGTTGGTAGATCAGGAGGTCAGGAGATTGACACCATCCTGGCTAACATGGTGAAACCCGTCTCTACTAAAAATATTTAAAAAATTAGCCAGGCGTTGTGGCAGGCGGCTGTAGTCCCAGCTACTCGGGAGGCTGAGGCAGGAGAATGGCGTGAACCCGGGAGGCGGAGCTTGCAGTGAGCGGAGATTGCGCCACTGCACTCCAGCCTGGGCAACGGAGCGAGACTCCATCTCAAAAAAAAAAAAAAAAAAGATTGGACAGGTAGGACTTCCGGTGAAACCTCTCCCCAGCAAAACAATTTAACTGGTGATAATTATAAAAATCAAAATACATCATTTAAAGTTTCTGGAAATTGTCCTAAGAACATAGGACAAATGGAAAAATATTCATTTAACATAATCTACCAAGTTTTATAAAAATGGCAAGTGTGTGGCATTTTAGCCATGACCTACTTCTTTAACCCTCCTCCCCACCCACTCAATTCCATGTCACAGAAACTGTACCCTGACCATGAACAGCCAAGAAGATAGGGACTTCCTCTCCCCACAGCACACAGTCTAGGGCTATGGTTTCACCCTGGGAGGGGCATGTTGCCAGTTGCATTACTGATTCTCTTCCTTCCAGCCTGATGTTGCAGAAGCTCTATTCAAGGCAGGCTTGGCCCTAGAGGACAGGGCTCCTTTACCCAGTCCTACACAATTGTAGCTCACTGAGAATCCTGGGGCTCTGATCACCCTTGCCCCAACTCACCCATAGGAGAAGTTCTATGTTAGAAAGGACAGGCTGAGAAGACCAGGGTCTGGCACTCCCTCCCACCTGCTTCCCCAGACGGCTCACAGAACTGGAGTATAACCCCTAGCTCTGGTGCAGTGGCACAGGGTACTGCCCAGGGGATGTGGTGACCCCAAGGATGTACAGCTCTGCAGCTCTGCCTGAAGGGGCTATTTGGAACAGAGAATGGAGAACTCCATGCCTAAGGATGTTGTCGAAAACAAGGGAAATCTTGGTGGAGAATAATTAAGAAGAAGCCAGTAGCTCCAGGATACAAGCAAAACAGCAGAGCGTTCAGAAGTTTAATAGACAGAATCGGACAAAGAGCAGCTGGAAAAGCCCTCCTGGGATCACAGTCAACACAAGGTAGATCCTCCCATGTAGAAGGGGCTTAAACACAACCTCTGACCAAACACTGGCTTGAATAATAAGCCTTCATGACCCACGGTGACTCCTAGGAAGCCAGGCTTAAAAATAAAATCACACTCACCCTGGGCAAACTGAAAGATATGGCATGCCCAAGACTAAGCCCTCTTGGGAGCAATCAAAGAAAGAAACTCCAAGCTACTAGTCCATGGCTGAATATGGGGGCAATAAACATAAATTCTCTGAATTATTAAGGCAGCCTGTAAGTCACACACACATCCAGAGATAAAGAGTAAAAATCTAACTGGCTAAGGGGGCTTAAGTACCACCTTTGGCCAACGAGTGGCTTATATGGACTCAGACCCAGGGGCAGCCCCTAGGTAGCCAGGCTAAAAGATAAAAACAAGGGGGAAAATATCTAAGCATGGACGTCAGAGGTTGCACACTGTGGTAGAAACAGACATCACAGGATTAGTTCAGTCAAATCATTAAACAAATAAACAAATGACAAAACATACAACAAACACCACCAGTCCTGGGGGTTGGGAAGGAAGGGAGTCAGTGTCCTGGGCTGCTGTAAACTATTATTACAGTGTCCAGTTTCAACACAAAATTGTGAGACCTGCAAAGAAACTGCAGTTGTGAGCACACATTTCCCAGACCTTGGTTTCAAATACCATCCTCCAATAAAAGGAAACAGGGTCTCTTGAAGAAATGACTGAAACTAGCACTTGGGCAGAAAATAGAAGATAAACCTGGAGCATCTTATAGTGCCAGAAAGTAAGGAAGTGCTAAAAGCAAACAAAACCCCTACATTGATAGGGGTTTGTCAAAGGGACACAGAAGCCAACTGAAAGAGCTCCCGGTGGCCGAAGCTGGAACAATTTGAGCAAAAAAAATGAACAAAATAGTATTAGATTATAACCCACAGTATAAAATAAATATTTATGGGTCCATACTAATCTAAAACAATGATTGAATAAATAAATAAATGGGGGAGAAGAGCCAAATCTCCTGGCAGGAGAATTTTAGATAATTTACGTAGATACTCTTCCTTTAATGAAAGGACCATAAAACCCCAATCCTTAAATACAGACTGTTCATAATGACTTTCTAATGACTTTCGTCCAAAGAGTACCAGAGAAGAGGGGTAACTTAATAGTGGAGAAACCTGACAAACACTATCTCAGCCAAGTGATCAAGGTAAATATCAACAGTGACAAATCATGTTGATACTATCTACCCTTCATACGATGTGATGAAAATGACATTTGACATCTATGGTTTTCCTTTAAACCCCTGTAACACCACTCTGAGTGTGAGAAAAACATTAGGCAAATTCCAAATTCCAATAGAAGAGCATCCTATAAAATACCTGACTGGTACTCCTTGATCTTGAAACCATCAAGGTTATCAAAAATGAGAAAAATCAGAAATTGTCACAGCCAAGGGGAGCCTAAGGAGACAGGCAAATTAAATGTAACGTATCATAAATCAGATCTTGGAACAAAAAAAAGACATTAAATAAAAACTAAGGAAATATGGGGTGTATACTCAAAAGAACTGAAATGAGGAACTCAAACAGATGTTTGCATGTCCACATTCAAGCAGCATTATTCACAATAGCCAAAATGGGGAAACAACCCAAATGTCCATTGACAGATGAATGGATAAACAAAATGTGGTACATACATACAATAGAATATGATTCTGTCTTTGAAAGGAAGGGAGTTCTGACACATGCAATAACATACATGAACCTTGACAGCATGACACAAAGTGAAATAAGCCATACACAAAAAGACAAATGTTATATGATTCCACTTACATGAGGTAGCTAAGCAGTCAAATTCATAGAGACAGAAAAGACAATGGCGATTGCCAGGAGCTGAAGGAAGAGAGAATGAGGACTTAGTGTTTAATAGGTACAGTGTTTAACAGGAAGATGAAAATGTTCTGGAGATGAATGGTGGTGATGGCTGCACAGCAATGTGAATGTACTAATATCACTGAACTTTACACTTAAAAATGGATAAAATCATAAATTTTATGTTATATACATTTTGCCACATTTTTTTTCAAAAACTAAGGAAATCTGAATAAACTATGTAATTTAGTGAATAATAATGTTTCTATACTGGTTCTTTCATTGTGACAATTGTCAACACCAATGCAAAATGTTAATAATAGAGGGAACTGGGGACAAGATATACATGACCCCCTGCTATCTTCTCAATTTTTCTGTAAATCCAAAAAATCCTAGAAATGAAGTCTATTTTTCAAAAGGAAACATAAAGGAGAAATAGAGGGGAAAAAAAAGACATGAACATGAAACACAGAAAATAAAAATTGCAAATGACAGATGTAAATCCAACCATACCAGTGATAACATTAAGCGTGACTAGATTAAACAATCCAATCAAAAGAAAGAGATATCAGATTGGATTTTTTACATGACAAGATACAACTATATGCTGTTTATGGGAGACATATTTTAGATTGAAAGATACAAATAGGTTGAAGGTGAAAGGATGGAAAAAAGATACACAAAACAGATATACAAACAGCAACCACAAGAGAAATGGAGTGGCTATACTAATATCAGACACAATAAATATTGTGGTTATCCTGTTTGCGGCACCAGTTATTATAAACCCCTTCTTCTGCAGAATGGACCGTCACTGAAAATCTGGTTCAGATGTCAAAACGGATACCAGACCTACACCAACGAGGTATAAAACGCTCCATTACTTCTGTAGTGAGGCGTTCTGAGGGCAGCAGGGCAGGCTTTCCAAGCTCATCCAAATGTGGGTTGAGTGAGTAGGGGAAAAAGACTGGCTTGGGGTTTCTATCGTGGCCAGGCAATTGGGGCAGGATGAGAGCTCCTGCGCACCACCATATTCACCAAGTGAATAGAGATCCATTCACTTGGGTTAAGGAAACTCCAGGCAAGAGTATCAGCAATGTCTTCAAAGAAGCCACAAAAGTGTCCAGAAGAGAGGCCAGGCACGGTGGCTTATGCTTGTAATCCCAGCACTTTGGGAGGCTGAGGCAGGTGGATCACTTGAGGTCAGGAGTTCAAGACCAGCCTGGCCATTATGGCAAAACCCCATCTTTACTAAAAGTACAAAAATTATCCAGGTGTGGTGATGTGTGCCTGTAGTCCCAGCTACTCAGGAGGCTGAGGCAGAAGAATTGTTTGAACCCGGGAGGCAGAGGTTGCAGTGAGCCGAGATCACACCACTGCACTCCAGCCTGGGCAACAGAGCAAGACTCCATCTCAAAAAAAAAAAAAAAAAAATTAAAAAAAAAAAAAAAGTCCAGAAGAGAAAGAGAATACATTAAAGATTTTCTAAGCCCTGCCTTGGCTTCAGTGCTTGAAGGGTCAGAAAGCCAGGTTAGCAATGTGGGAGAGGAAGAGTAGAAAGGAAGAAGAAAGCTGACCATGCCCCCTTCATTGACTGCTGGCCGCCCATCTGTAGCAGGTCTGAGCTGCCATGCACAAACTGCATGATTGACATGAATACAATTTCAATCCCTCTTTCTAAGAGCTCTCCCAGCCCAGCAGAAGGAGTGAATGTGTAATGCTTGAAGTGTGCAGAGAGCACTAAGGGAGCAACCAAGAAGATGACATTTGCACAGGCCCTTGATGAACAGACCATCTGCTGGTTGGAAGGAAGAGCACGTGCAAAGGCAAGGTAGCTGAGAAGGCAAGACGGACTTAGGAAATTACAAGACATTTCATATGCATCCTGTGTTCTTGTCCAGCTAAAAACTGTTAGGAAATGAGATGTCTGCAAATATCAGATTATGTAAGACCTGGTTAAAAAAAAAAAAAAGTCTTTACCTGCAAAGAAACAGGTAGCCATAAAAGAATAGTAAGCAGTATTAGTAAATGGCATTTGCATTTATTAAAATTTCTTTCTGGAAGAAGTATGGATGACTGGCAGGGACCAGAATGGAGACAGGGATAATAAATATGAGACTACTGTGATAGTCCAGGCAGAAGACAATGAAGGCCTGAATCAGAGCCAGCAATGATAGTAGATGGAGTGAGGGGGATAGTTTCAAAAGGAAGTGACATGTGAGGAGGAAGATGACCTAAAATGTCTGAGTCAGTGACTAGATAGATGGTGATACTGTTATCCAAGCATTGCCTGAAGAAGGAAAATGAACTGGAGTGAAAAATGATGAGATCAACTTTGGACCTGCTGAATCTGAAGAGTTGGTTGTAGCTGGGTAAAGCTGTCAGGTATCATGTTGGATATTTAGGAACGGGATCAGCATAGAGATCTGGTCTGGAGGTGTCCAGAGATTTGATTCACTTGGCGTGACTGCAAGAGGGGCAGTTGAAGCCACAGGCATTGATGATCCCTGTGACAGATCCTGTCATTTGGGTTGAATTTCTTAAATTCTTAAAGATATGCCCAGCATACATGTAGACAACAAATTTTGGCTTAGAAAATTCATCAAAAATATTCAAAATACTAAAATTAAACATATTATCTTACGTTAACAGCAATACAGATAATTGTTTCATATCCATGGAAGCGATTATATTGTTTGCATCTTTAGAATAGGTCTAGTTTTGCATCTTACTCTTTTGTTCAATTAAGAAAATCTGGCCAGGCGCAGTGGCTCAAGTCTATAATCCCAGCACTTTGGGAGGCCAAGGCAGGCGGATCACCTGAGGTCAGGAGTTTGAGACCAGCCTGACCAACATGGTGAAACCCCGTCTCTACTAAAAATACAAAAATTAGCCAGGCGTGGTGCAAGGCGCCTGAAAGCTGAGACAGGAGAATCACTTGAACCTGGGAGGCAGAGTTTGCAGTGAGCTGAGATAGCGCCATTGTACTCCAGCCTGGACTACAGAGCAAGACTCTGTCTCAAAAAAAAAAAAAAAAAGACAAAAGAAAAAGAGAAAGAAAATCCTGGCAGGGCATGGTAGCTCACACCTGTAATCCCAGCAGTTGGGGAGGCCAAGGTGGGCAGATCACTTGAGGCCAGGAGTTCGAGACTAGCCTGGCCAACATGGCAAAACCGCGTTTCTAAAAAAAACACATAAATTAGCCAGGCATGATGGTGTACACCTGTGGTCCCAGCTACTTGGGAGGCTGAGGCACGAAAATCACTCAAACCTAGGAGGCAGAGGTTGCAGTGAGCCTAGATCGTACCACTGCACTCCAGCCTGAGCAACAGAGCAAGATCTGGTCTAAGAAAAGAAAAGAAAAGAAAAGAAAAAAAAAGAAAAAAAGAAAAGAAAATCTTAACTAACAATTACAGGTTGTTGGTAATAGCAGCTGATAACTGATGGCTTTTCAGATAGTTCTGTAGACTCTGAACAATCATAGGTTCAAGATAACTTTGGAGAGTTATCTTGCTGAGAGATACCATCAGTGTTCTGCCAGATGCTAGATTGACAAGCATATCACTCTCAAAAGTGGAATGTTTGAATGTTTGAACTAGAGCTAATGGGAAATAAATTCTTAAGCCTCTTTTTGGTTGCACTTACCTCTTGAAAGCATTTGTTATTATTTTCTTGTACTCTTTTGCATGTGGTTTTGAAATATGTGCAATGATATATCAAGTTATTTTTCCAACAAGCCAAGAAAATTACCTGTTGGAAAAGAGTAAAAAACTCAATAATTAAGCCAGTTGCACCACAATTTAGTCTGCTAAAGAATATCCGACTCACGCCTGTAATCCCAGCACTTTGGGAGGCCGAGGCGGGTGGATCACGAGGTCAGGAGATCGAGACCATCCTGGTTAACACGGTGAAACCCCGTCTCTATTAAAAATACAAAAAATTAGCCAGGCGTGGTGGTGGGCGCCTGTAGTCCCAGCTACTCGGGAGGCTGAGGCAGGAGAATGGTGTGAACCTAGGAGGCGGAGGTTGCAGTGAGCTGAGATTGCGCCCCTGCACACCAGCCTGGGCAACAGAGCAAGACTCCGTCTCAAAAAAAAAAAACAAAAACAAAAAAAATAACAAAACAAAAAAAAAACAGAGTATCTGAGAGCTCATCTTTAACATTAAAATCCATGTAGGGTTTTTTTTACCCTGATGGACTTGGTTCTATCTATTCAAGATACTGAATATATACCACTGAAGATACATAATTTGAAAAAGCTACTTGAAATCATAGAAATTATGTTTGCTGGAATTATATGACATTAAAGAAAAATGGCAAGGCTTTTTTTTATACAACTTTAGGAAGCAATTTCATAATACCTGGTAAAATTGAAGTTGCACCTACCCTTGAATTCAGCAATTCCTCTTCTAGATATAAACTCTGCAGGAACTCCTACCACATGCAGGAGGAGACATGAACTATTCATTTCAGTGGCGTTTATGACAGAAAAAAACAAAGAGCCTAAATATCCATCAACAGGAGAATGGATGAATGAACTATAATAAATTTTCACTAAATGAACTTAAGCCTAAAAGTATCAACATGGATAAATCCCCAAAAATTCAACTATATTAGTGTATCATACCACTTATAGCATATTTTAAAACATTACAATAACCTGAATATTATCTGTACATCATATACATGCAGCAATGTTATTAAAACAGTAAATAATAAACACCCAAATGAGCAGTTATGTCTATGTTACTCAGGAGAGAATAGGCTATGGAGTGTCAATAACCACATCCCAAAATCCCATTGGCTTATAAAGACATATTCCTCATCTGATGTGAGTGTGATATGAGTCAAGTGGCGCTTGTATCCGGACATTTGGGGCACATGGCCTGCAAGATGCACCACATAAGAGAAGGAGGCGGGTGACCACCCTTGCTCTGAATGCCTTGATCCAAAAGTGGTTTCAATTCATATTTCTCTGGCCAAAATTTCATACAACCCCAACTTCGATTTTTTAGCGAGCTCTAACTCTCTGGTATAGTGGTAAATTCTGAAAGAGGAGGAAAGAAAATAGGATCTGGGAGGAATTTATAGGGTCCTTTAACTGACTCTGAAATATTATAACACTTTTTAAAAGCCTGAGGGTACTTATGGCGCATAAACTCTTGGTGAAGCTACATGGAAGCCTGATGAAGCTGCAGCTATGGATGCTCACTGCGTTGTTCTCTCTGGGTGCTTGTTTGTATTACTTAATTAATTTTTAAAAAACTGATTCCACTTCTTCCCTCATTTCAACACTTGTATGAGACCTTCTGCTTGGTATCCTGTGGACCTTTATAGGGTAAACAAATATTTTTTTTCACAGTGTCTTGAAATCACAACATCTGGCTGTGGCTTTGTCATATTCACAATTTTAACTATTTCTTTCAACACAATCAAGTTAAGGAAGCATATTGTCAATCACCAGTTATTCTCTGGGAATAAAGTTATGAGTGCTTTGGTATCCAAGTATGACTTATTTTATTCAGCAAACATTGACTGTACGTCTTCAAGAGCCAGGCACTATTACAGATTCTAGGGACAAAGAAGTCTCATGTTCACATGGAACTTATATTCATGGAGAAAGGAGACAGATGGTAAACAAGAAAGCAAAAAAGTAAACAAAATAATTTCAGGGCAATAAGGTCTGAGAAAAAACAAAACAGAGAAATGAGTCAGAGAGTTCTGACTCTGATTGATTAGGGAACTGGTACCTTAGCGGCAAGAAGGAGATGGTCATGATAAAATCTGGGGAGAGAGTATTCCAGGCAGAAGGATCTCCTAGTTCCTTGCTGAACCCACTGCTAGTGCTCCCCCAGTATCCATCCTAACATTGCATCTCACAGTATGACTCTTGAAATAATTGTTAATTAAACAAAATCCTCTCTCCTAGTAGCATGGAGTTTTAGGAAAACATAAACTAAAGACATCAAGCACTTCACCCTTTCATGTATATGCCACAATACAGCCCGTTGATGTGCACAGGAAAAAAATACCTGCTAGTCTTCACACGTGTGATTAAGATTTCTCTTCCATTTTGTGTGTCATTGATCTTACATGTCTTCAATGTGTGAATGGATAAAAAGAATTTTGCTGATGTCCTGTTCCCCTTTATTTCCAGGCATAATGCTTTAATCAACTTTGTTCTTTGGCTTCTTGACAAAAGTGTGATCTGTAACATTTTTCCCACAAAAAAAGGAAACGTAAAATATGCTATTCTCTTCTCTACCTTTTAGAGACAAAATTACTCACTTATGTACCAGGAATTCTTATTTTGCAGTTGTTCTGGAAAAACTCAAATGGCTTAACAGAGAGGATGTTGGGCTTTAAGGGGACAGGTACAAGAGTAATATTAATACTACTAAAAATAATTACTAATTATAATGTTTATTATACATTTACTATGTGCTTAGTATTGCACTAAATGCTTATGTGATTTAATTTAAACTTATTTAAATTTCATAACAACACTATGGGGTAGGCAGTATGATTAAAATTTTGCAAATGGGGAAACTGAGGCTTAGAAAGTTTAAATAATTTATCTGTGGCCACATGGTTCTAGAAGCAAAAGGTGAACTCAAGCAATATAACTCTGTATCTGCACTGCAAAAATCTAACAATACCATGACTACACCATGCTGCTTAGATGAGGGTGGGAGATGTGGAATTAAGGAGAAAGTCAAAGTTGCTGAAGGAAAACCGGGCAACAGAAGCAAGCAAAGGAGAACGTCAAGAAGCGCGATTTTAAGAAGTTGTTGATAGTGCAGCCGACCCCTGAGAGTAAGCACCTTCTTAATTCTTTCATCTCGCACCCTAGGCATCTCTCTGGCCTTGAGCTAGTCCTGGCTCTGGGGAAGTAGAGGAATAACAGAAGATGAAAACAGGCAGAAGGGGAGGATCATGTAGAACCCTGTGCGTTATAGTCAGAACTTTAGCTTTTACTCTGAGATGGGAAGTTATTGGAGGGTGTTAGGAGAGGAAATAGCATTATCTAATTTAAGCCCTCAACTTTGGTTGTGGGTTGATAACAGGGTGGAGGAGGGTGAGGGCAGAAGCAGTGAGACAAGTTAAGAAACCATTGCAGTAATTCAGGCAAGAATGATAGTAACTTGGACCAGGTGGCAGTGGGATGGTGAGAAGTAGTTAAACTCCAGACAGATTTTCAAAGTAAAGCTGACACAATTTGCTGTGGGACCAGATGTGGGAAGTGAGAGAAAGGGAGGAGTCAAAGATGACTGAAGTATTTACCTTAAAGTCAAGCCATCTGAAGCCTAACAAAAGGCTGTTGAACTTAGAGTTTACGAGATGCTGGATGGCCTTGGTGAGAGCATTTCCTGGGGAGTGGTAGGGGTGGAAGTAAGATGGGACTAAATTGAGTAATAAATGAAAGATAAGGGAGTAGAAGTAATAAGTATAAACTATGCTGTGTGTACGTGGAGAGGAGACTTGATAGTAGCTAGGATACCCTAGGTTAAGGAAAATGCATATAAATATGTTTAAGATGGGAGAGAATTAAGTATGTTTATGTGCTGAGAACAAGAAAGCAATAGAGAAAGAGTGATTGAAAACACTGAATACAAAGAGCAAACCTCCTGAAGAGATGGGAGTGGGAGTGATGTAGCCCAAAGCACAGGTGGAGGGGCCAGATCTGGACACAGGAGGATTTTGAAGGGAAAGAAGGAAGAAAGGAGGGGTATGGCTGTCAGTGTTTCTGGGGTGGGAAGGGAGAAATTGAGGGAGTTCCTCCCTGACAAGCTATACTTCTTTCTGTGAATTAGAAAGTAATATCATGAGCCAAATGTAAGGTTGTTCAGAGTGAGAATGGTGAAAATTTTTAACATTCTCTTGGAATAAAGAAGCATAGGATATGGGCTGCCATGAGGACCTTGCAAAAGCTGGAGATTGTAAATACGTAGCTGAATCAATTCACATGATTGTTAAGAAACTGACCTACATAGCAGGAAACTGCTTATACAATATACCTCAATCCAATAACACAGTGGGTCTCATCTCTGTTTCTTATGAATTGATAAAACATGATCTACAGGGCCAAAGCCACAGTTTCAACTATTTAAGAAGAATGGTGCCCACACTTTTCCGTTTAAGTTATGTACAGTGCAAAACTACATCAAAGCCTAGTGCTAAAATAGGTTTAGGCCAAATTCAGATTTATTTCATTAAAGAGCTCCAAATCCTTTGCTTCTTTCACACACTGTTTTGAAGAATATATCTGTTTGTTTTCAGTCTTGTCCATTTCAACATCCAGTTTCTCCAGTAGTAAGAGATATCAAACAATCATGAAAATTTTTCATCTCACTTTATTTTATTTTATATTTTGTAAAGGCCTGTATCACTTGGTATTTACCTGAAACTTAAATCTTAAAATTAGACTATTTTATTATTGAAACTTTTCCAGTATGCTTTTAAGATTTCTGCAGTCTCTCCATTTGAGAAAGAGATAATTAAATGTAGTAGAAAACTGCCTTATCATTGCAGTAGTTGTATAATTTATTTTTTTCCATTGGGCAATGTGCTTAGCAACTTGCACATTAAGCCTTCTATTAAGATTATATTAATATCATAAATATGCAAAAAGGAAACCACTCTGAAAGTTCAAAATAATAACAATAACCTTTCCCTCAAGTAAAACCTTTTATCTTGAGATCTCTATGCACTTTCCCAACAAGCCTGAGTATCCTTGCCCAGCCACTTTTGCAAGGAGACAGTTAAAATGCCGCCTTCACTTTATTCACTGACTCCAAATGCTAGTTAGGATCACCGGAAAGCAAAGCAGATGCCTAATGTAATCATGATTTTAATTCTTAACATTTCCTACAGCAGCATTTATAACCTTTAAGAAAACAGGACCTCTAGTCTGTAAAAAGCCCCAAGTGGATGTCTCTTTCTTCTTTGCTTTATTCTTTAGCCATGGCAAGGAAGGGGCAGAAGGTTGTAATTCTGGCAAACTCCCACACATGCAACATGGACTCATATCTCTCACAAAGGACACACATGCACACTGATGCAATCACGTCTAGAAATGAATCAGTGCCCTTGAGACAGGAGCTCGTGACTAATGCTCTCTGAGTAGCGCAGGGGCAGCTTGGCAAACCAACTATATCGGGGCCAGCACAGAACAAAGCACAGGTGAGCAATGAGCTATAGCACAGGGAGAGGGAGGGGCTGATCCATGTGGTTCCAGGGCTTGAAACACATCATCTGAAGGTAATTCCCATGTAATTATAGAGCGCCAAAAAGGGAAACTGAGCTTTGGCCTGGGTCATGCGTGCAAACGCACTGTAGGATCTATGGTGACTTCCTTTACTTTTCTTGGACTCAGTTTCCTTATCTCGAAAAATGAGGAATTGTAGCACAACAGAAAGACTCCTTTCTCCTTCCACACCCTATGAAATACTCAAAGGCATTGCTTCCTGTTCCCTCAACAGAAAAAAAAGAATGTCATAAAAAGAAGTGGCGGGAACTGTTCTCCTAAAAAATATTTTAGATACTCAAAAATGACTGACAAGTTCTCCAGGTTGTTTCAGCACTATTTGTTCTGTTTGAAACACTAAACAAGCAGGAATGGTAGAGAAAAAAAAAGTGTTTCTCTCTTTATCCTAAAGTATAGTCATGCACTGCATAATGCTGTTTAGGTCAATGATAGACCACATGTGATTATAACACCATGTTTTACTGTACCTTCTCTGTGTTTAGATACACAAATACTTACTATTGTGTTACAATTGCCTACAATGTTCAGTACAGTAACATACTGCACAGGTTTGTAACCAGCCCAGGAGCAATTGGCTAGATGACACAGCCTAGGTGTGTTGAAGGCTGTATCACGTAGGTTTGTGTAAATGCATTCTAATGTTCGCACAACGATGAAATCGCCTAATGATGCATTTCTCAGAACGTATTCTCATCATTAGGTGATGTATGACTATAATGTCCATGGAAGACATTTTACCAACACATGTACACTTCTGTGGGTATTTCTCTGACAATGTCTAGTCTCCTAGAAGTGCCTAACGTGGAGTGTGGAGTATCTTTCACCACAGTGCATAATTCTGCCTAGTCACCACTTTCTCTAAGACATTTATCCTCTAAAGCATCTTTTTCCTGGAATCACATCCCAGGGAGTAATTTATTAAAGAAATAACCAAAATCCATAAATTTGTCAGCCTTGTTTCTCTCCTGAAGGAGAGGTAAAAAAGAAAGATAACCTTCCGCAGCTTGGGTCAGCCGGACTTAAATTGAAGGGGTCGTTAAAGCAAATATATGAATGTTTGGGGAAAGGGAGGCAAGGAAGGACCCTTGAGAGAGACGAGTGACTGCTCAGTCTCAAGCAGTGTCTATTACACACAAATATCCCAAGATTTCCCCTTTGCCTTTGACAAACTGGGAGGAGGGAACAGGTTGTCCCAAAAATTGATGTGACTGGAAACCAAATTTTTTCTACTGTGGAGGGTGTCTGCAGTCTTAATTACTCCCTTCAAATGGAAGAACAAAGCTCCCATGGAGGAACTGGAGAGAGCTGAGCTGAACTGAGCTGTAGGTTGATCATATTTCAAGGTTTGCTTGTAATCAATACTACTTTGGTCACCCCCAGACCATTACTGCAGAAGCCTCCTTACCAGTATCAGGATCCTACTTTGCTCTGCAGCCACTTCCTGGAGTTCTTCGAAAACTCTAAAAGAAAACAAAACCCAAACACATCACATCAGAAAGATGAGGCATTGAGAAACTTTATAAGCTTAAGAGGAAGTAGATGCTTGTGTAGGGGAGTTTTTAGATTAGGGAGAAAGAGACAGACATACGAAGAGAGAAAGTCAGTTCTATTTCCAGAGAAAATAAGAAGTTGTTTTGTTGAAGATTAAACCTATTATCAGGGCCGAACCAGATCCACCAATAAAGTAGTACTCTTTATTGCTCCTCAAGTGTTTGGCATAGGTATTTTCCACTTGCAGCTAGCATCTTAACTGTATATCTAAAACTGACATTTGCAAAACCAAACAGGTGAGGGGCCATATTGGCTCTGGAAAAGAATTCACATCCCTAATACACAGAAAATATGATTTATAAAAATCCACTTTTTTTTCATAGAACCATTCAGGAGCACAGCATTGATAGAAAGTGAATATTCCTAGACTCTAACATAAAAAAAAAATCTAGTCAAAATGTATCATACAGTGTTGTTGAAAGAAATTGCACATACATGTAGAAAACAACTTTACATTGAAAAAAATCTTTACTGTTCATGGATTAGGTTTTACCTAAAGCCCTATTACTTGCAGTTGTGCTCATCCCACAGATGTTTACTCATAATCTATCTTGCTCTTTATAAATCAAGTCAACAACTATTACATGTCTTTTATGGACTCCAAATTTCAAGAACTCTGTGAGAGGCATACAAACAACATATATATAACGCACAGCTATCCATGACATGGATTTCAACTGTATCCCCCAATAACCCAGGTTCTTCAGGTCATAAATGGATGGGCTTTATCTTCTAACAATCCACACGATCTGTAGCAGATTTTCCAGATGGTAAGCAATGGAATGACCAACTGTCCAGGTTTTCCCAAGACTGAGGGAGTTCCTTGGTTGTGAACGTTTCAGTACTAAAACCAAGATCTCAGGCAAACCTGGATAAGTTGGTCATCCTAGAGAGTTGAGGGAGAAATGACATCATTCAATTATATCAGTGTAGTAATCACATACTTGTCCTCTGCTTCTTCCTTGTCTTTCTTTCCTTCCCTTCCTATCCCATCTTACTCTCTTAGGATAGCTCTATGGCACAGTGACTAAGAACCAGATTGTGGTTTCCAAATAGATACGGGTCTAAATTCCAGCTTTGCCATGACTTTTTAAAAATCTTGTACAATTGACTTAACTTCTCCAGTCCTGCTTCCTTACTAGTGACACATGAGAAAATGCATATGAAGTACATACCATCATGCCTGACACATACATCATGCTTTATACATGTTAGTCACTATTGTCTCTGGATCATGCCCTTATGGATACTTCCAGCTTCCAGGGTTCTGGTTCTAATGAGACCAATATCAGGGCATGCTATGGATCAACAGGAATTAAACCTTCCCACCGCAGTGCATTTGCAGAGCCCTATGCAAATCAATCCTTTGACGTTTCATTAATGAGAACGCAAAAAGTAGGTACAACTGAAAGCAAGAAGTAGGTATAACTGCAGCAACATCCTGATTACCCAGAATTTTTCCAACTTTTCTCATCCAATCTCTTCAAGCAACCCCCTTGCATTATTGTTCCCATATGCTCGACACCCAAGCACATAGAGACATACGCATCACATAAACACACAGAGGGACACACATACACACAGAGGTTTTTATATGGCTGAGCTGGGAGAAGCCAAGTAAAACACTTTTTCTTTTGTTTCTAGACTATTTAGCAAATACGAGGAAAATGACGTGGCACTGAAGAGGGGACTTAGAGAGACAGGGCCAGTGGGTGGAGGAGGAGAGGACGTGCCGGGAAAAGAATGCAGAAAGGAGATTTTTTTTGGCCACAGAGTTTTTGCTAAAAGCAGCTAGGAAGCCCCACGGCTCCAGTGTGCGTGAACTCCTGGTAATTTCCTTGGGGAATCCCGCCTCAGAGAACCTCTACCCCGAGAATTAGGAGGAAGCTGAGCTAGGTGAGTTTCCAAACGGAGGGGGTGGGTGAGTGACTAAAGGCCTGAAGACCGGCCCAGACGAGTTTCCCAGTGGGCGTCCCCTGGCTGCTCTGACAGCCACAATAGGAACTCAGTCCAGAAGAGGGGAATGCCGAGGCCAGGGACGATTCCTAGTGTTTTCCTTTGTCTCTCAGCTTCCTGTGTTTGAAATGAAGGCATCCGAGGCTCTCTGTGGCCACTCTTGTCTGGGATTCTTTCCTCAAGAGGTGTTCTTGAATTTGTGAGAACTGCCAGGAAATGGCGTGAGTCATGTCTTCTTAGCAGACAATATTCAGCTTTAGAAATTCCCAGAGATATGACTTGTTTATAGGAAAGGAAACAGGGCTATTCTGAGCTGCCAGGGGAAGAGGAAAGCGCTGCTCATTTTTTAAAATATCGTGTTGAAAGGTCATACACGCGGCCAGAGTGCCAGCAAGAGCCCGGTATAGACACTGATGTTAGCAGTTCATTTGCCTACATTTCAGGCGATATTTTTGAGCGTGGCATTTTAAAATGCGAGTTCCATGGCATTGAAATTCCACTCCCAGTCTTAAGCCCAAAGGCATGAGCAGGGTCCAAGGCGGAGTCTTGGTTGGAGGGGTGCGGCTGGGGTGTTGTTAGGCCTGGCTGAGGGGAGGGGAGGAGCATATACAAAGACACCACCTTTCTCTACTTTCTAATTTCACATTTCTTGAGCAGCCAGCTGATTTTTGTTCCCATATTCCATGCTCCTTCCTCTACTGTCTTTTCTTCATAGTGTTAACAACTGCCATGTCCATTGTCCTTACCTTAAAGGATTGTTCAAAGCGGCCAACTTTGGAAAATGTGTCCAAGGAGAGAAACTCGGGGGGATTCCTACTCCTGCAACCCTTGCTTCTGGCATTGGACCACCTTCTTGTGCAAAAAGTTTGGTCCTGAAATGTTTGAACTCGTAAAGGCACCGTTTACACATCTGTCACTGTTAGCAGAGCCAGTCAGCTGACCACAGAGATTGATTTCCAAGGAGAAAATAATCCACTGAGTATTCACTGATACAACAATAATTAGCCAATGTGATAATTTCATAGATACCACATCTGATAAAATCAACACCTTTTCCTAATTACAGAGTAAACATTTCAATAGGAATAGAAGGATGCTCCTTCAATGTGATAAAGATGCTCTTGGCTTAAAGTAAATAAAGATTATAATTAATTGGCAAACATTGAAAATCAGAAACAAACACAAAGAATGTCCTTTAGTATGATTATCACTGTTTCTGGTTTTTGTTTGTTTGTTTTTTGGGGTTTTTTTGAGACAGAGTCTCGCTGTGTCGCCCTGGCTGGAGTGCAGTGGCACAATCTCGGCTCACTGCAACCTCTGTCTTCCAGGCTCAAGCGATTCTCGTGCCTCAGCCTCCCGAGTAGCTGGGACTATCAGCTAGCATCATTATCACTTTAGATTCTCTGGTTAATGCAGTAGGTTATAAACACAAAAGGAATAAATTTTTGTGAACTAAGGTACTAAAGTACATGAAAATCACACAAGTATAAATCTGAAAAAGTCAAAAGAATTAACTAAAAGCTTTCTTTATTTTAAAAAAGAGTCATAAAGTGGCTTGGAATAAGATAAATACCTAAAAAGCAACAGTATTTCTATATACTGGCAGTAAACAGATAGATAATATAAAGCAAAAGAAAAGCTATTCAAATAGCGACAAATATAAAATATTTATAAACTCAATAAGAAATGTATTAAAAGTTTTAAAACCTTGATTGGGGGATATATTTTTAATAATTAAGAGGAAGAGTTATATTTTTATTAGATGGAAAAATTCAACATAAAGATGCCAAGGCTCCTCAAACTTACTGAAATAATTCTGTCTAAAGATCCAACGGGACGTTTCTTGAAGGTCATTAGAATGAACACTGACGAATTGCTAAGCTTAGTGCTTATCTTATTAAAAACATTCAAAACTATAAACAGGAAAACTAGCAAAATGCAAATGTTCTTAGGGATCAGCCTCGTCAGATATCAGAACCTATTGTAAAAACTGAAACTGTGTTTGATGTAAATATAAAAATATAAAGAAAAAGAAAATAATGAAATCCCCTGAAACAGACCCTGTTATATACATATGTGTCACATTTTATAGATGGCCTCATAGTTCACAAAGTTTTCCACTTGCATTATCTTTTATGCTTCAGAATCATGCTAGGAATCAAGTCGTATTATTACCCTCAGTCTTAGTTCTGAAGAAACTGACACTCAGAAGTGGCTTGACCAACATAATAAAACTAAGATAAACCCAGACTTGAACCTAGATTTTCTGACTTCTCTTACCAGGCATCTTTTCACTACATCAATCTCACAATACATTGGAGAATATACTTTTTTTAACCATACTGAAATTAGGGGAAAAAATGTTTCGACCTGCCCTTACACCATGTACTCCTGCTAACAATAAACAAACAAAATCCTGTAGTTGTTTGATGAAACATAGAGATATGACACTGAACTAGGGTCTGTGTCTGTGGTTGTCCCTCACTGAGTCCACTCACAAAGTACGAAGCTACAATGCTTCCTATTCACCTCCTCCCACCCCCACCCCCACCCTATCACCCCCATCCACCCCAGATGAATTACTTATTGTCACTAAGACGTAGCAGTGCCCAAAGTGAAATTGAAACTCTCCAGCAAATTACTGTTAAAAGAAAGTATAGTCAGTCTGTTTCTGGGGAGGGGTTGGATAATTAGAGAGCAACTAATTAGGAGCATACAGTTAAGAGTAAGGACAAACAGAAAGAAGAAAAGGAGTAAGCAACTCATACATAGTGCAGACCCACTATGTGGGAAAACCACTCATCTCTGACATTGTAGCAAAAAAGCAGCTGTCAACAATAAACATAAATGCTAGCCTTAGCTGAATGGGCACAGCTGTGTTCCAATAAAACTTTATTTCCATAACAGGCAGCAGGCAGACTATACATTGATGACTCCTGTACTAAGCAATTTAAGATAGTTTTTCCATTCAATTATCCTAAAAAAAAAACCCCTTTAGATAAGAAATCAGAGGTTACTCAACATGACCACCTGACATTAAGATGGATACAAGTATTTGCCTCAGTAAGTGGCAGAGCTGAAATCTGAACTCAGGTCTTGTGACTCCCAAGCTGGGAAGCTGGAAAGTGTGTAGTCTTCTGATAGGGCAGCCTCCTGTGACTCAGAGGTTTAACTGGATTTTATGGGTGTGAAGTCTCAGCAGGTAGAAGAGGCCTGAACAGGCTGCATCTAATGAACTAGACATGTGTTGCACTGAACCAGGCTGGGAGTACGTGGGTGATCTCTGTTGCAATCATTTAACAAAGTAGGGAGGTATAGACATGCCCATTCACCTCAGACACACCCCTCGCCTCCGAGACATCAAATCCGCTCCTCCTAACACACAGCAGGGTGCAGTTGTGGTCAGAAGTGAGTGGGAGAAGGAGGGTAGGCAGATGGGTGGCTGTTTATGGAAACCAGGAAATCCCAAAAAATAAAGTCATCTAGAGCAATTCAGGCAACTTCTTTGAGTCCAAGCTTTCCTTTCTGTGGAATAGAAATGTCTGTCCTCTTTCTTTTCTTTTTTTTTAGCAAGATGTCAGAATAATACAATAGGAAAAAAAAAAAAAACTCTGTGTAAAGTTCATTGGGCACCTCAGGGATACATGTCATTTGATGACATAGTCTCATTGTCACCTGACGCCCCATGACTTCAGCTGGCTCCAGAGTCTGCATGTAGCTTTCTGTGGGGAACTCTGCCATCTTTACATTTAACACATCTCTGCTGACAGACCAGCACTATTGAGCTGGTGCTTTGACAACCACGTCGACAAGAGACCAGGAGAGATGCCATGTAAAGGTGAAAGGACAGTGACTAAGGGGAGCAAATGAGCTTTTAAACGAGCCTGACACCATCCAGCTAGTTTTCATACTCCCTCCTGTGAAAAATCTTGACATATTGGTACATTGCTATGAGTTATTTATTTATATCGGTGTATAGTGGCCTAATATTATTTGCTCTTGCAGAGTGTTATCTAGGACTACAAACTTATTTTATTTTAAGCTCAATGACATTTCATCAACAGTTAACACAGCGTGAGTAGCTAAAAGTCACTTCAGGACAGTACATGAGGCCTCTCAGATGTTGTTGCTTTATTGCTTGACTGGATAGTTCTCTGGCTTTCTCTACTTTTGATGGTTTCTGTTTTTACCCAGCTTTGTCTGTTTTGAGCTGTATTTTTTCAGTCCATTATTACATATTATATTATTTATTTCACCACAAGATTTATTTATTATCTGCAGTAATGAAAACTAATTTGTTTCATTTGCCCATGTTAGCTATGCCTAAAAGGGAAAACAATTCTCTCTTGGTCATACAGAGAGGGGTAGAATGGAAAGGAGATGGGTACAGTCACTGAGGAGTCTCTAAGAGGATTCCATCCTGGAGAACCCCTGCTCTGGGCTTGGAGAACTGGGCTCAAACAAGGCAGGGTTCATGTCAAACCCCTGGCAAATTCTCTCAATTTGGGACTGAGTCTCTCATGGTGCCTAGACTTTGGTAATGCTTTCTGGAAACTCAGAAACTGTTGGTCCTAATCTCAATTCAGCTATTGACATTCTGGTCTTTTCTATTTAAAGCCACAAAATTGACTGTTTATTTTCTAGTCATAGTTTAATTTTGTTTTGTTTTAAGCTCTCTTAGTTGATTTCTGCCCAATCAATAAGATCAGCCACACATTTAATCTGATTCTGTCATTGAGACAGCTGAACACCCTGGCAATTCTACAGCCTACTCTGGGTAAGTTCAGTCCATATAAACTCAGCCCATTTCCAACACCTCTGTGACAGCTTTCTCATCTGTAATATGAGAAAACACTCACCTAGTTCACAGAATTGTTGGAAGAATTATATAATAAACAAGACTGTACTACATTTTTTAACTGACAACATACATTTTCTTAATAAAAAATAACATTTTTAATAAAACAATAATAATATATGTCTCCAAGAAGACGAACACTAGATTTCTCGGGTGTTCTGTGTGTTGCAGCACTTTGCTGGTGTTGACATGAATTTGTCAATCAGAACAGTTATACTCATTAATAAGAATAAACATTGACTTTTGCAGTTCTGTACTGATTATAATTTAGCCCTCTTTTAAAAAAACTATGAAAGTATTACATATAGAAAAGGGCATAAATGTTACGTGTGATGAAGTTTCATAAAATAAACACACCTGTGAAACCAACACTCAGATGAAGAAACAGAACCCCTACAGCGTCCCAGAACCAGCCCCATGTGCCCCATTCCAGGCATTTTTCCTCTAAAGAAAACTCCTTTCCTGACTTCTAACAATATAGATTAGTTCTACCAGTTTTCATAATTTTTTATACATGGAATTAAAAAATTATGTAGTATTAGTACAGATCTTTCTAAGCTTATTTAAGCTTAGTTCATAAAGAAGATATGGGTTCTAAAGCAGTCTTTCTTTTCTAGGCTGACTTGAGGAAAGAGAGCTGGAGGAGCGGGGTGAGTAGAGGAACCCTATAATTTGTTATCCAAACTGGGACACCTTTGAGAGTGAAAGAAGGTGCTATTCATAATAACAGTGGACAAAAGCCATAAGCAGTGACTGTCCCCAGCAAACCAGGACATGTGGTCACCCTGGTGAGAGGGGATGGTAGAAGATAGCAGGGACACACTGGCAGGAAAAATCTGCCTTTGGGGCCCTAAAATAGAATCCATTCCAGTTGCCCAATATGGATTCAGGACTGGGGGCTGGTAGCACACTTCTCAAAAAGTGTTGTCATTGGTAGAAAACTCAGGTCAATAAATACTTACTGGATCCCTGCTATGCGCAAGGCACTGCAATGGCACCAAGATGGTTTGAGCACTGTCCCTGCCCAAAGTAGCTCACAGTCTGATAGTGGCAATGAGACAAGTTCACAAATAGGTGAACTGTAAGGTGGCTGCCAATGGAAATGTGTGAAGTATTATGTGGATTCCAAATACAGCGTTATTTGGATTACAAGGAACAGGAGATCGTGCCCCCTGGGAGACATGGAAAAAGCAAGCACCATGGGGTAGGTAGCATTCAGCATGGTCTAGAATCTTACTTCAGTGGTCCTCAACTATGCATATTAGAATTAGCTTTTCTAACACCCAATACTCAGGCAGCACCCCAGAACAATTAAATCATAGTCTCTGGGAATAGGGCCCAGGTCTAAATATTTTAAAAGCTCGCCCAGGTAACTCCAGTGAAGAGTGAAGCCTGAGAACCACTATTCTACAAAGATGAGTAGACATTAGCTGGCAGGAAAGATGGGGCAGAGAGGAGGCCATGGAGAGAACAGCTGTGAGTTAGTATATTCCCTCTTTGGTAGGCACACAGAGAAGAGTTGCCCACTGGGAATTAAATATGGAGGAAAAGCAGCAGGGCAAAAATAATTTAACCCCCTTCAGGAAAAAAAAATTAATTAATTATGAAACCATTTGCTAAGGCTGATAACAGGGATGGATGGGGAAAAGATGCACTGAACACCAAGGGAACACAGAGTGGCAATAAATCCATCATAAATCGCACAAGCCATCAGATAACGTCTGTTCCTCACATTAGCATCCCATTAAGCTGCTATTAGTGATAGCAAGGAAACTGAATGAAACCGGCTTCCTGGGTTAGCACTAGCAGCCAGGGAGAGTTAACAAGCTGCAATCCTTCACTGGTACCTTTAAGGACCTGAGGTCCATTTGTAAAGGATGCTTAGAAACCCCAAACCTTGACCTATCACGCTCATGCTGTGGGAGTTTGTGGGGGGGCTGGAATTAATCACAGCAGGGACACAATTTACCGATCAATACCAGCCAATTAGAAGGCTCCCTGCTGCGGAGAGTTCCCTTGGAATGCCAGATGACCTTTGCCCTTGACTTTTTGTGGGGGCAGATGTTTCTTTAGCACAGCTACTGATAAGGATGGTGTTCCGAGGGGCATAGCTCATTTCACATGCCAACCGCTGCCCGGGCATCTTGGGGCTGAACTTTTTGAGCACTTAAGCATGAGCCACCTGCCAATGGAAGGTAAAGAAAGACAGGAATGGAAATTATAGCAATAATTAATTTAAAGCCATTGTGCCACTTTTTCTGTGAACTCAGCCCTGACCTTCAAGAAGCCACTGAAAAGAGCAGAAAATTAGGAAACTCAGTCTTTGCCCAGAGTTCACTATTGTGTTGCTGTCCTGTTCTGCAGCCTCCACTACCTGTCAGAGAGAGGAGATTGTAAGGCCTGGAGAACCACCTAGAGGGAAAAAGCCCAATAGCTACCACTGCTTTCCATGATCTGGCTTGGGGACTCCAGCTAGAGCCTGGGTGGGCCCCAGAAGCCCCATTCTTCCAGGACTTCTAGATAGCTGTTTGCCATTGTTGTTTACAAGTCTTGGCCAGTATTTTTTAAAATCAGTTTTCTGACATCTTTGCCACAGAGGTAATGTGCCCCAGGACACAGAAAAATAAATAAATAAACATTTATTTATTTTAAAATATTTACTTAAAAAATTAATAACTATTAGATAATTCTAGGAAGTGTTCTGAAGTTTACCATTTTTTTTGGTCACTTACTTTTTTAGTCATATTTTAAGGTAAACAATCTATTGTATACAGCCTTTCCTGGAAACTCCAGGACTTCAAGCATTTGACCTCATCCTTCTAGTTGCTTCACCTCCTCTTGCAGATTTCCATCATGGTTTCTTCGGATGCCAGTTTGGAGAATCCTTCTCAACATTTTCCCTCCTAAGTATTCCTCTGCCCCTTTCACCACAGAGAATCATGGTTTTCAAATGAAAAATAAAAACAAGTTTGGGGCTGACTTTAATAAGTACAAGACATGGGGCAAATCATACAGTGATTCCCTCCCTTTCCTTACCCTAAACCACAAACCTTTTTATTTAAGTCAAACCTGATATAAATGGTGATCAAAAATATCACTGAAGTGAAAAACAAACTTTTGGAAGATCAACAAATTTTTGGAAGGAATTGTGAGCAGATAGGAAAGGAACATCATCATCATCACAGATTTTGCCTTGGAAATGTAGACAGTGGGGAAGAGTTTTGCAAACCAATGACACATAAGTGTGTTAGCCTCGAGAATATTTAAATATTTAAATGTGCAACTTGGCAGAAGCCACCATCTTTCTATATCGCCCTGCACACCCACTAGCTCCTTAAGTCACTCTGTGTCCCTCCCCAAATGTGCAACTGTCACCCTGTCCCCTGATCTGAGGAAGGATCCTGCCCAAGTTCTTCACTTACACAGGAGAGGGCAATTGTCCACATTCCTTTCTACTCTAAATGCTTTTCAATCTCTGCTGTGTTGCAGTCTTGCCAAAAATGTTTAGCCTGAATCTTATCACGCAGGGAAAATCCACACAAATCCAGAGTGTGGGACATGGATGTGTGTGTGTGTGCCTGGTGGGGGTAGGGGGAGCACAAAGTGGCAAAATGCTAAAACAATTATTGAATCTAGTAAAGCAGAGCAGGATTCTATAATCATTTCAATTCTTTTATAGGTTCAACATTTTTCAAAATAAAAAGTTGGTAGAATAATAGGAAGCCATGAGGACCAAGAAGCTCACATTTCCAAGGCTTTCTAAGTTTCACCTTGAAGCAAGATACATCATAAAGCATTGTCTAGGTACAACTTGCACTTTCCTGTCCAAGCCTCAGACCCTGTTCTTCATCTGGGCCCACAGAGCAACAGCTTCCACTTTTGTGGCCAAAGAAAAATGCTAACCAGCTTGTAATTGCTGTAAGGAGGTATGTTTGATGGTTTACACAAAAATAATAGACATACTCAAAAAAACTCCAGATTGTAATGTAAAGTGCAAGGTCATATAGAATGTCATTAACAAACTTTCGGTGTGGCACGATGGCTCATGCCTATAATCCCAACACTTTGGGAGGCTGAGGCGGGTGGATCATTTGAGGCCGGGAGTTCGAGATCAGCCTGGCCAACATGGTGAAAGCCTGTCTCTACTACAAATACAAAAACTGGCCCAGCATTGTGGTGCATGCCTGTGGTCCCAGCTACCCAGGAAGCTGAGGCAGGAGAATCACTTGAACCTGAGACGCAGAGGTTGCAGTGAGCTGAGATGGTGCCACTGCACTCCAGCCTGGATAACACAGTGAGACTCCGTCTCAAAAAAAATAACTTTCCATTTTTTAATTTTAAAATTCTTATATTATTGTTACTTTTCAAAAGTTTATTCAAACAAGTAAAAACACACCTCTGCCAGTAAGTGAGAACACAAAGGTGCACCTCTTGCTGATGCAGCACTTGATGTATTGCATTTCATGGCCCATGGATTAACTATGATACTCAAAAAATATGTTTCTACACTGATATTTGACACTGGAAATGAAACAGATTATTAAAAACAGTTTTCAGATTTTCCCGGGCAAGATGGCCGAATAGGAACAGCTCCGGTCTGCAGCTCCCAGCAAGACCAATGCAGAAGGGGGGTGATTTCTGCATTTCCAACTGAGGTACCCGGCTCATCTCACTGGGACTGGTTAGACAGTGGGTGCATCCCACAGAGGGAGCTGAAGCAGGGTGGGTGTTCCGTCACCCAGGAAGTGCAAGGGGTCAGGGAACTCCCTCCCCTAGCCAAGGGAAGCTGTGAGGGACTGTGCCATGAGGGACAGAGCTATCCAGCCCAGATACTATGCTTTTCCCACTGTCTTCGCAACTTGCAGACCAGGAGATTTCCTCAGTGCCTACACCACCAGGACCCGGGATTTCAAGCACAAAGCTGAGTGGTCATTTGGGCAGACACGGAGCTAGTTGCAGGAGTTTTTTTTCATACCCCAGTGGTGCCTGGAATGCCAGCGAGACAGAACCATTCATTCACCTGTAGAGGGGCTAAAGCCAGGAAGCCAAGTGGTCTTGCTCAGCAGATCCCACCCCCACGGAGCACAACAAGCTAAGATCCACTGGCTTGAAATTCTCACTGCCAGCACAGCAGTCTGAAGTCAACCTGGGGTGCTAGAGCTTGGTGGGGGGAGGGTCATCCGCCATTACTGAGTCATGAGAAGGTGATTTTCCCCTCACAGTGTAAACAAAGCCACCATGAAGTTCGAACTGGGCAGAGCCCACCACAGCTTGGGAAAGCCCCTGTAGCCAGACTGCCTCTCTACATTCCTCCTCTCTGGGCAGGGCATCTGTGAAAGAAAGGCAGCAGCCCCAGTCAGGGGCTTATGGATGAAACTCCCATCTCCCTGGGACAGAGCACCTGGGGGAAAGGGCGGCTGTGGGTGCAGCCTCAACAGACTTAAACGTTCCTGCCTGCCAGCTCCTTGGATCTCCCAACACAGCGCTCAAGCTCTACTAAGGGACAGACTGCCTCCTCAAGTGGATCCCTGACCCCCGTGCCTCCTGACTGGGAGACACCTCCCAGCAGGGGTCGACAGACACCACATACAGGAGAGCTCCAGCAGGCATCTGGCGCATTCCCCTCTGGGACGAAGCTTCCAGAGGAAGGAACAGATAGCAATCTTTGCTGTTCTGCAGCCTCCGCTGAATGATACCAAGGCAAACAAGGTCTAGAGTGGACCTCCAGCAAACTCCAGTAGACCTGCAGAAGAGAGGCCTGACTGTTAGAAGGAAAACCAACACACAGAAAGCAATAGCATCCACATCAACAAAAAAGACGACCACACAAAAACCCCATCCGAAGGTCACCAACATCAAAGACCAAAGGTACACAAATCCACAAAGATTAGGAAAAAAACGTGAAAAGGGCTGAAAATTCCAAAAACCAGAATGCTTCCTCTTCTCCAAGGATCACAACTCCTCGCTAGCAAGGGAACAAAACAAGACGGATAATAAGATTGATGAATTGACTCAAGTAGGCTTCAGAAGGAGGTAATAACAAACTCCTCCAAGCTAAAGGAGCATCTTCTAACCCAATGCAAGGAAGCTAAGAACCTTGGTAAAAGGTTACAGGAACTGCTAACTAGAATAACCAGCTTAGAGAAGAACATAACTGACCTGATGGAGCTGAAAAACAGAGTACAAGAACTTCATGCAGCATACACAAGTATCAATAGCTGAATGAATTAAGCAGAAGAAAGGATATCAGACATTGAAGATTAACTTAATGAAATAAAGTGTGAAGGCAAGATTAGAGAAAAAAGAATGAAAAGGAATGAAAAAAGCCTCCAAGAAATATGGGACTATGTGAACAGACCAAACCTACGTTTGATTGGTGTACCTGAAAGTGATGGCAGAATGGAACCAAGTTGGAAAACACACTTCAGGATATTATCCAGGAGAACTCCCCCAACCTAGCAAGACAGGCCAACATTCAAATTCAGGAAATACAGAGAACACCACAAAGATACTCCTCGAGAAGAGCAACCCAAAGACACATAATCGTCAGATTCACCAAGTTGAAATGAAGGAAAAAATGTTAAGGGCAGCCAGAGAGAAAGGTTGGGTTAGCCACAAAGGGAAGCCCACCAGACTAACAGCGGATCTCTCTGCAGAAACACTACAGGCCAGAAGAGAATGGGGGCCAACATTCAACAATCTTAAAGAATGTTCAACCCAGAATTTCATATCCAGCCAAACTAAGTTTTATAAGTGAAGGAGAAATAAAATCCTCATAGACAAGCAAATGCTGAGGGATTTTGTCACCACCAGGCCTGCCTTACAAGAGCTCCTAAAGGAAGGACTAAATATGGAAAGGAAAAACCAGTACCAGCCACTGCAAAAACATACCAAAATGTAAAGACCATCGACACTATGAAGAAACTGCATCAGCTAATGGGCAAAATAACCAGCTAGCATCATAATGACAGGATCAAATTCACACATAACAATATTAACCTTAAATGTAAACAGTCTAAATGCCCCAATTAAAAGACACAGACTCACAAATTGGATAAAGAGTCAAGACCCATCATGTGCTGTATTCAGAAGACCCATCTCACATGCATAGACACACATAGGCCCAAAATAAAGGGATGAAGGAAGATTTACCAAGCAAATGGAAAGCAAAAAAAAAAAGGAGGGGTTGCAATCCTAGACTCTGGTAAAACAGACTTTAAACCAACAAAGATAAAAAAAGACAAAGAAAGCCATTACATAATGGTAAAGGGATCAATGTAACAAGAAGAACTAACTATCCTAAATATATATGCACCCAATACAGAAGCACCCAGATTCATAAAGCAAGTTCTTGGAGACCTACAAAGAGATTTAGACTCCCACACAATAATAGTGGGAGACTTTAACACCCCACTGTCAATATTAGATAGATCAATGAGACAGAAAATTAACAAGGATATTCAGGGCTTGAACTCAGCTCTGGACCAACCAGAGCTAATAGACATCTACAGAACTCTCCACCCCAAATCAACAGAATATACATTCTTCTTAGCACCACATCACACTTATTCTAAAATTGACCACATAATTGGAAGTAAAACACTCCTCAGCAAATATAAAAGAATAGAAATTATAACAAACAGTCTCTCAGACCACAGGGCAATCAAATTAGAATTCAGGATTAAGAAACACACTCAAAACTGCATGACTACATGGAAACTGAACAACTTGCTCCTGAATGACTACTGGGTAAATAATGAAATTAAGGCAGAAAGAATGAGTTCTTTGAAACCAATGAGAACAAAGACACAACATACCAGAATCTCTGGGACACAGCTAAAGCAGTGTTTAGAGGAAAATTTATAGCACTAAATGCCCATAGGAGAAAGCGAGAAAGATCTAAAATTGACACCCTAACATCACAATTAAAAGAACTACAGAAGCAAGAGCAAACAAATTCTAAAGCTAGCAGAAGACAAGAAATATCTAAGGTCAGAGCAGAACTGAAGGAGATAGAGATATACAAAAAAAATTTTTTCAAAAAAATCAATGAATCCAGGAGCTGGTTTTCGGAAAAGATTAACAAAATAGATAGACCACTAGCCAGACTAATAAAGAAGAAAAGAGAGAAGAATCAAATAGGCACAATAAAAAATGATAAAGGGGATATCAACACTGATCCCACAGAAATACAAGCTACCATCAGAGAATACTATAAACACCTCTATGCAAATAAACTGTACAATCTAGAAGAAATGGATAAATTGCTGGACACATACACTGTCCCAAGACTAAACCAGGAAGAAGTCGAATCCCTGAATAGATCAATAACAAGTTCTAAAATTGAGGCAATAATTAATAGCCTACCAACCAAAGAAAGCCCAGGACCAGACAGATTCATAGCCAAATTCTACCAGAGGTACAAACAGGAGCTGGTACCATTCCTTTTAAAACTATTCCAAACAGTAGAAAAAGGAGGAAGCCTCCCTAACACATTTTATGAGGCCAGCATCATCCTGATACTGAAACCTGGCAGAGACACACACAAAAAAAAGAAAATTTCAGGCCAATATCCTTGATGAACATCAACGCGAAAATCCTCGATAAAATAATGGCAAACTGAATCCAGCAGCACATTAATCCACCACGATCAAGCCGGCTTCATCCCTGGGATGCAAGGATGGTTCAACATATGCAAACCAATAAATGTAATCCATCATATAAACAGAACCAATGACAAAAACCACATGATTATCTCAATAGATGCAGAAAAGCCTTTGATAAAATTCAACACCTCCTAAAAACACTCAATAAACTAGGTCTTGATGGAATTAATCTCAAAATAATAAGAGCTATTTATGACAAACCCACAGCCAATATCATACTGAATGGGCAAAAGCTGGAACCTTTTGAAAAGCAGCACAAGACAAGGTTGTCCTCTCTCACCACTCCTATTCAACATAGTATTGGAAGTTCTGGCCAGGCAATCAGGCAAGAGAAAGAAATAAAGGGTATTCAAATAGGAAGAGAGAAAGTCAAATTGTCTCTGTTTGCAAATGACATGATTTATATTTAGAAAACCCATCATCTCAGCCCCAAAACTCCTTAAGCTGATAAGCAACTTCAGCAAAGTCTCAGGATACAAAATTAATGTGCAAAAATCACAAGCATTCCTATACACCAATAATAGACAAATGGACAGCCAAATCATGAGTGAACTCCCATTCACAATTGCTACAAAGAGAATAAAATACCTAGGAATACAACTTATACGGGATGTGAAGGACCTCTTCAAGGAGAACTACAAACCACTGCTCAAAAAAATAAGAGAGGGCACAAACAAATGGAGAAACATTCCATGCTCATGGATAGGAAGAATCAATAATATGAAAATGGCCATACTGCCCAAAGTAATTTATAGATTCAATGCTATTCCCATCAAGCTACTATTAACTTTCTTCACAGAATTAGAAAAGACTACCTTAAATTTCATATGGAACCGAAAAAGAGCCCATATAGCCAAGACAATCCTAAGCAAAAAGAATAAAGCTGGAAACATCACACTACCTGGCTTCAAACTATATTACAAGCCTACAGTAACCAAAACAGCTTGGTCCTAGTATCAAAATAGATATATAGACCAATGGAACAGAACAGAGGCCTCAGAAATAACACCACACATGTACAACCATCTGATCTTTGACGAACCTGACAAAAACAAGCAATGGGGAAAGGATTCCCTATTTAATAAACGGTGTTAGGAAAACTGGCTAGTCATATGCAGAAAACTGAAATTGGACCCCTTCTTTTTACCTTATACAAAAATTAACTCAAGATGGATTAAAGATTTAAACATAAGACCTAAAACCATAAAAATCCTACAAGAAAACCTAGGCAATACCATTCAGAGCATAGGCATGGGCAAGGACTTCATGTCTAAAACACCAAAAGCAATGGCAACAAAAGCCAAAATTGACAAATGGGATTTAATCGAACTAAAGAGCTTCTGCACAGCTGTTCAGAGTGAACAGGCAACCTACAGAATGGGAGAAAATTTTTGCAAGCCATCCATCTGACAAAGGGCTACAAGGAACTTAAACAAATTTACAAGAAAAAAACAAACAACTCCATCAAAAAGCAGGCAAAGGATATGAACAGACACTTTCCAAAAGAAGACATTTATGCGGCCAACAAACATATGAAGAAAAGCTCATCATCACTGGTCATCAGAGAAATGCAAACCAAAACCACAATGAGATACCATCTCACACCAGTTAGAATGGCGATCATTAAAAAGTCAGGAAGCAACAGATGCTGGAGAGGATGTGGAGAAATAGGAACGCTTTTACACCGTTGGTGGGAGTGTAAATTAGTTCAACCATTGTGGAAGACAGTGTGGCGATTCCTCAAGGATCTAGATCTAGAACTAGAAATACCATTTGACCCAGCAATCCCATTACTGACTATATACCCAAAGGATTATAAATCATTCTACTATAAAGACATATGCACACATATGTTTATTGCAGCACTATTCACAATAGCAAAGACTTGGAACCAACCCAAATGCCCAGCAGTGATAGACTGGATAAAGAAAATGTGGCACATATATACCATGGAATATTATGCAGCTATAAAAAAGGATAAGTTTGTGTCCTTTGCAGGGACATGGATGAAGCTGGAAACCATCATTCTCAGCAAACTAACACAGAAACAGAAAACCAAACACCGCATGTTCTCACTCATAAGTGGGAGTTGAACAATAAGAACATATGGGCACAGGGAGGGGAACATCACACACTGGGGCCTGTCAGCAGGTTGGGGGCAAGGGGAGGGATACCATTAGGAGAATTACCTAATGTAGATGACAGGTTGATGGGTGCAGCCAACCACCATGGCACATGCATACCTATGTAACAAACCTGCACATTCTGCACATGTATCCCAGAACTTAAAGTATAATAATAATAAAAAAACAGTTTTCAACAAATTTAGAGGTTCTTTATGGAAAACTAAGTTTCCTTATTTAGGAAATAATCCTTTGAGGGAAAAATAATACCATGTTCAAAGGATCAACTTCCTCAGGAAGAGAATTTAGAGAAAGTTCTTCTTTCCATATAACAAATCCATGTTTAAATTGCTTTATCAAAAGACAAAGTTCTCACAATTGACTGAATCAAAGCACTCAGATGACAAAATGGCAAATTTTCAGGAGGAAGCCACTCCTCTAGACATGGGAGAATCTCAGAAATAATTGTATTAACCACATTAACTAGTACTAGGTTTTCTGCAATGTTCATGACACCAAAAATGAATAGTCAACTTATTTCTGTCTAAGACAGTTTAGACTAAATTACTTTTTAAGTTTCTTGATTTAACGTGACCAAATATATATATACACATATAAATACACACACACACATATGTAGCATGGTATATGGCATGCTTCTAAATGCAAATTACTCACTTTACCACTGTAAGGAAGAAAGGGTAACACCTTTTCCTCACCCATCACAAGAGTCATGGCCAACAGTCCTATGACAGAAGACAAGTTAGCATGAAAAAAGCACAACAAATTTATTTAGCAAAGTTTTACTTGACACAGGAGCCTTCAGAAATGAAGACCTGAAGACCCAGGAAAATTTTGTACTTGTATGCTAAGTCTGATGAAAGAAGTAAATAGTTATGGAGAAACATGGTTAGAAAGATCTGACCTACTGGTAATCAACTGAGAAGGGAACCTAGGAAGGCCTGTTTGCTCAGATTCTTCTTGGCCTCTATGTAGCATACCTTCTCCCTGAGTATGGGGCACGTCACCCTGGGATGAGAGCCTTATGTCCTACTTTCAAGCAAGGTAGGTTGGAGAATTCTTTTATGACCATGCTTCACACAGAAAGGCAGGGTAAGGTCACAGTGACCTTCTTATTTCTGAGGCCCTCCCAATCTCCTGCAGTTCCAAGTACTTTGGGGTAACATTTTCAAGGCCCCAGTGCCACACTGTTTACCACTTTTGTGCCCAAAGAAAGATACTAATCAACCTATAATTTCTGTAGTATGTTTGATGAGATCAAAAAACAATGGATATGCTTCATAAAACATCATATTCTAATGTAAGTATGATAGCAGTTTTATATATTTACTATAAATATATAACATTTTATTGTATATTTACATTTATTTTACTAATTTATTTGGCATTTGTTTGTTTGTCTTTGTTGTGGTTGTTTTTTCTTTAAGATGGAGTTTCACTTACATCCAGGCTGGAATGCAGTGGCGTGATCTTGGCTCACTGGAACCTCCACCTCCTGGGTTCAAGCAATTCTCGTGCTTCAGCCTCCCGAGTAGCTGGGATTATAGGTACGCTCTTTCATGCCCAGCTAATTTTTGTATTTGTAGTACAGATGGGGTTTTGCCATGTTGGCCAGGCTGGTCTTGAACTCCTGGCCTCAAGTGATCTGCCTGCCTCAGCCTCCCAAAGTGCTGGGATTACAGGTGTGAGCCACCATGCCCAACCTCATTTATTTATTCGTGTGTGTGTGTGTGTGTGTGTGTGTGTGTGTGTGTGTATAACTGCCTAATAGCTTATACCTTAAGAGAGCCTTAAATAGTATAAGAAAGAAAAGATAAACAAAGGGCAAGACTGTCACATCTGTGTGGCTACAAAAGGAAAATATTCCTTACACAGCATATTTCCTACATGATTGACAAAGCTAGCAATCTGCATTCAAAAGCATGTAGCCCATGTACCACAGGCTACATACAGGCTCTCAGGCTAATGATCAGAATAACAATTATGAGTAACTTTTCCCGAATGCTTACTAAGTGCCAGGCACTACACTAAGTGTTGTTTTGTTTTGTTTTGTTTTTGAGACAGAGTCTCACTGTGTCACCCAGGCTGGAGTGCAGTGGTGAGATCTTGGATCACTGCAACCTCCTCCCAGGTTCAAGCGATTCTCCTGCCTCAGCCACCCAAGTAGCTGGGATTACAGGCGTGTACCACCATGCCCAGCTACTTTTTGTGTTTTTAGTAGAGACCGGGTTTCACTATGTTGGCCAGGATGGTCTAAAACTCCTGACCTAAGGTGATCCACCTGCCTCAGCCTCCCAAAGTGCTGGGATGACAGGCATGAGCCACTGTGCCCGGCCTTACACTAAGTGTTTTGCATAATGTTATATGCCTTGTTTAATCCTCATTTTTCGAAGGAGGCTCCTGAGACTCACAGAAGTGAGCTGCACAGAGTCATGTGATTGATAAGTGGTTAAGCTGAGGTTCAAATACAGGCCACTGAATTTCAAACTAAAAACCCACAATCATTCCAGGCACCACCTTAAAGTTCTACTTATAAGGGGCCAGCGAGTGGCACACGGCCCAGGACGAAAAAGTGAGTGAGGATATTCAAACACAAGTCACATCACGACATGGCAAAAACAGAAAAACTTTGATGTTCTCCATCTGTTCTTCAGACAGAGAGCTCAAACATAAGAGAGTAGGGCTCAACTTTAAGACAGAAACTGCCCAGCACCATCTGCAGGTGGATTGCATTGTTTGGGGAGGCAGTCACATGACCCAGATCTGCTTCCTGCCTCTGCTTGCAGAAGTCTAACACTCTGAGGGCTAACACCAATCCTGCTTGCAGGATTCTAACACTCTGAGGCTCCGAGGTTGTTAAAGTCCCTGTCTCCCACACTACCAACCCCACTGTCAGCTTGACCATGAGTGAATGCCTTCACCAATGTATAGAAAGGACCTTGCTAATAGGAAAAAAGATGAGCCTGGAGCCTAAACAGGAAGGCTTTCTCTTCCACGGATTGGAAGCACCGCTAAAGAAGCTGGCTGACTTGTGAGGTTCGGGGATAACGAAGTATGAATGTACAGCTCCGGGTACTGTGCTTGGAGCATATGAAACATGCAACACATGACTAGTGTTGTTATACAGTTTTCATTCCCACAGTCTCTAACAAAATATAGTCATACGTCTTTTTTTAAAAAGACGTGTTGGATTCTAGTGCTGAGAAGAAGAGAAGCTACCACTAATATAGCATGAGAGAGTGGCAGACAGAGAGATCCCTGGGGACCCACATTTTTCAGGGAGAAACCCCAATTCTTTCTGCCCTTCAAGCAGTGGCACACAGCAGAAAGTGAAATCATTCATTGGACAGCTTGATTGGAAACTGTGATTTATATTACAGGGATCTTTTTGCCACAATAGCCTAATCTAAATCAGGCCATTATTTCATACAAGCCATTATTTCATAAAGTTTTACATTTTAACCTGTAACTCAGGTACCAAGTTTCCTCAAGCTACACATTCCCACTCATCAACAATATCATTGGTTTGACATTATACATACAAAAAGAGCAATTTTTTAAGAAAAACAGTTATAAGCTGATACATCATTTTCAACACACCCTATATATAAAGTTGCTGTGTTTCAGAGGTTATTTGGATTATTTTAATCTATTGAAAAAAAAAGCTAACACGACACTTTTGGACAGTTCAGCCTCCTTTTTCTTTGCTTTGATGGTGTTCTTTTCTCCTTTTCTCCCTCTAGTTTTTATCTCTGTTCAAAAGCAAGATTTTAAATCCTGTAAGTAGAAATTGGAACAACTTCTGGGCTTTGCACAGCACCTAGCTAGTTCTTCAGGATATTCTTTGTTCTATTTTTTAACATACATTTTTAAAGGTAATAATAAACTAAACTTTGACCTTTAAAATCTTCAAATAAATCAATCAGCAGAGAAATAACTAGGTAAAGAGCAGAATGGAAAACAATCAAACAAGGCTGGAAAGTCATAGAAAATTCCTAAAATTGTGTGTTTGTATGTGTGTGTGTGTGTGTGTGCATGTTGTTGTTCTTATTGTTCATTTGTATATGTGTGATTTGAGCAACATTTGAGAAAAAAAAAATAAGAAAATGAGGAAACTGGTAGTTGCTTTTGAAGTCATTTTATAAGGCAAATATTTGTAAAGCAAAGGAAAAGAGAAAGGGGTCGTGCAATCAGTGCCATTCCCTGAGCCCCTGCCTGCACCAGTCAGCTCTAGCCTCTGCAGGGCCCTTGTCTGGGCATTGTCCCTTGGGCTCTTTGTTCTTAGTTGCCAGGAGAAAGTGGTCATTGTTTCTCTACTTCTCTTCCTCTTTTTGTTTTTTATTTTTTTCTTCTTCTTCTCTTCCATCTCCTCATCTTTTTCCCTATTCTCCTTCCTTTGCTTTTAAATCCAGTTTGGTATAGAGGTCCTTTCTTGATTTACTTACAACCATGTTTCTTCTCCTGGTACAGATAACTTTCTTTGAACAAAGTATGACCTGTGAATCAAAACTCCTGCTACCAAAGTCCCATGTTGTACCACACTAAAACCTACAATGTCCTCCCTGAAGTTGTTTTCATGGCTCAACGAACATAAGAGCCAAGTCAAAGCCAGACATAAGATGAGTTCATATTTGAGGCTAAGGGAAAATTACTTCTGGGGGAAGTAATGTTTTGGCTTAAATTCACATGAAATATAAATGACTAATATCAAATATTTTGCTGAAGCAGAGATTGATGGAGAAAAGGATGAAGATAGAAAAGGGTGTCAAGCCCTTTAAAAGAAAGGGAGCTCTCAGTAGATGAGAGAAAATTATGCAGAAAACGTAGGCTAGTTCACTGAAGGCCAACTGGGTATGGAGTTCCACTTTGCCTTGAACTTGCTCTACCCTTCAATGTCAGGGTTATGTAAAAGTGTCCAGTTATGGTCATTCAGAATCAGACAGAGCATAAACACCTCTCTCAGAAGAACGGGAAGTGTCTACAGAGCATCATAGAATGCCAGACAGTCTAATGGTCTAATTCAGCCTCACAAAAATGTGGCTTCACTGTCCTACTCTAGGCGGCTATCTGAACTTTTCAGATTAATAATAAGAGCTAAGGAAGTTATTCCATACAGTCTGTGATTGAATCTGTAGTAGAGTTTGTCTGAATTGGCTCGACATCCTTATGAGTTACCTCCCTGTTGACCAAGAAGTCCACAGGCCCACCATCAAAATGCTCACTCACTTTGCCTCTCTCCCTCCCACTTTCTCCTTCCCTCTCTCTCTCTCTCCCCGCCTGCCACCCCACAACATACACCTTAGGTTTGGGTCAGCCAACAACTCGTAACCCCAGCGCAGCTCCTGAAGCCCCAGACAACTACCTTCTCACCTAGGAACTTAGGCAAAGCTGGAATTTCCAAGTTTGTCACAAGACAGTTTGTTGGGTGCATCCCACCCCGTTGCTCCCCTAGCGAATTGCATTTCTCTGTGATGACTTTACTCTTATGGACCTTCTACATTCTCAGGAATTTAATGGCCCTAATTTGCACTAGACCCATCTAACTCCAAAAGTCCATGGCAAGAAGCAATTTGTCATTTGCTGAGAACTCTCTCTAATGTTGCATTTTCTAGGGAAGAAGGTTGGTTGGTTTGTACAATCAAAATTTCTTACTGAGGCTTAGTTGCCTCTTCTAAAATTTTGCTTCCATGGCTATGTTATGGCATTATTCTCAAGGGATTACAAAAGGTCTCCTTATATGCATTTCCTTCAGGAATGTCAATAATCTACTATAGATTTTCTATAAATAATAATAGCCTCACTTTTTGAATGCTTACTATGGATCAGGCACTATACATTTGTCAGATCATTTATGGTCAAAAAAATCCTGTAGCCAGTCCAACTACTATTCCCATTTTACAAATGGTAAAATTGAGACTCAGTGAGCTTGAGATGCTAATTAGTGGAGACATTCTAGGGTATAAACTCAGGCAGTCTAACTTTAGAAGCCTATGAGCTTAAACACTACACTATCATGCCCCATATGTGCTTCTAGCCACTATATAATGCCACTACATAAATCTTTTACAAAAGACTGGGAGCTCCTCCCATGTAATATGTGTGCAGATTTACTCAACTTTACATTCCCGTAGGGCCTGGCATGTAGGAAGATGGCCTGCATAAAAGCCATAAGATGGCCAGGAGAGAAACATGAAGTCTCCCTGGTTGGTACACAGAACATTCTCCCACACCTTCCTATTATATGATCTGTGTTCATGGCTAGCAACAGTGCCCTAGGAAACATAAGCTAAACAAGACCCTGCAGTGTCACTTGGAATAAATGAAAGTTCCTTTCTTCATCTCTGGACTTTACAATGGGGCAGTTCCCAAACTTCCCAAACAGAATTGCTGTCTCAGCACATTTTCCCCAAGCCCACACTCTAACTTCTTAAAGAGAACCAGGCTTGAGGCAGAAATGAGAGCTCTCCTTTCTTGACTCCCCTAAATCCCTATCCTTGCAGTCTGTTCTGGCTCCAAACGTGAGCAGTGCTCACTCTGGCCATTTCTGAGGCCCAGGTGAATTTTACCCACAAAGGAAACGATTGTGTTACCCCATCCATATCAGTAAGGGTGATCTATGTTGTTATTCAGTTGGCTACTTCTGGCGATGGCGCTTTTAAACGTGACTAGCACCCCTTTAGATAATTTCAAATGTATTTGGAATGTAACATAACAGAACACATTGTGTAAAACTGTGCATAGCAAAACCATTTCTCCAACAGCGATTTCAGTGGACCAGAGTCTGCTTCTTTCAGAAGCCCCCTGGATGCCTTAAGAATATTTGTCTCATTATCCCCATTATTTTCCCCTCCAGGGAACCGTCCCTAATAAACTTTGCTATGTCTCTTGTCCTGGCTAGTTTTAGTATGAGCCAGGGGAAAGATTTCAGAAAAGCAAGAGTTCTTTTCTGCCTGGGCTTGCAAAATTGTCTTTTGCTGCAGATGCATCTGTTAGTAATGATTGAGACAATCTGTGCAGCATAAGAGAACTTGTTGAGAGATGACTCTAAAAAGATCCTCTTCCAATAAATGTTTAACTTCTTAGTACCTTTTCATGACAGCAGGATCATGAATTTAACGTCCCCAGAAGATGAGATGATGTCTTCTCACTTGGCATGACCATCTTAAAGTAATGCTTATACCTTGGAACCAGAGGTCCTTGAGAACTTCAGGGGCCCCAAAACTATAAATATTACCCGAAAGGATACTTCAGGTTCAAGTACCATTCCCAAGTTCTGGCCCTCTCTGATAAGCTCAGGATAATTGAATTTAGTAAAGATGATCATTGAGAGGACTGGAATCCCTCAGCCTTCTTCACGTGGCCAAGAAGACCTCAAGTCTAAAATCAAATTTTCAGGAGGCTGAGAACATCAGAAAACTATTAGTTCTCTAACCCACTTCTTCTCTTATCATCTTTTTGCCTCTGTCTGGAAATGAAATCAGCATGGTTTCCATCCAGAGATTTAGAGTAGTCTGGGTATAATACCAGGCCCAATGGGCCCAAGAGAAAACCGGAGTCATCTTCGGGTATCCCATTTCCCTCGTAGCTTTATTTGTCAACACAACACATTAGCTGATAAGGTAAGTTCACTCTACTCAAGCAGGGATTACAGACTCTGAGGAGTACAAGGTGACATGCAGGAGGACAAGAAGCACAGGAAAACCCATGGTACATTTTCCTGGAGTGCCAATAGAAGAGGAAATGGCACTATTTTTGGAGCATTACAAACTAGAGTAAAACGCAAACTTGTAGTAAAACGCAAAATTCATGGACTTTCAAAATAAAACTTAAAACTGCAAATACATTTTGAGTTTGAGGCATGAGCTTCCCACTCCTTGCCTAGATCTCAGGGGGACACAATGTTTGTTTTCCTCCTCCATTAGGGGTGCTTTGATGGGTATTTGAGAAAAACTGTCCATATGTACCTCTCCCAGGGCTATTGACATTTTAACAAGGTACTCGTATTGAAAAAAAAAAAAACTGTTACAAAAAAAAAAAAAACAGAATTAAAGAAAAAGTAAAAAATGAAAGAAGTGTTTACAGGAGTCTTCATATAGTTATGGCATTACAGTTGGCTCCTCATATCTACGGGTTTGCATCTTCAGACTCAACCATGGATTGAAAATATTCCAAAAAATTAAACAAAATTAAAAAAAACAATAAAAATTACAAATTTAAAACAATATTGTATAACAACTATTTACATAGCATTTACATTATATTCAGTATTATAAGCAATCTGAAGATGATTTAAAGTAGACAGGGGGATGCATGTAGGTTATAGGCAAATACTACACCATTTTATATAAGGGACGTGGGCATCCATGGATTTTGGTACCTGTGGGGGTCCTGGAACCTACAACTATGACAGTAGTCCTCAATACACCTCATTTTATTTAAAGGTAGAATCTGAGGTCCAGAAAGGTTTGGTAATTTGTCCAACATCACATAACCCTAGGTGGCAAAGCCAAGACGCAATGAGCAGAAATAGTGAAGTAAGAAGGGCCTTGGCTAGCCCCCTCACATCATTGCCCACAGACAGCCATCTGCTCCACCCCGTGAAAGGGCCACTGGATCTGCCCCCAGATGCTGTGTCGCTGCAGCTTTCCGGGCCTGTCCTGTGGAGGATGCTTCCCACCGCACCAACAGCACAACAGCAGCCTCCCAGACCCAGGAAGGGAGAGTCAGCTTAAGGTTATTCTCTCAGCATACATCTCTGTTGAACTTCAGTGATCCCTCCAGCCTGGCTGGGGATAGTTTTGTCGAGACAGACATGTTACTCTTCGCCAATAGAAAGGAGGTCCTTGAAGGGATTGTATGGAAATTAGAAAAATGAGCGACCTGAGGATGCACGACTATTTTGGTCCTAATCTCTCGTTCTCTCTGTGTGTCTCGCTCAGAGCCTGATTCCCAAATCTACCACTCTGTTTCTTCCTCAGTTTCTATTTATTTCTGTCGCTGTTTGTTTTCTTTCTACTCTCTTCCCCCCTCTTCTTCTTATATTTTCTCTTTATTTGATTTGAAAAAATTATCATTTGTAACAAGCCTGAGGCTATAAGCATCACAATATGTAATTAAAATACGTAAAGCAAGTGACAGCTTTAGTACATTGCTTGGAGTTTTGTTGCATATTTATTAATATGTCTGCAATTTAATTGGAAGGATTTCAGCCTAGTCTGTCAGATATGCTTATATGCTAGTCTAGGCTTCCACTCCAGGAGAAGTCAGTCACCTTAATGGAAAACCCATACTTCTGGGGTGCTCTGTTGGCAAGATATCAGAATGGATGCCCCTAGAAGCAGCTACTAAAAAATGCTGCTTCTTTCTATATTTCAATCAGCACCCAATATTTTGTTAATTAGCATAGTGAATTTTAGAACTATTAAAAGGGGCTACTTATTCAATAAATCAATGACTTTCTAATTGGCATATTACAGGATTTTTCACATATTTATTATACTCCTTAAATACCCTATTTTATAGCAGTGGATTCTGAGGTTCAAGAATGTTAGAAATGGGCTTTGTTGGTAAAACTGTGTTCAAGATATATATATATATATATACACTAAAATATTTAAGACACTCTCCCCACCCGTGCTTAAACAGGGTATCAGAATCTAGCCAGGCCTATGGACGATCTCTTTTGAGATGATGCACAGAGCTTGTTTTCTGAATGGCCCCACGTCCAGCCATTAGCCAGGAGGATCTCTGGTTGCCTGAACTGCAGTTGGAACAGAATCCTGCCTCTGGAATATCTTCATGTCCACCTCAAGTGGATTTTCATGCAAGCAGGGATGCATGCACCCAAAAGGACAGAAGCTTAGGATGCCATTATGTTTGCAGAGCAGATTATCAGAGCTGTTTTGTGCCTACTTACATGACTGCTTCATGAATGTTCACGTGTGTGGCAGAATTTGGACTGAGATCTGCTTTCATGATAACCTGATATGAAGGTTGTGAGGCAATAGCTAACCCACACCCGCCACAAACTTCATCAGAGGTTCTTGTTACCTACCAAAAAGGACTTGAGAATTGTGTGTTAGGTTAGTTCATAACAAAAATGTAAGAAAACAAGCAAAGGCAGCATTGTTTCCTATTTCTGCTGCCTCCAGAGGACTCTGAGAAGGAAACATGGAGAAGAGCTGGTATAACAACAACGCCCTGTACTAAGAGACTGAGATGGAAACCTAGGTTCCCCATAGCTACCACCAATTATCTATTTAATTTTGGGCAAGTCACTTAACCCTGTGAGTCTTGAGTGTTGCATCTGTAAAGCAGGAATAATTGTTTACTTGCACCAAGTGTTTCTTGAACTTTGGAAGTTATTACTCAAGGAAGTGGTAGCTTTGCTTTTGGGTAAAGATACACTTCCCTGACTTCAAAATATTCCAACTCCTTTTTTTTTTAATCATTGGAGATTTTTTTTTGTTACAGCTTTATTGAAATATAATTCACACACCACTCAATTCAACCATTTAAAGTACACTGCTCAACAGCTTTTAGTATATTCATAGAGTTGTGAAACCATCACCACAAGCAGTTTTAGAACATTTTATCACCCCAGAAAGACACCCTATATCCTTTTGTTATCGCTCCCTAATCTCCCCATTCTCCCTCAGCATTAAGCAATCACTAATTTACTTTCTATCTCTGTGTCTCTACTTTCTTTTTTCGGGGGACAAAGTCTTACTCTGTTGCGAGAGCTGATCTCGGCTCACTGCAATCTCTGCCTCCTGGGTTCAAGCAATTCTCCCACCTCAGCCTCCTGAGTAGCTGGGATTACAGGCGCCTACCACCATACCCGGCTAATTTTTGTATTTTCAGTAGAGATGGGGTTTTGCCATGTAGGCCAGGCTTGTCTTGAACTCCTGACCTCAAGTAATCCACCCACCTCAGCCTCCCAAATTCTATGTCTCTACTTTCTACCAATTCTGGATATTTCATATAAATAGAATCTCACAGTATATGAACATTTGTGGCTGGCTTCTTTCACTTAGCGTGATGTTTTGAAAATAAATTTATGCTCTAGCATGTGTCAGTACTCCACACCTTTTATAGCCAAATAATATTCCAGTGTATGGATATACCACATTTTATTTATTAAATCATCAGTTGATGGACATTTGGTTTGTTTCTACCTTTTAGTTATTATGGATAATGATGCTAGGAACATTTTATGTGCAAGTGTTTGTGCAAACAGATGTTTTCATTTCTCTTGAGTAGATACTGGTGGGGTGGAACTACTGGGTTGTATGGTAACTCTGTGTTTAGCCTTTTAAGGAATGACCAGACTGTTTTCCAAAATGGCTGCATCATTTTACATTCCCACCAGCAGTGCATAAGGATTCCAATTTCTCCATACCCTTGCCAACACTTGTTATTTTTTGTTTTTTAATTAGAGTGGGTATGAAATGTATCTCATTTTGGTTTTCATTTACATTTCCCCAATGGCTAATAATGTGTTGTGTGTCATTTCTTGTGCTTGTCGGGCTTTTATATATCTTTTTTAGAGAGATTTCTATTCAAATCCTTTGCCCATTTTAATGTCTGGTTATCTAGTATTGAGCTGTAAGCATTAACACTCTAGATATAAGTCCCTTATCAAATATATGATTTGAATATTTTCTTCTCCCTTTCTGTCAGTCTTTTTTACTTTCTTGTATTCTCTGAACAAGAAGGGAAGTTTTAAATGTTAGAGAAGTCCCGTTTATCTATTTGTTTCCTTTTGTTTGTGCTTTTGGTGTCATATCTAAGAATCCATTGCCAAATCTAAGGTCACAAAGATTCACCCCTATGTTTTCACCTACGAGTTTTATAGTTTTGCTCTTATCATTAGGTCTTCAATTCATTTTGAGTTAATTTTTGTATATCGTTTAAAGTGGTAATCCAACTTCATTCTTTTGCATGTGGCTATCCAGTTACACCAGCACGATTTGTTGAATAGACCATTCTTTCTCCTTTTAATGAACTTGGCACTTTTGTTGAAAACCAATTTACCATAGACATGTAGGTTTATTTCTGGATTCTCATTTCTGTTCCATTGATCAATATGCCTATCTTTGTCCCAGAACCACACTGTCCTGATTACTGTTACTTTGTAGTAAGTTTTGTAATTGGAAAGTGTGAGTCCTCTAACTTTGTTCTTTTTCAAGATTGTTTGGGTTATTCTGGGTCCCTTGCATTTCCATATGAATTTTCAACTCCTTCTTGTCTCAAAAAGGAAAACTATTCTAGTGTTAGTGGGTTGCAACATCTATAAATGGCTTTTAATTGTTGCCTTCTTTAGACTTAAAAGCAAAGAAATCTAAAATTTCTATAGTTCTGTGTCCTTAATATAGTAGGAATTTCCTGAAAACAAGTTTATCAAAGACTGAACATTCTTTAAATTTTCTCTTGCACAATTTCTTCTCATTTCCCTAATGAGAGATCTTTTAAAACTGTTGGCCTTGAGAAACTGCCTGCTAAGAATGCTCTCAGACACTTGGCCACATCATCCTTAATTTCAGGCTTCTAGAGGCTCTCACTGGCCAGAGAAAAAGGGACAGCCAACAAGAATTAGTCCAATATCAATTCGGCAATCTGAAGAAAGGAATAATTTTTAAAAAACGTTCTCTGAAACCACTCTCTTATTTAAAATTCTTGATTCAGGAATAACCTAATAAAGCTGTTTGCCCTTACCCTCCCCACTTCACCCCCACAGGATAATGCAACGGTCTTCAGAACCCATGTGAAAATTCTCTCTCAAATGAGCACATTGAGAGGCAAGGAAAATGGTGTTGAAAGCAGTGGAAACCTGCAGAGAGGAGAGGAAAGGATGGCGAGCACAATAAGAGCATAAACCAATAGGAAGAGAGAAGGGAAGAGAATGAAGAGGAGAAAGGGAAAGGGGAGCTCAGAAAGGGAGAGAAGCATATGGCAGGTATCAATTATTTACCATTTATGTACAATAAAAAAATGCACTTTAACTACAGGAAGAGCACCAAATCCACTCAATAACCATTTAAAAGCATATGGAAATAAAACACAGCCATTTAAAGGGTTGTAATAAATGTGCAATGCTCTTCGTAATGCCCCTGAAAGAATACAAGTGTTAAGCCTTGGTAAATTACACTTAAAAGTAAGTGTAACATAAAAACGAAATTAGACATACAAATAACCTCACACTTAGGCATTTTTTAAAGTCTCTTTCAAACAGTTAATTAGAAAAGACTCTAAGGAGCATAACTTTTCTTTTTCCCATATTCTCTTCTTTTAACAATAGAGCCAAGCAAATGGCAGGAGCAAATAAACACAGATCTGGGACATAGGAAAGGTCTGCATCATGTTGTCTGCTCTGAAAAAGGGAAAAGGGGGAAGAAAATAAATAGATGGCACTGTTGGAACTGTTCCCTTCACTTATTAGAGAACTGAATGAAACCCTTTAAACAAAGGTCACAAAAAATATGTAGTTGGCATCATAGGCTCTGTTTCCCAATTACACATTTTAATAGATTCAATGTTCTCTTCAAAATGCACTAGCCAATCAGAAAGTACTCTCCACCTCATGTGCCCATTCTTCATTAACATCTGCTGTGGAATACAGTCATGGTTCCAGTAAACCAGGCCCAGCATGGTTCAGCCTTCAAGGGGAGAGAATTGAAAGGAGTTTTGCTCTGAGGGGGCTGTGGCCATGAGATCCCAGATTAAAGCAGGGGGCTGTGAGCAGCTGTGTTCCAGCCTGCAAATTCCACATAACAGCTCTAATCACAAACCAGAGTTCTCTCATCAATGAGGAGCATATTGTCTTTGCCACCCCATCCAGTCGGTCCTCAAATCTCTTCTGTATTTGGAGCCTAGTACATGATACATATATAATTTTATGAATGTTGCAGCTTGGGTTTTCAGGAAGCTGATTCTGAGACAGAGATTAGTGTGCAGAACATTTTTAGGGAGTGCTGTTAGGATTTAACTCTTAGGAAAAGAAAGGGGAGAAGAGGGGACGGGAGAGGAAAGGAGGGGAGGGAAGGGAAGGGAAGGGGTAGGAAAGGAAGGGAGTAAGACTAGGCAGAGGGAGAAAGCTGGGCTACAATGAAGTTTCAGTGGACATCTCGCTGGCCCACTGGGGAATTCTGAAGATGGACTGACCTCTCAATGCTATTCCAGTTGGGGAGAGAGCCAGGCCTCTCTACCCCTTCATCAGCCAGTCATTGGATGTAGCTGCCCAGGAAGGGGCTGTGACCTCTTCAAGGCTGCTCTCCTCATCTGAGACATCCCTGAAAGGAACTGAATGCCGTGAGCCATCTGCTTGCAGACCAGTGGCTGGGAAGTCAGACCTAAGTCCTGAAAGACGATTAAGCAGCACATCTCCACGTCCACCACGGAGAACAAGGAGAAAAGTCCCACTCAGGTTCCTGTGTGCATTCAGGAAACATGTGTTGTATCATTTTAATGGGCATGGCACGGATCTGTGATTATGGTTTACTTTAATGTTTTCCAGCAAGTCTTCAAGCACAGAACACAAAGAGTTTTGGGCCCATTGCCTCACCCAAGTTCTCTGTGAGGCAGTACTGCCTCAAGGACTCGCCTGCCCATTTTACACGTTAGAAAACTGATAACAGCAAAAAGCAATTGACCAGAGTCTTTGACAGGCAAGCCCTTCAGTATTTAAAATAAAAAGGCATCTTGAGGAGATGATAGTAAACCTTGCCTAGAAAAACAGTCGATGCATTGACATAGGGTTATAGGTGGACGTGAAAAAGGGGGATGTAGCTAATGAGAAATACCCTAGAGCTCTAAATTCTTTCTTCCTCCCTGGCTTCTATCTTTGCAGATGCTGAAGGGAATGATATAGTCGATAAATTATACTCTGACCCCATTTTCTAAATTTCATTAAAAACATTTTTTTTTCTGTATCTGAAAATGCCTCTCTCAACTCTTAAAAAGACACTCCTGGGTCTGTGTTATTACCCAATAAGTAACGTGCTACTGTGTGCACTGACTGTAATCAAGCCCATGCCGCCAGCCTAACAATGCACCTAAGTGTGCCACAGACCTCCAGTGCTCACCCTGTTGTGTCATTTCACTTAATTAATAAGCAGAACAAAGATTTCAGAAAAGGGAGAAATTCGATTACGCAGCACTGTAATGGCACTCAAGTCTGCTGTAAATACTGAGTGGGGTCTACCCCCTTAAAATCTCCATTTGCTCCACCGTTGTACAGTAGAAATGTCAGCGCGACTCCCCGCACGTCCCCTTTTAGTTGACCTTTAGCTGCATCTCTCAGTAATACTAAACCATTAGTCATGCCTGGGTCAGTGATGTGTCAATAACAGAATAATTATTGAAGATAGCCTTAAGAGGAAGGACATCAGCCTCAAATCAGCATTAGCTCAACTCAAACCGCCACCAGGGCTTGTTGAATAAATGAATGCATGTCTAATAAAAGGCCTCTTTACATCTGGAGACCTAAAGACTGTTGATTCCATTAATCCAAAGGGTTATTTGTAGCTGCTAAACACGTTTTTAGACCAATAAGTGACAGGCTTTTACTCCTGCTGACTGCAACCCACCCTTCTCAAGTAGAACAAATTCACTGTACTTAATGGCTCTGGCATTTTAAAAGGAAGTTGGTCAGCAGGGCTGTTTGGAACATCTGCACCTTTGCAGAACACTAAATGCAGGGGAGAAACTCTTCCCACTCACAGGAGATGCAATCTTGAGATTCTGAAATCAGGGTGCCTCCAAACTCTGCGCTAGACCTCTGGTGGAAACCAAACAGCGAGGTGCTAATAAAAGAAATAAGGGACACTCAGAGAGGCAGCGCAGCTCAACAATTAACATCAGAAACGCAGGAAATAGATATGCACACAGGGAGAGCACCATGTGAAGATGGCAATTGTGCTGCCAGAAGCCAAGGAACTCCCAGAAGCTGGGAGAGAGGCCTGGAACACATCCTTCCCCAGCACCTTAGAGGGAGCATGGCCCTGCTAATACCTTGATCTTGGACTTTTAGCCTCCAGACTGGTGAAACAATAACTGTTTATTGTTTAAGCCACTCAGTTTGTGCCATACAGTACTTCATTACGCCAGCCCTGGCAAACTAATGCACTGGAGTAATAACTTGCAGCTAGCAGGCCTTGTGTGGAATTCTATCCTCATCATTCACTTGTTGTGTCATATTGGGCAAGTTACTTAGAATCCTTGACCCTCTCCTATAAAACCAGGACAATAATACATGGTTTATCTGTCTCACAAATTTATTATTGGGATCAAAACTTTACATACACAAAAGCATTTTCCAAACTCTAACAGAGCCCAGGGAAGGAGAGAGAGCTCAAGCTAGGAAATGTAATATAGATGCTCAATAGCAGTCTTTATATACTGTGACAGTCTTCATTAAAAGCAATATATAATATTTCTGTAATGCTTGTTGATTTTTTTTAATGAGAAGGTGTTTCTTCTATGTTCATTGTAACCAGAATAAATCCCGTGGTTCCTCAGACCCAGTTGTTGCATAGAGCTCCATTAAAGAAAAGAAAAGTTCAATAAACAGGTGACTTTAAAGGGCAGTCATCTGTAGCCTTGATATGACGTAACAAAAAATAGCACTTTACCTCTGTGGTCTTCCTCCTCAAAACCTAGAACCCTAGTTTACTCATAAGAAAAACATCAGGCAAATTCCAATAAAGGAACATCCTACAAAATACCTGACCCGTACTCCTCAAAACTATTAAGAACATCAAAGGAAAGCTTAAAAAACCACCACAGCCAAAAGGAGTCTAAACACATATTACAACTAAATGTTATGGGGTATCCTGGATGGGATCTGATATCGTTTGAATGTTTGTCCCCTCCAAATCTCATGTTAAAATGTGATCCCTAGTGTTGGAGGTGGGGCCTATAGGTGATGTTTGGGTCATGGGGGTGGATCCCTCCTGAATGGCTTGGTGCCCTCCCTGTGGTAATGAGTTATGACAAGATCTGATTGTTAAAAGAGTTTGGAACCTTCTTCCCTCTCTCTTGCCCCCTCTCTCGCCCTGTGACACACTGGCTCCTCCTTTTGCCTTCCCCCATGAGTGAAAGCTCCCCAAGGCCTCACCAGAAGCCAGGCAGATGCTGGTGCCATCCTTGTACAGCCTGAAGGACTGTCGGTCAAATAAACCTCTTTTCTTTATAAATTGCCCAGTCTTAGGTATTTCTTTATAGCAATGCAAAACAGGCTAACACAGGAGCCTAGAGCAGGAAAAAGACTTTATGTAAAAAATAAAAAAATCTGAATAAACTATGGGATTTTATTAATAAAAATGTAAGCATTGGTTTATTAATTATAGCAAATGTATCATACTAATGTAAGATGTTAATAATAGGGGAAACCAACCACAGGGATATGGAAACTCTCTACCATCTTCTCAATTATTTTGTAAATCTAAAACTGTTCTAAAAAATAAAGTTCATTTTAAAAAAAGCAATCCAAATTGCTTTTATCTTTTGAAGAGTATTAGAGAAAATTAAATGTATGACTCACAAAAACACTTTATTTATTTATTTATTTTTTGAGACAGAGTCTCGCTCTGTCACCCAGGCTGGAGTGCAGTGGTACGATCTCAGCTCACTGCAACCTCTACCTCCCGGGTTTAAGCAATTCCCTGCCTCAGACTCCCAAGTAGCTGGGACTACAGGTGCCTGCCACCACGCCTGGCTAATCTTTTTATTTTTTGCAGACACAGGGTTTCGCCATGTTGGCCAGGCTAGTCTTGAACTCCTAACCTCAAGTGATCCACCCACCTTGGCCTCCCAAAGCACTAGGATTACAGGCACGAGCCACCGCACCTATCCACAAAAACACTTTTTAAAAATCCCCATATTCTCTTCTCTCTAGGTATTGATTTGTTAACTTCTCCAGAGCCTCTTACTCTGTCAAATCTCTACACATACATACGCATGCAGACACACACACACACACACACACACACACACTCACACTGCCTGAAACATGTGGCTTTTTTGTCTCTTGTGCTCTCCTGCTGATACAGTGCCATCTCCACTGTTCCCATTCCCCATGAAGAGACAGCCCCTCTAGAACACCTGGGGACTCAGTAGTTCCATGTCCCCGTTCTTCCCTCAGTTGCTCACAAAAAAAAGTATGAGGCATTCCCTGGAATATATAGTTCTTCTCCATGTCTGTCATTCAACCCAGCAACACTGCAGCCCCCCGCTTTGGCCTTTTCACCCCTTTTGGCATGAGGTAGTAATTGGAGTCTCCAGTAAGGGTTTGTTTTTCCCCAGGGCTGTTATAACCAATTATCTCAAATTTGGTGGCTTAAAATAACAGAAATGTATTCTCTTGCAGTTCTGGATATTGTGGAGGAAAAGTCTGAAATCAAGGTGTTGGCGTGGCCACACTTTCTCCAAAAGTTCCAGGGGAATATTCTTCCTTCACTCTTTTGGCTTCTAGTGGCTCCAGCTGCTTCTTGGCTTATGGCAGCCTGACTCCAATGTCTGCCTCTGTCTTCACGTGGCCTTCTCGCAGTGTAGCTCTGTGTCTCAAATCTCTTTCTCTTTTCTCTTATAAGAACACCAGTCATTGGATTAAGGATCTGCCCTAAATCCACGATGACCTCATCTTGAAATCATTAACTTAATTACATCTATTAAGACCCTCTTTCCAAATAAGATCACATTCACAGGTACCAGAGGTTAGGACTTAGATGTATTTTTTGGGAGGAAGACACAAATCAACCCACTACAATGAGATCCACATAGGATATACAAATTCTCTAACACTGGGCTCATTCTGAGATTTCTAACCAGAGAGCTGGTCCCCAAACCTCTAGGTCAACAATCTCCACCTTTGTTCTTGCCAAGTCACTGCCCAACCTGCCAAACCATCAGACATGCCCATGAATCAGGGTAGATCTTCATCTCCTTATCTAAGTCTCTTTTTGTCCAAACTGGTTAACGAGATGTAGCAAACTGAAGGGAAGTGCACAGACCAGACCTTCACCTTGAATTGGAGAAGGGTCATAAAAAGGAGCTGTGCTTAACTTGCTGCAGCTCCACATACTCAGGACAACTGGCATTAAACATGCGATGCTATTCAAAATACCCTAACCCGGTTGATGACTGCTAAGGATTAGATTTGGGACAATTATGTGCTAAAGTGATTATTTTGTTGGAGACAATGGAGTGCAATGTCCTCTGAATATAATAAATGTTTCTACTATTAATCCTTCTGAAAAGAAGTACAACCTCTGGCCTTAAACATTTGAGGCCTGGCTTTCTAGAAAAGTGGCTTTCTGCTTCCAAATGTAATCCACTTTCTGTTACATTGCATTGCCTCTCAAAATATCCCCAGACAAGGGAAACTAGAGCCCACCACTAAAATATATGTTGGGACATATTCAAGTGCCACATAATTATACACTGAGAAAATATTTAACCACACTTTCAGGTCAGCATTTTTATTTTATCCTCTAAGATTATTCAAATTTTAGAAAAATGAGAAGAATAGAACTGAGACCTTTTTGTTCCATTACTCCTAAATCAAGAAGACCTCACTATCCTTCTTCTTTGTGTCTCTTTTTTCTTTACTAAGAAATTTGTCACTCATGCTGTTCCTCTGACAATCAATTCATTGATCTTCACCATTCCACTCCAGGAATATTTGAAATGCAAATGAGGTCACAGGTCTCTTTTCCATTAAAAAAGGGTCGTTCAGAAACAGTAAAATAGTGCAGTTCCATAAATCCTCCATCTTTCTAATATGTGTACACACCAACCTTTCTTTTTCTTTAATTTTTTTCTCTTTGTCAGAGCAGAAAAATAAACTGCTAGCAGAAGCATACACTAGTTAGTCTCCCAAAACACAGGAAATCACTATATTGAAAGAATCTTTATTCATTTGACTGAAACCCTTCAATTTCTTAGACACTAAACATCGGCAGACTTAGCAAAGCTCTTTGTATCTATCATCTACTCATGCATCATTCATGTAAAAGGTGACCTGGGTCCCATTAGTTGACTAGCTGATCTGAATCTTTTGGGTTACTCAGATAAGTCATTTCTAGTGGTCCTGCTTTTAAAATTAATGGAATAGAACAGAGTACATGCTACTTAAAAGAATGCCCTGCTGGGAATGTCTCACTAAAGTAAGGCTAATTCTTTTCTGTATTCTGCCTTTCTTTCCCACCCTTATTTTTGCTTTCATTCCAAAGAACTGTATTTCTGAATTTATTTCAGATCCAGGAGTACAGAATATCAATGTCAAGGCCCCAGCTGGGACTCAACATACATGAATTTGAATCAGTAACCACCCTCTGGTACAAAGCCTCCTTCTCTCAAAGTGCTGTCTTTCTGCTCAAGGCGTTTGGTGAAGCCCCATAAGAACAATGACCCAGTCACTCCTTGGAAGCCCTGTTGATCAGAGCCTCATAGATAGTCAAGGCTTTCCCTATAACACCCTACAGATCAGAGCAATTGTTCATTTCCTTATTTGCCATGCAATTATGACTAACCTCAACTGTGATTACAGCTTTTAAAATATATGTCTATGTCTTAGAGAATTTAAATAAATGATCAATATCCTGTTTAAAAATTCTTCAGTGGTACCCCATAAATTTCAGTTCAGAGTTCAAATTCTGAAGCTTAACACACAAATTCCCTAGTGGCTGCCCTCTGCCTATCTTCCTACCATCATTTCCCACCTCTTCCATAGGTACATTTTATTTCTACCATCCTGAGCTACTTAACATTTTTCATGTTTCTGTACTTTTGATGTCTGGGATGTCCTCATCCTCCCACCCCATCTCTAATTAATTCTTTCTCATCCTATAATAGCAGTTCAAGCCTTATCTCCCAGGAACCTTTCCAAAACTCCCACTCTGATCTAGATATCCCTGCTCTTTGTTCTTAATGTTCTTGCACCTACCTCTAAGATAGTACTTATCATGCTATTGTGCAGTAAATGCTAGTCCACTTACCTGTCTACCATGCTAGTTCAGAGCTGCTCCTTTCACTAGTCAATGAAAGCATAACTTTTCGCCAATCAGAATCTAAGTGTTAAAGAAATGGCCATTGGGTCCACCTAGTATCTAAAATACGGATGGATCAACCTGACCAAGAATTGATGTTGCTTTTATCAATATCCTAATAACAAGATTTTCAAAAATTAACTATGGGATTTATCATATGGTCTGGTCCTAAAAACAACTCACGCTATTCAATTAAATTACTTATATGTAAAAACTATTTTAATATCTTTTTATATTTTGGGGAAAAAATTTCTACCTGCATTCTTCAAATTGCAATTGAATCCCTAGGAAATTGCCTTTAGCTGCTGTCTTATGATTTGATTGCCTCACTAAGAGCAAAACCACCTCCCTATTGAGGAATTATTTCAGTGTCCTATGTTTCATGCTATAATATCTTTCTTATGTCTTCTGATACAACAGTTTTTGCCTTGTTTTCAGCCCCCTCTATAATGGTAACCTCTTCTACCACTGCATGGCTTTCCTGCTCAATTTCCCTGTTAGTCAAAACTTGGTTACAAGTTTCAGAAAACACAGCTCAAACCATCTTAAACTAATTAAAAAAGAGGCAGGGATGATTTTCCTGGGACATGTAACAAAAATTTAGGGCACAGCTAGATTCTAAGGTTGAAATGATGTCATCAGGAATCTGCCTTTTTTCCTGTTTGCTGATTTTATTCTCAGGCAGGGTCTGTAACAAGGAGAGGAGATGGCCTTGTCCATGGCTCCAGCTTTACATTGCCCTTTCAGATGGCAAATTCCATACAATAAACTGCCACTTTCCTGAGAGTTGAAGCAAAAATGCCAAGGGAAATCTTATTGGCCCAGCTTAAGTCACATTCCCATTCCTAAACCACTCACTGTGGCCTAGAAAATGTGTTCTTTTGATTGGCTAGAGTGGGTCAAGTGCCTACTCCTGAAGTGAGTCAGTCAATCTCATTCGAAGTACAGGGCCATTATGGTAACTACAATGCAAAAACCTATAATAGAATCACTAAAAATAAAAGCAACAAATTAAAACATACTGCCAGAGATAGTCATGTAACCACAAAGGAAGATAGTATAAAGGAAGAAAGAAAGAGAGGAGTTATATAACAAACAGAAAACAAACAACAAAATGGCAGTACTAAGTCTTTACTCATCAGTAACAACAATGAATGTAAATGGATTCAATTCTCCAACAATTAAAAGGCATAGAGCGGTTGAATGAATAAAGAGACAAGATCCAATTGTATGTTGCCTACAAGAAACCCACTTCACCTACAAAGACACAAATAGACTGAAAGAAAAGGGGTGGGAAGGATATTCCATGCAACTGTAAACCAAAAAAAGGGCAGGAGTAGCTATACTTAGATAAAATAGACTATAAATCAAAGACTGTAAAAAGAGACACAGAAGTTCACTATATAATGATAAAGAGGTCAATTCAACAAGAGGATATAACAATTCTAAATATGTATGCACCCAAAACCACAGGTCCCAAGTATATAAAGCAAACATTAATAGATCTAAAGGGAGAGATACACTGCAATATAATAATAGTAGGGGACTTTAACACCCACTCAGTAATGGTCTGATCATTCAGACAGAAAATCAACTAAGAAATATCAGAGTTAAACTTCACACTGGACCTAATAGGCATAACTGACATTTATAAAGCATTTCACCCAACTGCTGCAGAATACTCATTCTTTTCATCAGCATATAGAACATTCTCCAGAATAGACCATATATTAGGCCACAAAACAAGTCTGAAAAAATTCAAAAACGTGGGAATCATACCAAGTATCTCTTCCTACCACAAGGAAATAAAACCAGAAATCAGTAACAAGAAGAACCTCAGAAAATACATAAACACAAAGAAATTTTAAAAACATGCTCCAGAACAAGCAATGGGTCAAAGAAGAAGTTTAAAAGGCTATTAAAAATTTTTTTGAAACAAATGAAAATAGAAATACAACATGCCAAAATCTATGGGATACATAGCAAAAGTACTATTAACAGGAAAGTTTATAGTAACAAATGCCTATATCAAAAAATTAAAAAGACTTTAGATTAAAAAGCTAATGATGCACCTCAAGGAACTAGAAAAGCAAGAACAAACCAAACCCAAAATTAGGAGAAGGAAAGAAATAATAGAGATCAGAGCAGAAATAAATGAAATTGAGATTTTAAAAAATACAGAAGATCAATGAAATGAAAATTTGGTTTTCTGAAAAAATAAAATCAACAAACCTTTACTTAGACTAAAAAAGAGAAAAGACTCAAATAAAATCAGAAATAAAAAGAAGACATAACAACTGAGAACACAGAAATACATAGAATCATTAGAGACTATAATGAACAACTATATGCCAACAAATTTAAAAACCCAGAAGAAATTGATAAATTTCTGGACACATACTACCTCCCAAGATTGAGCCATGAAGAAATAGAAAACCTCAACAAACCAATAATGAGTAATGAGATTGAAGCCATAATAAAAAGTCTCCCAGGGCCTAATTTCTTCACTGATGAATTCTGCCAAACATTTAAAGGACTAATACCAATTCTACTCTAACCCTTTCAAAAAAAATTGAAGAGGAACATCCAAACTCATTCTACAAAACAAGCACTGCCTTAATACCAAAACGGGACAAAGACACAACAAAAAATAAAACTATAGGCCAATACTACTAATGCACATACATGAGGGAGGTGGCACAAGATGGAAGAATAGAAGGCTCCACTGACTGTCTCCTCCACGAGGACACCAATTTAACAACTATCTACACACACACACAAAAGAAAAGCACTTTCTTAAGAACCAAAAATCAGGTGAGTACTTGCAGTACCTGGTTTTAACTTTATATTGCTGAAAGAGGCACCAAAGAGGTAGGAAAATCAGTCTTTGCCAACTGATTGCCAACACCACCCCTTTCCCACAACCCCCAACCATGGAAGCATGGTGCAGAGAGCATTTCTGTGCACTGGGGAGAAGAAGTGCCCAGAAACATTGTGAAGCACTGAACTTAGTGCTGTGCTGTTCTAGCAGAAAGTAAAATAGGACCAAATGCAGCTGATGCCTGCCCACGGAGGCGGCATTTAAACCAGCCCTAGCCAGAGGCGAATCACCAATCCCAGTGGTCAGAACTTGAATTCTCACAAGCCTCACTACCATGGGCTAAAGTACTCTGGAGCTCTAAATAAACTCGAAAGGCAGGCTAGGCCACAAGGACTGCAACTCCCAAGTGACTTCTAGTGCTGAACTGGGCCCAGAGTCAGTGGACTCGGGGGCATATGACCTACTGAGACACCAGCTGGGGCAGCTAAAAGAGTGCTAGAATCAGCCCTCACCTAACCCTATGCTGCACAGCTCGTGGCTCCAAAAGAGACCCCTTCCTTCCACTTGAGGAGAGAAGCGGGGAGAGCAGGGAGAACTTTGTCTTGCATCTTGGATAGCAGCTCAGCCACATCAGGATAGGGTACCAGTCAGAGTCATGAGGCCCCTTTCCAGGCCCTAGGCCCAGATGACATTTCTAGACACACCCTGGGACACAAGGGAAACTGCTGCCTTGAAGGGAAGGACCTAGTCATGACAGGATTCACTACCTGCTAACTGAAGAAACCTTGGGCCCTGAATAACCAGCAGAGATACCCAGGTACTGAGGGCCTTGGATGAAACTCTGAGATTTGCTGGCTTCAGGTGAGACTCAACACATTCCCAGCTGTGGTAGCTACAAGGCAAGACTGCTTAAGAGAAGTGGAGGGAAAAGAAAAGGGAACTTTGTCTTGCACCTTAGGTATCAGCTCAGCCACAGGAAGATAGAGCACTAAGCAGGCTCTTGAGGTCCCTTGTTCCAGGATTTGGCTCTTGGATGGCATTTCTGGACCTGCCCTGGTTCCTGGGGAGGCCACTGCCTGAAGGGTGAGTCCCAGGCCAGACAGGATTTACCACAAGCTGACTGAAGAGCCCTTGGGCCTTAAAGGAACATCAGTAGCAGTCTGGCAGTACTTCCCATGGGACTGTGGTAGCACTGGCCATGAGGTGAGGCTCCTCTGCCTTCAGAAAGCATAGGAAAGAGTGAGAAGGACTGCATCTTGTGATTTGAGTGCCAGGTCAACTGCAGTATAATAGAACACCAGGTAGACATTTAAGGTTTTTTACTCTAATCTCTGGCTCCTGGATGTCACCTCTGGACCTGCCCAGGACCTGGAGGAATTCATTGCCCTGAAGGGAAGGACACAGGCCTGACTGGTTTTGCCACCTGCTGATTGTAGAACCCCAGGGCCTTGAGTGAAGATAGACAGTAGCCAGGGAGTAGTTACCGTAGGCCTTGGAAAAGACTCATTGCTATGCTGGCTTCAGGTCTGACCCAGTGTAGTCTAAGTGGCCATGGTCCCAGAGGGGCTTGTGTCATTCCACCCCCAGCTCCAGGTGGCTCAGCACAGAGAGAGACTCCATTTGTTTGGAAGAAAGTAAGAGAAGAAAACAAGTCTCTGCCTGATAATCCAGAGAATTCTTCCAGATCTTACCTAAGACTGCCAAGGTGGTACCTCTCTGAGTCTGCAAGAACCACAGTGTTACTGGGCTTGGGATGCCCCCTAAAGCAGATACAGCTTAGACTATAACACCCAAATCCTTTTGAATAGGACTTCCCAAGAAGGATGAGTACAAACAAGCCCAGACAGTGAAGGCTACAATAAATACCAAACTCTTCAATGCCCAGGCACAGATGAACATCTACAAGTATCAAGACCATCCAGGAAAACATGACCTCACCAAATGAACTAAATAAGGTACCAAGAAGAATCCTGGAGAAGGAGAGATGTGCGACCTTACAGACAGAGTATCCAAAACAGCTGTTTTGAAGAAACTCAAAGAAATTCAAGATAACACAGAAAAGGAATTCAGCATTCTATCGAATAAACTTAACAAAGAGATTGAAATAATTAAAAAGAATCAAGCAGAAATTCTGGAGCTGAAAAATACAATTGGCATATGGAAGAATGCATTAGAGTCTTTTTTATTTCTTTTACTTTAAGTTCTGAGATACATGTGTAGAACCTGCAGGTTTGTTACATAGTTATATATGTGCCATGGTGGTTTCCTGCACCTATCAACCCGTCATCTAGGTTTTAACCCATGCATGCATCAGGTATTTGTCCTAATGCCCTCCCTCCCCTTGCCCCCCACCCCCCAATGGGCCCCAGTGGGTGATGTTCCCCTCCCTGTGCCCATGGGTTCTCATTGTGCAACTCCCACTTATGAGTGAGAACATGTGGTGTTTGGCTTTCTGTTCCTGTGTTAGTTTGCTGAGAATGATGGCTTCTGGCTTTACCCATGTCCCTGCAAAGCACATAAACTCATTCTTTTTTTATGGCTGCATAGTATTCCATGGTATATATGTGCTGCATTTTCTTTATCCCGTCTATCACTGATGGGCATTTGGGTTGTTTCCAATATTTTGCTATTGTAAACACTGCTGCAATAAACATACATGTGCATGTATCTTTATAGTAGAATGATTTATAATTTTTTGGGTACACACCCAGTAATGGGATTGCTGGGTCAAATGGTATTTCCAGCTCTAGATCCTTGAGTAATCACCACACTGTCTTCTACAATGATTGAACTAATTTACACTCCCACCAACAGTGTAAAAGTGTTCCTGTTTCTCCATAGCCTCGCCAGCATCTGTTGTTTCCTGACTTTTTAATGATTGCCATTCTAACTGGCATGAGATGGTATCTCATTGTGGTTTTTATTTGCATTTCTCTAATGACCAGTGATGATGAGCTTTTTTTCATATGTTTCTTGGCCACATAACTGTCTTCTTTTGGAAAGTGTCTGTTCATATCCTTTGCTCATTTTTTTATTTTTTTTTTTCTTGTAAATTTGTTTAAATTCCTCGTAGGTTCTGGATGTTAGTGCTTTGTCAGATGGGTAGCTCGCAAAAATTTTCTCCCATTCTGTAGGTTGCCTGTTCACTCTGATGACAGTTTCTTTTGCTGTGCAGAAGCTCTTTAGTTTGATTAGATCCCATTTGTCAATTTGGGCTTTTGTTGCAATTGCTTTTGGTGTTTTAGTCATGAAGTCTTTGCCCATTCCTATGTCCTGAATGGTATTGCCTAGGTTTTCTTCTAGGGTTTTTATGGTTTTGGGTTTTACATTTAAGTCTTCAATCCATCATGAGTTAATTTTTGTATAAGGTGTAAGGAAGGGGTCCAGTTTCTGTTTTCTGCATATGGCTAGCCAGTTTTCCCAGCTCCATTTATTAAATAGGGAATCCTTTCCCTATTGCTTGTTTTTGTCAGGTTTGTCGAAGATCAGATGGTTGTACATGTGTGGTGTTATTTCTGAGGTACCTGTTCTGTTCCATTGGTCCACATATCTGTTTTGGTACTAGTACTAAGCTGTTTTGGTTACTGTATCCTTGTAGTATAGTTTGAAGTCAGGAAATGTGATGCCTCCAGCTTTGTTCTTTTTGCTTAGGATTGTCTTGGCTATAGGGGCTCTTTTTTGGTTCTATATAAAATTTAAAGTAGTTTTTTCTAATTCTGTGAAGAAAGTCACTGGTAGCTTGATGGGAATAGCATTGAATCTATAAATTACTTTGGGCAGTATGGCCATTTTCATGATATTGATTCTTCCTATCCATGAGCATGGAATATTTTTCCATTGGTTTGTGCCCTCTCTTATTTCCTTGAGCAGTGGTTTGTAGTTCTCCTTGTAGAGGTCCTTCACTTCCCTTGTAGGTTATATTCCTAAGTATTTTATTCTCTCTGTAGCAATTGTGAAAGGGAGTTCACTCATGAGTTGGCTCTCTGCTTGTCTGTTGTTGGTGTATAGGAATGCTTGTGATTCTTGCACATTGATTTTGTATCCTGCGACTTTGCTGAAGTTGCTTATCAGCTTAAGGAGTTTTTGGGCTGAGATGATGGGGTTTTCTAAATATACAATCACATCGTCTGCAAACAGAGACTAAATATACAATCACATCGTCTGCAAACAGAGACAATTTGACTTCCTCTTTTCCTATTTGAATACCCTTTATTTCTTTCTCTTGCCTGATTGCCCTGGCCAGAACTTCCAGTACTATGTTGAATAGGGGTGGTGAAAGAGGGCATCCTTGTCTTGTGCTGGTTTTCAAAGGGAATGCTTCCAGCTTCTGCCTGTCCAACATGATATTGGCTGTGGGTTTGTCATAAATAGCTCTTATTATTTTGAGATATGTTCCATCAATATCTAGTTTATTGAGTGTTTTTAGCATGACGGGGTGTTGAATTTTATTGAAGGCCTTTTCTGCATCTATTGAGATAATCATGTGGTTTTTGTCATTGGTTCTGTTTATGTGATGGATTATGTTTATTGATTTGCATATGTTGAACCATCCTTGCATTCCAGGATAAAGCTGACTTGTTTCTGGTGGATAAGCTTTTTGATGTGCTGCTGGATTCAGTTTGCCAGTATTTTACTGGGGATTTTCGCATTGATGTTCATCAGGCACATAGGCCTGAAATTTTCTTTTTTTATTGTGTCTCTGTTTAAAGTCTGTTTTATCAGAGAGTATGATTGAAACCATTGCCTTTTCTTCCTTTCCATTTGCTTGGTAAATATTCCTCCATCTCTTCATTTTGAGCCTATGTGTGTCTTTACACATGACATGGGTCTCCTGAATACAGCACACTGATGGGTTTCGACCCTTTATCCAATTTGCCAGTCTATGTCTTTTAATTGGGGCTTTTAGCCCATTTACATTTAAGGTTAATATTGTTATGTGTGAATTTGATCCTGTTATCATGATGCCACCTGGTTATTTTGCACATTAGTTGATGCAGTTTCTTTACAGTGTCATTGGTCTTTATATTTTGGTGTGTTTTTGCAGTGGCTGAAACCAGTTTTGTCTTTTTATATTTAGTGCTTCCTTCAGGAGCTCTTGTAAGGCAAGCCTGGTGGTGACAAAATCCCTCAGCATTTGCTTGTCTGTAAAGGATTTTATTTCTCCTTCGCTTATGAAGCTTAGTTTGGCTGGATATGAAATTCTGGGTTGAACATTCTTTTCTTTAAGAATGTTGAATATTGGTCCCCACTATTTTCTGGCTTATAGGGTTTCTGCAGAGATCCACTGTTAGTCTGATGGGCTTCCCTTTGTAGGTAACCTGACCTTTCTTTCTGGCTGCCCTTAACATTTTTTCCTGCATTTCAACCTTGGAGAATCTGATGATTACGTGTCTTGAGGTTGCTCTTCTCGAGGAGTATCTTTGTGGTGTTCTCTGTATTTCCTGAATTTGAATGTTGGCCTGTCTTTCTAGGTTGAGGAAGTTCTAAATAACATCCTGAAGTATGTTTTCCAACTTGGTTCCATTCTCCCCGTCACTTTCAGGTACACCAATCAATCATAGGTTTGGTCTTTTCACATAGTCCCATATTTCTTGGAGGCTTTGTTCATTCCTTTTCATTTTTTTTCCTCTAATCTTGTCTTCATGCCTTATTTCAGTAAGTTGATCTTCAATCTCTGATATCATTTCTTCTGCTTGATTGATTATTGATACTTGGGTATGCTTCATGAAGTTCCTCTGCTGTGTTTTTCAGCTCTATCAGGTCATTTATGTTCCTCTCTAAACTGGTTATTCTAATAGCAGTTCCTGTAACCTTTTATCAAGGCTCTTAGCTTCCTTGCATTGGGTTAGAACTTGTTCCTTTAGCTCAGAGGGGTTTGTTATTACCCAACTTCTGAGGCCTACTTCTGTCAATTCATCAATCTCATTCTCCATCCAGTTTTGTGTCCTTGTTGGAGAGAAGTTGTGATCCTCTGGAGGAGAAGAGGCATTCTGGTTTTTGGAATTTTCAGCATTTTTGCACTGGTTTTTCTTCATCTTCATGGATTTATCTACCTTTGATCTTTGAGGCTGATGACCTTTGGATGGGGTTTTTGTGTGGGAGTCCTTTATGTTGATGTTGATGTTGTTGCTTTCTGTTTGTTAGTTTTTCTTCTAATAGTCAGGCCCCTTTTCTACAGGTCTGCTGCAGTTTTCTGGGGGTCCACTCCAGACCGTGTTTGCCTGGGTATCCCCAGCGGAGGCTGCAGAACAGCAAAGATTACTGCCTGCTCCTTCTTCTGGAAGCTTCATCCCAGAGGGGCACTGGCCTGATGCCAGCCAGAGTTCTCCTGTATGAGGTGTCTGTCAACCCCTGTTGGGAGGTCTCTCCCAGTGAGGAGGAACAGGAGTCAGGGATCCACTTGAGGAGGCAGTCTGTCCCTTAGCAGAGCTGGTGTGCTGTGCTGGGAGAATCCCTCTTGTCAGGATCAGCTGGTCTCTTCAGAGCCAACAGGCAGGAACGATAAAATCTGCTGAAGCTGCACCCACAGCTGCCCCTTCCCCCAGGTGCTCTGTCCCAGGGAGATGGGGGTTTTGTTTGTAAGCCCCTGACTGGGGCTGTTACCTTTCTTTCAGAGATGGCCTGCCCAGTGAGGAGGAATCTAGAGAAGCAGTCTGGTCACAGCCACTTTGCCACGCCTAACCCAGACCTCCCAGCCTCCTTAGCACTGTCAGGAAAAACCACCTACTAACGCCTCAGTAATGGCAGACACCCCTCCCCCCATCAAGTTTAATCATCCCAGGTTGACTTCAGACTGCTGTGCTGGCAGCAAGAATTTCAAGTCAGTGGTTCTTAGCTTGCTGGGCTCCATGGGAGTTGGACCTGCTGAGCGAGACCACTTGGCTCCCTGGCTTCAGCCCCTTTCCAGGGGAGTGGACAGCTCTGTCTTGCTGGGGTTCCAGGCACTACTGGGATATGAAAAAATACTCCTGCAGCTAGCTCAGTGTCTGCCCACACAGCTGCCCAGTTTTGTGCTTGAAACCCAGGGCCCTGGTGGTGTAGGCACACGAGGGGATCTTCTGATCTGCAGATTGCAAAAACCGTGGGAAAAGCATAGTAACCCGGCCAGGTAGCACAGTCCCTCACAGCTTCCCTTAGTTTGGGGAGGGAGGTACCTGGCTCCTTGCACTTCCTGGGTGAAGCAACACCCCACCCTGCTTCTGCTCACCCTCCATGGCTACACCCACTGTGTAACCAGTCCCATTGAGATGAACTTGGTACCTCAGTTGAAAATGCAGAAATCACCAGCCTTCTACATTGGTCTCACTGGGAGCTGCAGACCTATTTAGCCATCTTGGCCCCTCCCTCTGCATTAGAGTCTTTTAAAAGCAGAATCAATCAAGCAGAAGAAAGAATTAGTGAGCTTGAAGAAAGGCTGTTTGAAAATATACAGTCAGAGAAGACAAAAGAAAAAATAAGAAACAATGAAGCATGTCTATGGAATCCAGAAATAGTCTCAAAAAAACAAATCTAAGAGTTATTGGCCTTAAAGAAGAGGTAGAGAAAGAAATGAGGATAGAAAGTTTACTCAAAGTGAAAATAAGAAAACTTCCCAAGCCTAGAGAAAGATAACAATACCAATCACAAGAAGGTTATAGAACTTCAAGCAGATTTAACCCAAAGAAGACTACCTCAAGGCATTTAATAATCAAACTCCCAAAGGTCAAGGATAAAGAAAGTATCCTAAAAGCAGCAAGAGAAAAGAAACAACATACAATGGAGCTCCAATATATCTGGCAGCAGACTTTTCAGTGGAAAAGTCTGACCTTATAGGCCAGGAGACGGTGGCATGACATATTTAAAGTGCTGAAGGAAAAAAACTTTTACCCTAGAATAGCATATCTGGCAAAAATAACCTTCAAACATGAAGGAAAACTAACAACTTTCCCAGACAAACAAAAGCTGAGGGATTTTATCAACACCAGACCTGTCCTACAAGAAATCTTAAAGGGGCTTCTTCAATCAGAAAGAAATGGACATTAATGAGCCATAAGAAATTGTCTGAAAGTACAAAACTGATGTACATACATGCAAAAATCCTCAACAAAATACTAGTAAACTGAACTCAACAACACATTAAAAAGATCATTCATGCCCAGGCATGGTGGCTCATGCCTGTAATCCCAGCACTTTGGGAGGCTGAGGTGGGAGGATCACTTGAGGCCAGGAGTTCAAGAGCAGCCTGGCTAACATGGTGAAACCCTGCCTCTACTAAAAATACAAAAATTAACTGAGTGTGGTGGCACACACCTGTAATCCCAGCTACTTGGGAGGCTGAGGTGGGAGGATCACTTGAACTCAGGAGGTGGAGCTGGCAGTGAGCTGAGATTGTGCCACTGCACTGCAGCCTGGGTGTCACAGCAGGACTCTGTCTCAAAAAAAGAAAAAAAAATCATTCGCCAGAATCAAGTAGAATTCATCCCAGGCATGCAAGGATAGTTCAACATAAGCAAATCAATAAACATGGTACATCACATTAACAGTACCAAGAACAAAAATTATATGATTATTTCCATAGATGACAAAAAAGCATTTGATAAAATTCAACATCTCTTTATGATTAAAAAAAAACCCTCATAAAATGGGTTTAGAAGGAACATACCTCAAAATAATAAAGGCCATATATGACAAACCCACAGCTAATATCATACTGAATGGGGAAAAAATTGAAGGACTTTTCTCTAAAATCTGTAATAAAAAGAATGTCATTTTCGTTTATTATTATACTAGAAGTCCTGGCCAGAGCAATTAGCCAAAAGAAAGAAATAGGCTTCCAAACTGGAAAGGGAAATGTCAAATTAGTCTTGTTCACAGATGACAGGAGCATCTACTTAGAAAAATCTAAAGACTCCACAAAAAAACTGTTATAACTAATAAATAAATTCAGTACAGTTGCAGGATACAAAATCAACATCCAATATCAGTAGCATTTATATATACCAAAAGCAAACAATCTGAGAAAGAAATAAATAAAGCAATCCCATTTATGATAGCTACAAAGAATATAAAATACCTAGAAATCAATTTAACCAAAGAAGTGAAAGATCTATACAAGGAAAGCTATAAAACACTGATGAAAGAAATTGAAGAAGACACAAAGCAATGGAAAGATATTCCATATTCCTGGATTAGAAGAATTAGTATTGTTACAATGACCATACTACCCAAAACAATTTACAGATTAAATGCAATCCTTATCAAAATACTAATGACATTATTCACAGAAATAGAAAAAAATCTAAAATTTGTATGGAACCACAAGAGACCCAGAATAACCAAAGCAATCCTGAGCAAAAAGAACAAAGCTGGAGGTATTATGTTACCTGACTTCAAAATATATTACAAAGCTATAGTAACCAAAACAGTATGATGCTGGCATAAATACAGACACATTGATCAATGGAACAAAATAAGGAACTCAAAAATAAATCCACATATCTACAGCCAACTGGTTTTTGCCAAAGTGCCAAGAAAATAAACTGGAGAAAAGACAGTCTCTTCAATAAATGGTGTGGGGAAAACTGGGTATCCATATACAGAGGAATGAAATGATATCCTATCTCTCATCATACACAAAAATAAAATCAAAATAGACTAAAGACTTATCTAAGAACTGAAACTATGAAACTACTAAAAGAAAACATTGGGTAAATGCTCCCAGACATTGGTCTAGGCAAAGATTTTTTGTGTAAGACCTTAAAAGCACAGATAATAAAATAAAAAATAGACAAATGGGATCACATCAAGCTAAAAAGCTGCCGCACAGCAAAGGAAACAATCAAAAAAGTAAAGAGACAACCCACAGAATGGAAGAAAATATTTGCAAACCATCCATTTGACAAGGAATTAATAACCAGAATACATGAGGAGCTTGAACAACTCAATAACAAAAAAAAAAGATCCAATTTAAAAATGGGCATAAGATCTGAATAGGCATTTCTCAAAAGATGACATACCAAATGGCCAACAGGTATATGAAAAAATGCTCAACATTCTAATCATCAGAGAAATGCAAATCAAAACCACAATGAGATATCATCTCATCTCACCCCAGTTAAAATGGCTTTAAAAAGAGAGAGAGAGAGAGAGAGAGAGGCAATAAAGATGCTGGCAAGGATGTACAGAGAAGGGAACTCTTGTACCCTGTTGGTGGGAATGTTAACTGGTGCAGCCACTCTGGAGAACAGTACAGAGCTTCCTTAAAAAACTAAAAATGGAACTACATATGGTCCAGCAATTCCATTACTGGGTATATATCCAAAAGAAAGGAAAACAATATATCAAAGAGACATCTGCACCTCCAATGCAGCTCTATTTGCAATAGCCAAAATATCAATAGATAAAAAGATAAAGAAAATGTGGTGTATGTATACAAAATTGAACAGTATTTAGACATAAAAAAGAACTAAATCTTCTCTTTATAGCAACATGAATAAAACTGGAAGTCACTTGTAAAGTGAAGTAAGCCAAGTACAGAAAGACAAATATTCCACGTTCTCACTCATGAGAAAGCTTAAAAAGTTGATCTCATAAAGATAGAGTAGATTAGTGGTTACCACAGGCTGGGAAGGGTAGGGGCGAGGGGGATGAAGAGAAGTTGATTAAGGGGTTCAAATACACAGTTTGACAGAAAAAATAAGATCTAGTGTTCAATAGATCAGCAGGATGATTATACCTCACAATAATTTATTGTACATTTCAAAATAGGCAGAACGGAGTAATTCAAATGTTTCTAGCATCAAGAAAAGACAAATGTTTAAGGTAATGGATATCTCAAGTACACTGATTTGATCTTTCAAATTATATGAATATATTATCACATGTATCCCCAAACTATGTATATCTATTATGCACCAATTAAAAAAACAAAAGAACAACAAGAACAAAAAAAAGTGCAGGGCCAAGAATCTCCACAAGACCAAGGAATTTTATTACCAGAAAAAAGGAGAAAGAAAAAGCACGCTGGGCAGAACAAAACAAGAGACAGATCCTATTTCCCTTCCTCAGCAGTGCTTTGAGAAATATAAAGAAAGAACATTCCTTAGTACCTTCCAAACATTTCTACCAAGCTCTTCTAATAACAGAAGAGAATTACAGTTGGCCCTCTGTATCTGTGGGCTCAGCATCCATAGATTCAACCAACCATAGATAAAAAATATGCAGAAAAGAAAAATATGGGAATTCATTTTCTTATCATTATTCCCTAAACGATATGGTATAACAACTATTTTCACAGCATTTATACATTTATTTATACATTGTATAGATGCTATGTAAATAGTTATACATTGTATAAATAAATGTATAATTGTATAAATGTATACATATGATACATTTATACATTGTATTTCTTGTCTAAACAATATGGTATTAACAACTATTACAAGCATTTAGATTTTATTAGGTATTATAAGGAACCTAGAGATGGTTTAAAGTATATGGGAAGATATGCATAGGATATACACAAATACTATGCCATCTTATATAAGGGACCTGAGCATTCCACAGGGTTGGGGTGTTCCTGGAACTGATACCCCATGGATACTGAAGTATGACTGTATTATCAGTCCGGATTCTACCAAAGAAACAGAACCAATGTATGAAGATTATATATATACAAATATGCACATATATGAGTATATATACATATATATCACATATACTCACATATACATATATACTATATATATGCACACATATATAAACACAAATTTATTTCAAGGAATTGGCTTCTGTGGTTGTGAGGACTGGTGAGTCAGAAGTCTGTAGAGCAGGCCAGCAGGCTGGAACTCTCAGGCAGAAGCTGATGCTGTAATCTTGAGGCGGAGTTTCTTCTTCCTCAGGAAACCTCACTGTTGTTCTGAAGGCCTTTCAGCTGACTGGATGAAGCCCACCCATATTATTGAACATAATCTCCTTCACTTAAAGTCAACAGATTATAGATATTAGCCACATCTACAAAAGACCTTCACAACAACATCTAGAGTAGTGTTTACTGCGTAACTAGTTGCCATCTCCTAGCCAAGTTGGCATAAACTAACCATCATAGGGAGTGAACATAAAAATAAAATACAGGCATCTTTGAGGCCAGTCTGAAGCAGCATTTCTTTGAAGTCTTGGTTTTTGGGTTAAATTTTTTTGCATAGTTAACATTTTAGTCTAGAGTATATCCATATTTGTTCTTACATATAAATAATGTGGAGGCTTTTTAACCCCCAAAAAAAATCTGTGGATAAAAATGGTGGTTTCAGGAAGGTAGTCCATGTTTATTAGCCCTCTTTAATTACTCTGGACACTCTGCCTCATTTCTAAAGAGGTATACACACTCCAGGTGAGATGCATAGGCATGGTAGGCAACTTTTGCATCCAGCCATATGTCCTCAGCTGCCTCAAGTTCCAGCATGGGTTAACAATTCCTATGCAAGTCATTAGGGTCCAGTGACATATCTCCAATTTTCTGCCTTGGCCAATGATGCTCTCTCTGCCAGAGCAGTAGGACACTCTGGAAGTGTAGGGCACTGTACTCTTCCAAAGGAGGACAAAGTTGGCTCATAAATGTCCCCCTCCTAGGCACAATTTTGAGAGATGGCCTACAAGTTTCCTCAGAGGGTCTCCCAGAGAGATGGAGCCCCAATTGTCCCAGTGTTAAACAACTCAGGAATGCTCTTTTATCAGGTTTTTCCTCCATTCTTGTCTTGTTCCCCTGTTCCCTCACTTCTGTTTTCTGAGATCATTGCCTAAATAAATTACTTATACTCACATCTTAGGCTCTGCTTTCAGAGGAAGCCCAGACCAAGCTAATAGGCACATTATTATGTCATCTGAGCCTTTAAGGCAGTGGGATTACAAGAGTTTAAAAATTTCCCAAAAAACCGACAGTGTCATCACAGCCAACTTACTGCTTCTCATGCAGAATCACTATTGCAGTTAATAGAAACAGAAACCCAAAGTCAAGTTTGATGGCCTTGACTTTTTCTTGAGATCATGAATGATGAATAAACCTTTGCTCACGCCACACTTCTAGGCAAGCTGATCCTTCTGTCACCACAACTTCAACCGATCTACTCCACCCACATTCATGCTGCCACCATATCCACCTATCAAACTGCCAATCATCCTGACATTGTCTTCTGTCTTATAGTTCCTGATCCAATAGAAAAGATAAGACCAGAAGACAATAAGCTGTAGGGGGACAGGGACTGGGTCTCATTCTCCTTTTTCTCCCCTCACTCAAATATTTCTCTCCTCAACACTCCCAAGAGCCTACCACCATGCACACAGTAAATACTCAATAAATATATACGGAATAAATAGATACATTGGAATGGAACAAATTGCATTGTAAGTATCTTGCTTGCTCCATTCAATATGAATGATTACTATTTTTCTCTTTATACAGCTTCCACCTCATAGGGTCATAGAATACTGAAAAAGCCTTTTTTATAGCACAATGTATTAACAATCTATAAAATAATGTTTTTATCTATAATAATATAGGCATGGCAGCAATTCATATGCTCTATATTATGGACAGAATTCCCACTTGCAATAAAGTTTATAATTTTAATTAACTTTTTTGTATGACACTGTACTAGATGCTTCGAGTATTTTTATCAAGAGACTGACATGAGGAGAATAGAAGGCTAATTTAGTTGTGGTGGCATATAGGATAGATTGTAGAGTGAAATGTCTTCAGGCTAGGAGACTTTAGCATTATTGTAAAAGTCCAAGAATGAAGGGGGATGGTGACAGTAAAACTGGAGAGGGGGAATGGATTAAAAGACATCACAATAGGAGAAAGAAAAGATTCAGGTTAATCAGATGCTACGAGAAAAAACTGCAGCATTTAAGACTGGATGAATGAGAGAATGATGACACCTTAATGAGGCTAGAGAAGGAGTTGGGGTAGAAGGTATTCTGATGAGTTAGTTTTACATTCATTAAGTCAGAAGTTATGGAAACACTCAAGATGGCAATGTCCGTTCAGCGGTTGAAAATGTGGTAATGACACTCAGAAGTCATGACTAGAGATTCAGATGTAGACACTGCAGCTTAATAGGCATCAGCAAAATCCTGTTTCCATCCAATCCTGGGCTGTCTGTGTCTGTGTGATTAGATGGCTTATTTTCAGAGCCTCCCCCAAAAAGACGGTTCCTACAGCCTATGTTCTGACTTTTACCCGAGTGACATTTTACTTCCATAACCTGGAAGAGGTTTTTTAAAATCAGATAGAGAGAAGCTGTTCTCTTCAAAACAGCCATGCCTGAAGAGTTACCACTGTTTCTCATCTCCAGATTGCTAGAGGTCTACCTTCCTCAGCAAGTCTACATCAGCACACTGATGCAATTCATGCACAATCTTCATCTGTATTCTAACCTGAGGGGGTTCATTAAGTTGGGTCAATAGATATTTATTGAGCATATAATATGGTCCAGGAACTGTGCTCACATAGAGGAAATAAAAATGATTAAGATATACTGTCTGCCCTGAAGGAACTATGAGTCTGTTTGGAAAACGTATAAACAAGTAGACAAGACAGTATGTAAGATAAAGGAAGAAAAGATCTACTCTGCGTTGAGGGTTCAGGGAAGGTATATAGAAAAGAGGTGCCTGGAAGGACATCTCACAGACCACCAGGTAGAAAATGTGAAAAGAAACAGGACTTCCAGGCAGGAGGAATATTATGTGGGAGGCACAGGGGCTGTGAACCGCATGGTCTATTAAAAGACCTGAAAGAAGTTCAGCTGGACATTGGCTGGTGCAAAGGACGTGAGGCAGAAAATGACTGGACATGAAACTCAAGAATAAGGACCAGAGATCTTAGACCTCGTTTGGTGGGGTTTTTGAATTACAGGGCACCGACTATGTACAGTTGAGGCCCATCATAAATAAATCTCACATCACTCAACATGGCATAAGCTTGGATCATTGAAGACTATTTCTATTCACTGAAGGTTTTTGTGAACCTTCTGACCACAGGCCACTCTCCCAGACTCAGCCCTTGGAATGGGGATCACAGTAATTTTTTTTTTTGTTCATCTAAACTGCTTTTCCTCCCAATCAAGATCTCATTAATTCCCATTCTATCTATCCTATGCCCTTTAGACTCCTATCATATGTTGTAATTATTTACTTGCAAGTAACAGAAATGTATTCAGACAAGTTTAAATCAAAAAGTTGAGTTTAACATGGGGTACATGAATGTCTTACAGAAACTCAAGACAGGGGCACATCTTGGCCTCAAAAGAGAGTGGATTCAGGAACCAGAAGAACATTCAAGAGCATCTCTTCATCTCTTATCTCTGCTTCCATCTGCAAGTCACAGAGACCAAAGAATAAAGCTAAAAGGCATGCTCTGCATCTTTGGTGTGCATGGCAGAGAAGAAATACCCACCACACAGCAAGGAAGCTTTCAATGATCCAGCCCCCACATAGGAATCTGACTGTTTTCAATCATTCTCAATTCCAAATCTACAGGGAAAGGACTCTGGTCCAGCTCAGGTTAGGGGAATACCCTTGGACAATTCCATGTGCCCAGGGAGCAGAGTCACCTTGTCAGGAGTGTCCCCACGGGTCAAACCACTGGGGCTGGTTGGACCAGTTGAGGGTGTTTTAGGCTGTGCAAATCCTCTATGGAGGTATCCACGACAGGTTGCAATCCCAACAGCACCATCACCTGAGCAGCTAATTCAGGGAGGATTCCCCAGACTTTAACCCAACAAATCTTTAACTGGCCTTCTCCTGGTTCTGGAGAATGTCCTAATTTTCTTTAGCTGGACGTTTCATATTAATCACCATACCAGTATTCTTTCTCTAGCCTTCAACCTGGTTTCTCCAACTAACTCTGATCTTTAAACTATGCTTTGGGCCCCTACCCTATACTTCTCTCACCTTCTCCAGCACAGAAGTCTCATCTTCCTATCATGGATCCACTCAATCCAGCTGATGTGCATCTTTCATCCTAGATAACAGATTAGGATGTCATAGAAACCTTTTGCATTTATTCACCCATCAATGCCACTGCTTCCAAGAGTCTGATAAAATTCAAGTTAATAAAGGTTTGGGGTGAAGGGCTATTTTACACAGACTACAAGCAGTTCTCACTTTGCATGGTTCTATGTTAACTGAATTGTGTGCATATTGGCACTGTGTCCTCTCTTTTGCACAATTCCATGGTAACAATCTCAGCTGCCACTGAACCATGTAAAATGATGACACAGTTCTGCTACGCACACAATTCAGTCGACATGGTACCATGGAAAGTGAGAACTGCCTGTATTCTGATTTGATTAATAGTCTCATGGCAAAAGATTATTCCATATAATGGTACATACAACACACCAAGGGTTTCCCTGTTCTGTTCAACTCCCTCCTTGAGTCTTAGAGCTTTCTTCAGCATCAGAAATTAGAGAGGTTGATAAGTGGCAGGGCTGGGACATATCTCAGGCTACCTTTCCTTGCTCACTTATCCTGTCAATTTTCATTGTTACCCTCTTATTGTCATCAAGTTTATGGGAGAAAAAGATGGCATCATATTACGGCATAATTAGGATAATAAACGGGAGCTGTGGTTTGTTTTTGGACTGATTCCACTTGGGTAGCACACATAATCACCTCTAGCTGACTGCTTGATGATTGACTTTGACAAAGTGGTATTATTTACTGCTAATGGATGAGATAATGATTTATTACTAATTGCTCTCTTTTTCCACAATTTTTATATTATGTTAAATGAAGGATTACAGTTGGGGTAATAAATATTCACTGGAAAAAAATGTCTAGCAGCAGAGTTCATGAAACTAGACCCTAAAGAGAGGAGCCATTTCAATACTCAAGACCAGACTTTAGAAAAAACTGTAAACTAAATAGCATATCACTATTTCTCTCTCCCACCTCTTCTGCCAACTGCTACTTCGTGCCTTCAGGAGTTTCTACCCCACTCCAAGTTCTTAAATTACCTCCCTCCACCTACCCTATGTTTCATTCATCCTCTCTCCCGATAAGATCTTAGTGAAAACTCAGGTCAAAGAGCTTAACTTGTAACACAGCACCTCCCCTGAGTAATTTTGGAGTTCAAGAGTCTTCTGGAGAAAAAAGGAGAAGAAAACAAAGCTCTTTCTAGATGAGAACTGAAGATGGGATTAAGATTCATTTCTTTCCAGAAACATGAGTATGTAGAGAAAGATTTAGGGTAATAGAGGTGAAGGTAATTAGATATAAATGGGGGGCCTTAACTCTTATAAACAGTGGTGAAAGCTCTGGGGCAAGATGGGGGCTGTATTAACCAGTTAATTGCACCCCTTGTGGAAGAGGGACAGATGCAGGCCAGAGTGCTCCTAACTGGAGTGGGACTTGACAAGCTGATGTGAAATGTGAAAGAATGCAAGTGCTGATACTGGATTTAGAAGAAGGGTGTGGATAGAGAATGGTACTCATTAACCAAACCCTTGAATACAAGGTTAGGAGAGGGAATCTGAGATTAAGCTAAGCTGAACAAGAAACAGACTGAAAGCCCCTTGAGGCCAGGAACCACCTTTTTACACTTCTTTATAATCTCCACAATGCCTAGCACAGTGCCCGAAGCATAGAGAATACCCTGAAACTGTTTGTTGACTGCTTTTTGGCAGACAGACTAAAGCAGTAAAAAGCAACATTCTCTCCATGCAGATCAATTAATAACTATTTTTTTTTTAAGTTTCCAGACCACATTTGTAATAGATGCTATATACTTTTATTATCAGGAGATGCAATATCATCGACTTAAGCCTTATTCTTTTATCTGCCTTTCACTCGAGGTTTTCATCACAGGCTAAAATTTTATATATTTTATAATTATCATACACAGCAGTATCTGATTTTAATGTTGTACCCTTGATCAAATTTTATTGTTGAGTAAGTTGCTTTTGAAGATGGTTTATGTTATTTTTCCTTGACTGAACTTGCAGATCTCTTATTGCTAAATGTGATTTCTTTTAGCATCTTAATATTATATATTTTGATTTGAATTCTATTTCAGATTCCAAATCTGAAATACATGAATTGCTTTATTAAGCAATATAATGTAAAATGAATTTAATAATGTTTTAAATTTTATGGAAAGTTTATGTGCCATTACTGGGTTGTCAGCAGAAGGGGCCACCCATCCCCATCCCAGTCCTTAGGATTCACCCAGACAAGCCTGGACTCCAGCAGTAGACATAGTGGTAGAGCACAGACATTGCCATGGTCCACATGTACAACAGAGCTGAAGAAGTGATATGTGACTTGGATCCTGAAGGATGAGTAGGAGTTAACCTGGCAAAGAAGAGAAGGTAGAATATTCTAGATAGAAAATAAACTGCTTTTCAAGGCAGAAAGGCTCACAGAAGACAGAGTGGGGAATAATGAAAAGGTCAGTATAACAAGAATGTAGGGTGAGTGAGAATACAAAGGAAGAAAATTTGGCTAATGAAATTATTTAGAGCTAAACCGTGCTAAGAATTTACATGGACAAATTTTAACCTATGGGCAACTGAAGGCTCTGAGCCATAAGAAGGAAAGTAATATGTTTATATCAGTATTTTAGAAAACTAACAGTAACACAATATAGAGGATAGAGTTGAAAAAGAAGGCGCTGAAGAGACCAGTTGGGAGTTATCCTACTGAAAAAGGAGGTATAGTATCCAGAGATAAGTGGATGGTCTCCAGGAATAATTCAGGAGTAGACTCAACATGACTTATAACTTATGAGATACATGAGCAAGACAGAAAGAAATGACCCCAACATTTCTAATTCAACCCTGAGCATATATGAGAAATTTTATGTTAAAGTGTTCTATATTTTTTAAAACTTTTGCTCTTTCAGACTTTGTCTTCTAAAGAACTTTGGGCTAAATGGAGTAAAGAACACCATAAAGGAGAAAAATTGACATCGTTTGAGCACCTACTAAGCGTCGGCTTTAAGCTAAACACTCATATTTATTCCTCACAAAGGCCCTGTGAAGATTATCACTGTTTTTGTATGGATTGAGAAACTGATGACGCACAGAAAAAAAGTAACAACCTGCCCAAGGTCACACAGCTGACAAATGGCAGACCCAAAAAATTCAAACTCAGGACTTTTGGCTTTGAAACAAATATTTGTTTCATTGTCTAATGTTGCCTCGCAGTAGAATAAAATATATGCTCATAAAACTCCATATTTTTGCCAGTAATTTCATCAATAAGAATTCAAAAGGGCTTTGAATTTCCACCCTGGAAATAATAAGGAAAAGGAATTAAGAAGTCATTCTGAAATTCTGAGCACACACAAAACTCTAACGCCTCAAGTTCCATTAGCAGCTTTAAAACTGGCTGGTGGAGCAGACATTAGAATTGCTTTGCATTGGTTTATTTGTATTCCCCGGTAGTGTTATTAGTGGCAATAAGAATTACTTGCAAGCAAAATGTACCACTTGTAATGCAGATTCACATTTAGTCAGGAAAAGACTATTTAAAAAATTCCAAAAGACTAAGTACATTTTAAAATAATTTGCACAGAAGGATTTCTAACAGGATATAGATTGGTTGGTTAGTTGGTTGACTAGATTAAGATATACCACCAGGTTCTTCCAGGATGGTACAATGAGGATTTAATGCAGAAGAAATGGTTGATTTTACTGGTTGAATGATTGATCAGCACAACTGAACCTTAGTGATTGAAAATGTAAAGTGGCACTGGTGTTCCTATACCAACTCTTCTTCACTGATATGAACCCAGGACCAAAAGATTTTATCCGTTCATTTAATAAATATGTATTTAGTGACATATATGTGCCAGTCAGGTTTTGTGTGCTGGACATATAGACAGCAGAGAGCAAGACAGTCAGGCATGGAGTTTACATTACACAGATGGCGAGTAGGGGCAGAGTAGACAATAACCGAGTTAAAAAGCACAGATAATTCCAGATAGTTGATTCATGTTGTAAAGACAACTAAACCTGGTGATGTGTCTGTATTGCATAGTCAGGAAGGGCTCCTGAGGGGATGGCATTTGAACTGAGGCTTGAGTGTTAAAGAGAAATACCCAGGCAAAGGTCTGGGAACAATAACTTTCCAGGCAGAAGGGAGAGAACACAAAAGTCCTAAGTCAAGGATGAGTCTGAGGTTACAGAAGGAAGGAGGCCAGTGTGACTGGACCATAGCCAGGGAAAGGGGTTGCGAGGAGGTTAGAAAGGAGGGCAAGGGCAAGTCATGGGGGGGCTGGAAGACCATGTGCAGCAGGATGGCTAGCTGGCTGGCCACCAAGGATTCAGACTGCCCTCCATAGCGCTTTTCACTGCCTAGAGAGCATCTCCCTGACAGAGACTACATTTCTCACTCCCCCCACTAGCTTCTAGGGAAGTTCATGTGACTCTTAACTGAAATTAAGGCTGTTGAGACAGAAATAATTTGTGAGGGTCCCCCCGGGAAGACAGGCCAACAAAGTTGTGTGTGTGCCAGAGGCTGCTACAAGCTGGAAGGCTTTTATGGGAAAGTTTAGAAGAAGGGAGGAGGACTCCTTATACCAGAGTTGTCCTGTTCAGTGGAGGCTACAATACAGAGGTTACAATCATTGGCTGCAGGTGACATCATACAGGCTAAAATGTGCTACGTGCAAGACAATCAGTAAAACTTCATGATTCAGAAACAAATCAGCAAAACTTCGTGATTCAGAAACACATCAGCATCCTTTTCACTGTCAGTAGGATACGTATTAATCAGTGTGTTAACAGTTTGAAGAACTCACAATAAGATTCTTCACTCAGGACAGGATATACTCCATGAATCATAAGACCTCCCCCGGGGTGGGGTGGTAATTTGGAAGCCTGCCAAATGTGGCCTGTAGGTTATCATGACCAGTTCTCATCTGTGGAATGTGAGTTGCTGTAATGGGGTCATATTAATGTTACAGCAGTTAAAAAATGGGTGTGCCTTTTCCATTCTCTCTTCCTCCATCTGCCAGCTGGATGTAGAAGGCTCTGAGGCCATAGCAGACGACACGATCACAAGAAGAAAAAACCTGGGTCCCTGAATCACCATGTGGAGGAAAATTGCTCAAAACCAGGGACACGTGCACCAAACTATTACCTGAGCCAGGGATATGTTTTCATGTGTGAAGGAAGCACTGAACATTAGAGTTGTATTCACCACCACAGCCAGTATCACCTTAACTAACATGCCACAATAAGGAACTTGGATTTTATTCTAAGTGCAAGCAAATGCCACTGGAAGGTTTTAGGGAGAGGAGGAAAGTGAAGTGGTTTAGGTGTTGAAAGACCACTGTGGTTGCTATGCAGAGCCTAGGGGCAAAAGAAGCTGAGAGAACACTGAAGCGGTTTCTGCCTTAATCCATGGAAGGACTGGCAGATTGGTGAAACAGAGGAGGTGGAGAGGAATGAAGTAATCTGAGATCAACTTTGAAAGCTGAGCCAAGGATTTTCTAGCTGATTGGATGTCAAAGGTGAGGGAAAGAAAAGAGTCATAGGAGACTCCTGGTTTGTGGCTTGGTGTCATTTCATCTGGTAGGAAAGCCTGAGGAGCAGACTCAAGGGAGATATTCTGAGTTTAGTTTTGGTGGTGTTATGCTCACTGTTCATAAGAAACCTTAATCTATTATCTAGTGGTTGTGCAAATATATATATGTAAACACATACACATATATATAGCCTAAGAGAAACATCTAGTAACTTCTTTTACAACCAGTGAAGACAGAATACTACACCATGGAATACTATGCAGCCATAAAAAATGATGAGTTCATGTCCTTAGTAGGGACATGGATGAAACTGGAAATCATCATTCTCAGTAAACTATCGCAAGAACAAAAAACCAAACACCACATATTCTCACTCATAGGTGGGAACTGAACAATGAGATCACATGGACACAGGAAGGGGAATATTACACTCTGGTGACTGTTGTGGGGTGGGGGGAGGGGGGAGGGATAGCATCGGGAGATATACCTAATGCTAGATGACGAGTTAGTGGGTGCAGCGCACCAGCATGGCACATGTATACATATGTAACTAACCTGCACAATGTGCACATGTACCCTAAAACTTAAAGTATAATTAAAAAAAAAAAGAACACGCACATAATTAAAGTCACTGATCATTAGCTTTTCATTACTAAAAGTATAGCAACATTAAATAACAAAATTAAAGGCTGAATGAATTGTATGATGAATCTGTGAATGACGAAGTTCTGTGTCTAACAACACTGTTGTCAGTGCAAATATTGAATCAGATATATTTTAAAAACCAGTTACCATTCTTTAAGCTTCCTTTTCAACTCACACCGACATGAATGTATATTATCCAAATGTGGCAAACTATTCGAGGCTTGAAGGACTTTAAAGATTACCCAGTGAAATCTTCTCAATTTAAAAATTATACAACCAAGTCCCATATAAAAATGCTTTGTCTAAGGTTACAAACCTGAGCAGTTCACCTGATATGAAGCTCTGTGCGAGTTAATCCAATTCTCAGCATTAAGATATCTCAAAAACATATGAGAAATCAGAATCGCTTAAGCCAAGAATTGCACACAATATGATTCTCTTTATAGCAGGTTTTCTTCACTAAAGAATATTTCAATGTAAATATTAACTGTTCAACCAAAAGAGGTGTCAACATGAAGAATACTGAACTCAAATATTATTCAACAAGTCTACACTCTAATATTTACCTATCTAATTTTGTAATCATATGTTTTGAATTTGGTGGTAAAAGGTATGATATTAGAATAAGAAAGGAATAAACATCTGGGCTTTGGAAATGCCTTGCTTCACCTATAAGGATCACGCAGAAGAATCTGGAAAAAACATTGAAGGAATGTGTGTAGTTATACTTTATTTTTCACTAAGGGAACATGAGACATTTAGTGCCACAAATTGTTTTTGTATCATGACATGGTGTTAACTGAGACTTCATCTGACATCTCCAAGACTAAAACCAGAAGAGTTACATGTCCCATATTTCAAAGACCCTCCTTGCAGGACTAGCGAGGTAAGAAGTGGCCCGAACTGGTCTGGGAATCTTAGCCCATCATTCACAGCCTGCTGCACACAAGAGAGAAGATTCTTCAGAGAAATTCATGGGAGTGGGTTTTCCAGTCTCCATTTCCATGGAAAAGGAAAGGAGGGTGGTCTGCCTCCCCCAATTCCCCACAAACCCTCCCAGTCAAGTGGAAGGGGCTTCAACACAACCCCTTGCATTGGAGAGACCAGCATCTTAGTCCACTAGGAAATGATCTTAGGAGATGGAGCAAGAAAGAGTCCTTGAGAGAACCTGGACTGCCCTCCAAGATAATAACTGTCCCTGGAGAATAAATGAGCTGAAAAGACAATAGAGTGAGTCAACTGCACCTCTATCAGCCCAAGGCAGGATGAAGATTTTCTGGGCCATGTGATGCCACTAGGGGTACCCATTCTAGGGGCCTCTTGACAGGAATCAGGATCAGGGACCCCCCAGCAAAGGAAAGTTCAGTGGAGTATATGAATGGAGCAAAGAACTGAGAGGGTGTCACAAGAGGTCAGCCAGAGAACACACTCCCCTATGCAGGACAGAGTCCCCTGTGTCGGGGGTTCTGGTGGGGAGGGTCCCCAATTACCTACAAAATACACCAACTAAAGAAATTCGGCAATGGGGCATTTGCCACACAGGGAACTCTGACACCGTTGTATGAGTAGCAGCCAAATTAGAAACTCGGTCACCGTCTACCCCTCCTCCCTTTTTGACAGCCCAACTCTGTAAGAGTCTGAGAGCAACCTGCTGATGTGGGGCTGAGAATGAAAGAGCCAAGTGGAGAACCAAAAAAGGGAATCAGGCCATGCTTCGTTGCCTGTCTACAGCCCTGAGGAGTCACATTTCCTCTGAGAGACCCTGGGACAAAGTGGAGAAGGGGGTGTGTTGGGGAAGGAGCTTCCATTAAATGGAAGATTTAAGTTTTTACATTAGATTGGGTTGTGCTATTTTATTTTATACTTGAAAATGAGCCTGTTTGTTAACACGTTGAAATTGACTGAAAGACTGTGCGGTTTGTGCAAGTTGTCACCAAGGAGGCAAAGAAAGGAAATCTGATCAAGTATAATAATTAAGGCCAGACGTGGAAGAAGGATAAAAGTTGTTTCTTAGTTAAACTCCACCCTCAATAAACCAGTTAGAGTTGTAGTAATGAAAAGCCACCGGTGAGATGCTGAGTTAAGATAGGAATACAGTCATGTCACAGCTCATACATCCAAAATTCCTTTCCAGTCAAAATCCAGCTACAGTGTATCTGTAACTAGGTGAAATGAGTTTATAAGAGGCCTGAGAATGTTTTCTAAACAATTTACATATGAATTTAACAAATAAATTTGAGGAATTTTTTAAGGGAAAGCAAATTAATGCAAATGAAACTAAGACCAGAAAGCTGATATTACTAGGGAAGCATATTTATTAGGCATCTTCAATGTGCTAAGTGGTATTTAGAGGCATAAGAAGAATTAGAAGATATGGCTCCTATTCTTGGAACCAGCTGGATGAAATAAATCCATGCTTAGAAGAAAAAAAAAAACACTAGAGAAAAGAATAATAAAGCAAAGTACATACAATCAACTGCTATAATAAGGGTAAGAGGATATACTGCTGTACAGAAATGCACACACATGAAGGTGGAAGCATGGTGAAGAGGATTTGTATAAATGACAAAAGGGGAAATAGACCATCCAGAAAGACAGACGATATTGAAAATTCTTTCTTGATGCAGATTACAAAGTTCGGATAGAGATGATCCATGGTAGTCAATGGAGATTTCCATTATATGGGCATCTGTCGGCAGTCTCATTATAGAAGAAAAATGAGTGCCTAAGAAATCAAGTAGCTTTGCTGTGAATTTTACTGCTGGGAAGGATACCATGGGGAAATGGTTAACAGGATTTTTTTTTTCTAGCCAGAAGAGTCCGTTGATAATCTTAACCAGTCAGGAGGCTTCAGGGAAACTGATGGTGATATTTTGGACTTCTAAATATAGAATGAATTAGAAATAACCTGGACTTTAGGAAAATAAGTGTACCTAAAGCTATGTTAATGAAATAATAAAGACTGAAATGCAACCCAATTAGAGAAACTATGGAGAATTTAGTTGGCAAAAGGATTTCTTTGAATTCAAATTTGAGCAGAACAGAGACCCTTTGTTTGAAACGTCAGCAGGCCCTTTGTTCTCCCCAGTGACATATGGCTTTAAAGTCTAGCTTAGCTTTAAGTCAATCACTTAATCTGGGTTTCTCTGTGAACTACCTTTAAGACTCCAGAAAGACATTTCGAGGTGCATGGGTGAGTTGAGTGGTATAAATAGTGCCCCATTTGAGGAGAGAAGCCTTTCTGCCTTATTCCTAGATGGTTGGTCTTTGCATAATAACTCTGCTACCTACTTTTTGCCACTTGTGAATTTCCTGTTCATAGAGGACATTAGGAGAAATTGTCTCATGTTTGGGGTGTACCAAAACATTTGAACGAGAGGAAAAGAACTGTGAACATTGGGGAAGGCTGCTCAAGTTAGATTTTTGTCATAGTGCACATTAAGTTGTGCTGACCCAGATATTCCAATTTCAACTGTTTCCCACATCCACTAGAAAATCTTAGTATCAGCAAGCATGTGGCCTGGCGAGCTGGGAGTATTAACTTGTGGTCTGACCAGGATTCTTCGTCATTTTAGCACAGCCTTGGCCATGGTTAGCAAGGCGGTTCTAACCTTGTTATTCTAATTATTCTCTCACTTTGGGTGTGATTCCTGTTAGTCCTTCCACTTAAAACAGATGGAAGAGTGACCTGTACATTGGGAAAGGTCATCTGTGTCTTGATTTTTTTTATCTGGAAGTTTTCACTTATAAAGATGTTGTAATTATAATTATTATGATTATTTTGTACTTAAATTGGGCAGTGCTGAGATCTAAAACAAACTCTAGGTCTGATTATTTTCTGAAGAAAATAACATTGTACCTCATATATACCATGGAATACTATGCAGCCATAAAAAGGAATGAGATCATGTCCTCTGCAGGGACATGGTTGGAGCTGGAAGGCATTATCCTCAGCAAGCTAACTCAGGAACAGAAAACCAAACACCACATGTTCTCACTTATAAGTGAGAGCTGCACAATGAGAACACATGGACACAGGGAAGGAAATGGCACACACTGGGGCCTGTCATGGGGTGGGGTTGGGGGAGGGAGAGCATTGGGAAAAATAGCCAATATATGCCAGGCTTAATACCTAGATGATGGGTTGATAGGTGCAGCAAACCACCATTGCACACGTTTACCTATGTAACAAGCCAGCACATCCTGCACGTGTACCCCAGAACTTAAAATTAAAATTAAAATTAATTTTAAGAAAAGAAAGTTAAAAAAAAAAAAAGAAAATAACATTGTACTGAAGCAAAACTAGTTACTCTGTCCTTTTACCATAAGATGTGAGCTGTAGATTATAATGAACCACTGAACAGTTCCAACCAAAATTATAACTTTTGATTAAGTAGTATGGCTTGGCTGCTGAATCACCAGTGTGAAAACCCATCCCTGGAGAACGTGGAGCCCGAGATGACATGGGTAGCCACTGTTGGTGGAAAAAGCAGAAATTTTTGAAGAGTGACCAAAGTCAGGAACATAACAGACAAATTCTGGGGAGCAACAGGCAGTATTTATTGATTCATCCCACAAATGTGTAGGAGCACATACTATGTGCCAGGTGCTGGAAAAAGAGCAGTGACATGCTCCAGGCTCAAAGTGCACTGACCTAACTTCAGAAAGATGTCTGCATCGCCTCTATAATCTCAGAACATTAACCCATGAGTGGTCTCAGATGTTAAGAAAACTGGTAAATGTATCACTCAGGATGATTTTGGTGGTAAGTAATAGAAAACCCAACTCAAACTGGCATTAACAATAAGGTTAATTTATTGGCTGATACAACTGAAAGCCCAGAAATCATGAGACAGTTTGATGAGGGCTCTGGCTCCAATTTTTTATATTCTCTTGGATCTTCCTTTTTTAAGTGCCACCTTTAACTTTAGGCTAGCTTCCCTCTTGAGGACAAAATGGAAGCTATAGTTTAGGGTTCACATTCCCATACCAGATTATTCAGAAAAATCAAGCTTCCCAAGCAATGGCCTAAAGTCATAAGCCATTGACATTTACCTCTGCATCAATCACCATGACAGAAGGGAAGGAATTTTGCTGATTGATTTAAGCCAATGAGGGTACATACCTGAACCTGGCAGTGGGGGTAGTCCCAGTCAACCTCATGGCTGCTCTTCCAATGGAGAAATAAATGCTAAGAGAAGCATGACAGCAAACCCAAGCATTCATTCAGATATTCAGTATTAGAAACAGAAGATTTATCAAAGGCTTCCTGTTTAGGCAGAAAACTGATGAGCTGCAGAAGACATACACTCATTGCTGTTGGCAAAAATCTCAGAAAGCACAGGAAAGTCTACGAAAGGCAAAAGTTTCCATGTCTGCTTCTGATAACCTCAAAGCGTTTTCCTACAGCCCCCTTTTAATGAGTTCCTCATTCATGGGCCCAAATATTTGAACACAGTGACCTTAAAAACTTAACCACAGATGACTGGTCCAAGAAAGGGACCTGATCCAAAGGCAGCAATCTATGGACTGGCCTACAAAATGGCCTAACAAAAGAGCTTAGTGCTACCGGGATTTTCTATTCTGGATGGTGACTACCTGATTCTGTCAGATCCTATAGGGTGTTGGACTATAAGATATACAAGTCAAAAATAGTGAAGAGGTCTAACCTTCCTTGCAAGCTAACAATTTAGTTGGCCATGCTTTAATGGATGCTGGCAAAAAAAAAAAGACATCTGTGTAAGAGACAAAGGACTTATTACTCACAGCTCAGCGAGCATAAACTTCATATTTGCCTCAATTTCTCTTGTCCCCCACCCCTCTAACTTCCAAAGGTGTGACACGGAACAGCCATGCAATGTAGTAGGTGATATAGTTTGGATGTCCCCTCCAAATCTCATGTTGAGATGTAATCCCCCTTGTGGAGATGGGGCCTGATGGGAGGTATTTGGGTCATGCAGGGCAGATCCCTCATGACTTGGTGCTGTCCTCATGACAGTGAGAGAGTTCTCATGAGATCTTGCTGTTTAACAGCATGTGGCACCTCCCCTGCACTCTCTCTCTCTTGCTCCCACTCTCACCATGTGATACATGGGCTCCCCCTTTGCCTTCTGCCATGATTGTAAGCTTCTTAAGGCCTCACCAGAAGCCAAGCAGATGCCGGTGCCATGCTTCCTATAGTACCTACAGAACTGTGAGCCAATTAAGCCTCTTTTCTTTATAAATTACCCAGTCTCAGGCATTTCTTTATAGCAATGCCAGAGTAGCCTAATAGTAGATTTGCATCACACTCAAGGAACCTTGAACCTAGAAAACCTAAATCTTTTATAATGAATTGCTAGCAAACTTGCCCTTTCTTTGCCCCAAAGGAGATATTATCTTTATTATACGAAACAAAAAGTAAAGCCATCTTTCACTCTGGAGAGTCCATTTGCCATGTAAACACCCAGGAAAAGATAGTCCAAAACAAAAGTTGTCAATGCCCCTGATCACGAGATGTGCAGAAATGCAAGAGACCCAAGGAGAATTGTCTCCCAACAGCAGCAGACAAAAGAAAGCTACAGACACTGAGATAAACACAAAGAATAGGCTGTAAGTACTGACAGCAGAAGCCATGAGGTAGAGAGAAAGAAAGGAATGAAAGCTATTGCATTAGCGGCAGGAGAAATAAGCAAGAAAGGACATACCATCATCATGCCAATGGAAGTGTGTTGATATCTATAAACATGAGCTGCAATCATATTCTCTCATTAAATAGATAGTGCAGTACTTCTGAAGAAGTTATCAGTGAATGTGGGATCATTTTGTTTGACAGTGGAAATTTCTCACACTATCCACTAACCTACCCTGTCACCATAGTCAAGCAAGTCAAGCTAGAATCTCTGACTGTGTCAGCCTCCGGGGTTTTGTAGAAAATTTGTATTATGGAGATGTGGGCTAAATACTGGAGGTGATTCACTTCAGAAAGCTAAGCATTGGGAAACCATCTCTATCACAGTAACCATTTATGTTAAAGAAACTGATTTTGCACTGTTTTTAGCCTCCTGTATTTTATTTCTTTCCATCTTAATCTAACATTCTTTTCTAGACAAGAGATGTTTATTGTTATTTGTCAGTGGCAATAGCCAGATGTTCTAGATATACCTTTGTTAAAGGCAACACAATTATCTCAAAGGGCAATATTTATTTTAGACACTAACTTGGCCTCTGTTGCCAATTTTTCTAGTTATGGTTAGTTCATTGTACTTTGTCTCCAAAAAACAAATATCCCAAATTTTTTACATGAAGTGTACACTCAAAGCAGGCATCTTAAGTTGTTACTACCTCTTATTTATATTGCATTAAGTATTTTATTCACTCCCACAATAACGACAACTAAAAAAAAACTTCCTGTTCATTGATAATTAGATGTTTTGCTTCATTTGGACTTCCTCCAACAATCTTCTGTTCAGATTCAGCTCTTATAATTAATTATCCTCTTGCTGAACAACTAAAAACTGAAGTCTGACCAAAGTACATCTCATCCCACACAGATGTCCTAGTTACTCCACAAAAGGTTAATTAATCATAAGAGGTGCTTTAGAGCAGGAGGCGCTGGAAGAAATTCAGACCTAGTTTCTGGCAACACAGAAAAACTACCATCATGCCCCTTGTTATTGAGCTCACACTGAGAGAATCATTTCAATGGAGCAGAAATCCAACTGCATGAACGAAATAGCTGGTGGATATAATATCATGCCTCAGATAATGGAGCACACCACTTCCCAGTCACTGATGATTCAGAATCCCAGCCTGCCTGCAAGAGAAGGTCAGCACTGTTTGTCCTCATTTAACAGAGGTGCCTGAAAATCCCAAATCGCAACAATGGCAGAAGCAATCTTCATTGTTCTCCTCTCTTTGGCTGGGTGCCATTTTGTAACAGGAATGAGCCCTCTTCTCCAGCCAAAACAGTCTACACACAGTCGTCCAAATACACCTTGCATTTTCCAACCTGTGGCTTCAGTCATGCTAATCCCTCCAGTCCAGGTATAAACTTGTCTTCTTCCACCACCTAGCCAAACCCTATAATTCAGTCAAGAACCAGTTCAAATAACTCTTCCTCATACACCTGCATGCGGAACATTCCAACCCAATGGAAGTGCGTCCTCTTTTGATTCAGGAGCAGCTGTGGTGCGTTAGAAGGAGCACTGTCCTGAAACAGAAAATAGATGCAATATTGGCTGTATTAAATGTGTAACTTTGAGCAAGATATTTAACTCCTGTGAGCCTCAGCTTTCTGTTCAATAAAACGAGAAGAAGAATAGCTACTTTGTAGGCTTTATTGTGGAAATTAAATAAAATCAGGATTATGAAAATGTTTATCATTTTGTTGCTGCTCAGCACATATTTCTTTGCTTACTTGATAATTGACATCCCTGTGTTTTAGTTTGCTTTCTTTAGTTGTTTTTTCTTCCCCTTTTAACAAAAGATGTGAGAGAAAGTCACCTTAAAATAGTTCTCAAAATAGTAATCATCATCATCCCTTTCTGGGAACAGGGATGTAATAAATTGTGTGCTCTAAAGATCTATGAGATTTCCTTTTGGAGGAGCAGGGACAGAAAAGAGGTCAGGACTCAGATCAAGAATCTGAACCCATCATGGCCAAGCACTGGAGGACTCATTTCTGGTGCTGGAGATGGCTGTGAATTGAACAGGAGAAGAGTCCACTGCAATAGGTCATGCTGTTAGAGGTAGCATCCACAGGAGATGAGCACAACTGTGGTTCCCTTCACCCAGACGAGGTGTCTCTCTGTTACCAGCATGCTTTCCTAGACATGAAGAGAGACTACATATGAGTTTCCAGGTCCCCTTGGGAATCAGAAAAAAAAAGTGCTCCATATTCTGGAGATGAAAGGGAAGTGATGCTCTGGTGACAGCCATAAATCATCTCATTGAGTCTCATAAACTGTTAGCATGCCTTTTCTCCCCAACAGACTCTAAACTCCTGGAGGCCAAAAACTAGTTTGAAGTGTTTTATCTGTCCCTCAGGCCCTGAGCTCAGCGTGCACTTAGGTTCTGGTTTGTTTCCATGGGCTTTACTTGATTAGCCACTCTTCTTGTTCTCTCCACCATCTTTTCCTTGTTTATTGTTTAGCCATAATTTAGACCATATTAAAGTGGATTCTAAATCAATATCGAAGACTCTAGATGGTCAATGTTTTCTCCTTGCTGAATGATTCCTTCCATTTCTCTTGGAAGCTCCCATTGAAATGGAGAATTAACAAGCTTGCGGGAAGAAGAGAGCGGGAAGGGAGCAGGAAAGAGGATATTTGGCTATGGAATAGGAGCAAAAAATGCAATTTGTCTTTCATGAATAAGATTCTGTGAGAAAAAGGTGGCAATTCTAGTTCATGGAGATAGCAAGGTGTTCATGCCACTTCTGAAGCACTAGATCTTACTGGCCTTCTTGTCTACCATGTTTATTTGGTTCTTTGGAAGTCAGTCTTGAGCCAAAAGTATATGGAAGATTTTCGTCCGGTCCACAGTGTCAACCTATAAAATACATTGATATAAATAAACAACAACTTGTGTTCAACACATCTTTATTCAAGGGTTCAAATTCCTTTTCCAGCATGATTGTGCCCAGTCTTCAGAGATAACAGGGTACTTATCAACCTTCTTCATTTTAAAGATGCCAAAATTGAGTCAGTAAAGTCAAGTATCAAGTTCAGCCAAATAGAATTGGAACCCAATTCCATCGTGTGTGTGTGTGTGTGTGTGTGTGTGTGTGTGTGTGTATATATAATTATTGTAATTATTATCATTCAACGGCATTTCTGAAGCTGAATGTGAATCCTGCCCACTGTGCAGGATTCAGCCAGCACCTGAAATGCAGCCAACAGTGAAGAAGACAATGTTTTAATAAAAAAATAGTCCTGAGACCACAGCACTCCCAGTTTTGAAAGCCTTAAAATAAATTCCAAATTTATTCATAATGGAAAGAAATCACAGAATCCAAGGTACAAAATTATTTCTACAGCTGCTCCAATAAACATCAGAAAAAGCCTCGCCAACTCCTTCCTGTTCAGCCTACTGGTGTACACTAGAGGAGTTTTTAAAAGAATAACTCTTATCTGTCCTCATGAAAGCTAAAAAGCTAGTCTTATCAGGTCTAAAAAGAACGTGTTCAATTTCAAGGCTTCTAAAAAAACCTTCTGGTTGTATTTACCCACTTTCTCAATTAGCAAGGGTTTGAAATCCTGAAAAGCTTTCTTACTGCCTTAATTTTATAGTCAATGACATATATGCAGATATAGGTATAGATATGTAAAGAGATATAGAGATAGACATATATCTCATCTATCTCCCCAACTAGATTGTTAAACTCATGAATCCTAACTATAGCTAGAGTCTTCATCAATGTATTCATGTGCTCAGGCTGCCATTATAGAACACCACAGACTGAGTGGCTTAAACAATAGGAATTTATTTTCTCACAGTTTTAGAGGCTAGAAGGCCAAGACTGAAGTGTCAGCATGTTTGGTTTCTTCTGGGGCCTCTCTCCTTGCCTTGTAGATGACCACCTTCTCTCTGTGTCCTCACATGATCTTTCCTCTCTCTGTGCACAACTATCTGTATCCTGATATTCTCTTTTAATAAGGACCCCAGTCACGCTGGATTAGGGTCCACTCATATGACTTCATTTTACCTTAATTACTTCTTTAAAGGCCCTAACTCCAGTACAGTCACATTCTGAGGTACAGGGGTTAGGACTTCAACATATATAGTTGCAGGCGACACAAATCAGCTCATAAGACTGTATCTCCCAAGTATTTATGGTTTGCCCATGAAGAGGCCTCCATAAACGCATGTTGGTTAATGACTTGATGTAAATAAATATACAAGCTAATTCTGAATGGATGGAAAAGTATGGTGAGCTTGAAAAATCATCCCACATCCTTACCCTTTCAATTGTAATTAAAAAAAAAAAAAAAAAAAAAAACGAAAACAAATACAGAGCTCCTTCCTAATTCTGTATAAAGGCACGGGTGGTGGTGCCACACACACCTCTCCAAAAGGAAGCAAGACCTGCAGTATGCAAAGAACATTCCCGGAAGCTACCAAGCAGGGATGAGGCTTTTGAAAGCAGGCCAGACAGCAAGAGAAAAAGACACTGCTGTGATAAGGTTTGGAGGAGCAACTCCACGATTCACAGCAAAAGTATAGGATGCTAAGCTTTTTTCCCCAATTATTTAAAATGATGTAACTGGAGTGTTATTAGACATCAGAGAAATCTAGGTTGAAGTCCTGTCTCTTATCATGTAGGTGAACTTGAGCAAATTATTAATTGTCTCTAATGTTCCTCTTCCTCATCTGTAAAAGAGATAGCAGCTTTATTGTGAGAATTAAATATGCTAATTCACTTAACGTGTACTGACATTAACTGAGTGTTCGATTAATGTTAGTTTCTTTCCCCTTCTGACTTCCTCCTCAACCAAGACACAGTTTTTCCTCCTCAACCAAGACAGTTTTTCCTCCTCAACCAAGCACAGGCTCGCTAGAACACTGAAAGACCCCACTTCTCTCTAACACACTGTTTCTCAACTTTAAAAATCCACATGGCTCTTGATCATACAAAACTTTACTTTTCCACACCCTTTGTTGAGATTTGTAACTGTGACCTCTAAGATAGGTCGGAATATTAAAAAGGCAAATAACGCACACAGATTCCCCAAATCTCTCTCTCCAAGCCACAGAAAGCAGGGAAGATGAGCCTGAATGTCTGTCTGTGTGTGAGTGAGTGCGGGGTGCATCAGAGCGGATTCTCCCATGCTGCTCTCCAGTTACTTAGCCCCTGTGTAAGAATTAAATTATTCCCAGAAGTCACAGACAAGTCAAGTCAGCTGTTTTACTTAAAGGAGCAAGACAAAACCGAAAGCCCAAAATGGAAAACTGGAGAAGAAAGCAGTTGTTTGGGTGACAAACAATCACTGAAGCTCTTTCCGGCAACTCAAAGCTGGCTCTCAACACCTGATTATTTTCAAGAAGAAACGCAAATGATACGTGTTTGTTTTGTGGTTTATCAGTAAGCCAACTTGCTTGGTGTTTGCTAACCCTCTGCATTTGACTATATGGACCCAGCATTGGTAAGGGCAGGGAGGAAGTGAAAGAGGCATCTTTTAGATTTATTTTGCTTCTTAGTCTGTCTGCATCCTGGCAGGAATCCACCAGGCTTGTTTAAACATATTACCCATTTGTTAGACAAAGGGAGCTAAGCTGTGCCAGGTGCCTGTGGCATTATACAGGGTTAAGCAATGGCAGGAGAACATTTCCACAATTATCTTTCAGTCTGTGATAGACCTAAAGGAGCCAGCAAAGTTTGTTTACCGACCTTTCCAAGAAGTCTCAATGGGAGATGTGGGGACACTGAAAAAAATAAAAGAATATATTACAGAAAATTATTTTAATAAATGGAAAAAGACTCAAGATGTCTACACCCTACCTGTAACTGCATATTCTGGGTTACCTTTGTCATACTCTATAATTTCATGTATTTGATATAAGCTACATTCTCCTAAATTGGTTTGATCCAATGCCAATCACATACACACACACATACAGCCACATTCAAAAAGACTAAAAAATCTTTTTTAGTCCTAAAATCTGGGCTACAGTAGTGATCAAACATCTAAGAGTAACCTTCTAGGATTTGCTACTTTTCCCTTTCTGAAGCAAAGCATTTTGACATACATAGGTCATTCTCTGGCAAAAAAAAAAAAGAGAGAGAGAGGAAAAGGCAGAGCTCAGCAACTGCTTTATCAGAAGAACTCACAGGCATTAAATTTCTAACAAAGCTAACCCATGTAGTGTTTGGCAGCACAGTACTCCCAGACACACACACACACACACACACACACACACACACACACACACACACTCACATGTGCCCTGCAATTCTGCTCTATCAGCCTCTAGTTCTTCCCACTTGGCTCTGGGAGAAACAGACTAAACATCTTAACCCACCCTTAACATTTTCTGTACTCAGAACAACCTGATTAGAGCCAGATCTCACTTTTAATTCTGTTCTTTGAGACATCTTCCAGAAAGAAAATATACCTGTCTAGGGAAAGTTTAGAACAATGGCTAGAAATAGATACTGAGGCCAAATGAACACTTTTTGCCTTTGACCTGAATTAAAGGCAGCAAAAAGCAGAATTGGAAAATAGAATGGCTCTCTCTCTCAGCCTCTCTGGCTGTCAGCTCTCCACGTTAAGTGCTAAGGATACAAGATGAGCAGGACAGATGTAGTCTATGCTCTCATCGAATTCACAGAACAGTGGCAGAAATAGACAAGTCAAGAGGCAATTTCAGGACAGTCTGATCATGGCCTACAAGTCCTTTTGCTATCTGACCCATACTTAGCCATGATAAAGATTTGGGGAGTCAGAGAAGTCCTTTAAGCAGAGGCGTGACATGATCCGATCTGCTGTTTAGAAAAAGCACTTTGGCTGCAGTAGAGAGAATGAATTTAGGAGAAGTACAGTTAGTGGTGGAGTGACCAGTTTTAAGGCAGTTGAAGTAGCCCAGGGGAGAGATGGTGGTGGCCTGGCTTACAGACTTGGCATGGCAATGGCGAGAAGTGAACAGATTCAAGCAATAATGAGGAAACAGAATCCCTGCCTTCCTTCAACCGTGGGAATAGAAATGATGCACAGCTTGGGGGGAGGAGGAGTGAGACATTTCATTTTTTGCCTAATATTCTTCAAACACAAATTATCATTCCACATTTTCCCTTAGAAAATCACCATCTCCCATTCATCTTCACTGCAATTCTTGGTAATTGAAAGAAATATGGAATCCATCATTTATTTTGAACCCAGAAAGGTCACACAGTTCTCCTGGCCAATACAAGTGGTTTGCTTTGAAACCATCCCACGTGTATTTTCCACAGGCCCTGCACAGCTACCATTTCACTCCTGGCACTTGTTCATCATTCCATTTTCTCAAAGTGAATGACAAGCAAATGGTAATCAATGTTCCCAATAAAAGTTTTAGGAGATAATTACAGTGACGGGAAGCATAGTCATTACAATAGTCATGCTGGGTTTGTTGTGATGCTACTAATCACACCAAGTTTTCTGATTCATGTAAATTGCAGGTAACTTTACTCCTCTAGAATTTGCTATTAATAGATAATATTATTATGCTAATAGCTGCCTAAAGTATAATTTAAGAATTTCAAGTGATCTAAGCCAGATATTTTAAAACACTATAATAACCTAACAGATATGAGCCAAAAAATAAATTTTATCACATTTAAGGAAATTATTTTGAAGGAGAGACACCTGCAATTTACACATTAAAAAATCAGTTATACTACATGGAGCTGAGTGATTTAATGTATGCATGTTTTTTCAATTGCTCAACAAAATAGAAATTGCAAAATATTATACTATCTAATCTCTGGTTTATTGTTAATCCATGAGTGCTTATATATACATGCTATATGCATATATATGCTACCATTTGTTCATTCACTCAACAAATATTAGCTAAACATACACACTCCTGAGCAACTAGAAGGGGCAACATAAACTCAAGTAAGTATAATACTGAAATATGTGCTAAATAGAGATAAACACAAGAAACTACAGTGCTGTAAAGAAAGATGCCTTTAACTCCATCATAGAGGGCTTCCTAGAGAAGGTGATTTTTAAGATGGGTCTTAGCAGAAAAGTCAAGAGCGCGGCAGAGAAACCCAAACAGTTGGGGGATAATCCAGGAACCGAAGAAAAGGCTATTCAAGGATATGGTAGGATCTGGCAGCCGCAAGAATGTAGACAAGGTTCATTAGGATAGGGTCAGGAGAAGACTATGAAGAGCTTAGAGTGCCATAGCAAGGTCACTGGAGCAGGGAAGAAGCACAGGCACATTATCTTTGACTTGCTCTTCAGAAAAGAGGATTATGCTTCGCAGATAATTGTTTTATATAAATTGAAAGTTTGTGGCAACCTTACAATCGAGCAAGTCTATCAGCACCATTTTTCCAATAGCATGTGCTCACCTCTTGTCTCTGTGTCACATTTTGGTAATTTTCACAATATTGCAAACTTTTTCATGATTATTATATCTGTTATGAGATAGGTGATCAGTGATCTTTGTTGTTATCTATTGCAATTGTTTTGGGGTGCTACAAACCATGCCTTATAAGACAGCAAACTTAATCAATAAATATTGTGTGTGTTCTGACTGCTCCACCGACCAGCCCCTCCCCCGTCTCTTTTCCTCTCCTCAGGCCTCCCTATTCCCTGAGACACATAAATCTTGAAATTAGACCAAATAATAACCCTACAATGACCTCTAAGTGTTCACATGAGAGGAAGAATCCCCTGTCTCTCAATTTAAATCAAAAGCTAGAAATGATTAAGCTTAGTGAAGAACGCATGCAGAAAGCCCAGACAGGCCAAGGTTAGGAGGCTGGGTCTTTGGGAGGTAATTAGATTTAGATGAAGCCATGAAGGTGGAGCCCCCATAATGGGCTGAGTGCCCTTATAGGAAGTGGAAAAAATACTAGCACTCTCTCTCTCTGTCTCTACCACGTGAGGCCACCGTGAGAAGGCAGCCATTTGCAAGCCAGGAAGAGGGCCCTCCGGAGGAATCCAATCAGCTGACACTTTGATCTTGGACTTCTTAGACCCCAGAACTGTAAGCCATCAATTTCTGTTGTTTAAGTCACACAGTCTGTGGTATATTGCTATAGCAATCAGAGCTGACTAAGATATACCCCTTCCCTCCCATCCTCCTGACCTGCTAACTCGGGCTCATCCTTCAGCTTTTGCCTTAAATATTACTTCCTTAAGAAGTCTTCCTCGAACCACTATGATTGGTCAACGATCCCATGTCCATGCCCTCCTCTCTTTATACACTCAAATACAAACACACACACAATGTTGAAATGTCTCAACACTCACTAAGGGTTTGGTCAGTGTTACTTGGAGATTCATTAATTATCTGGCAGGTAGTTTAATAGGAAATAGTTTATCTATCCAATTACCTCTAGCTTCACAGTCCTCACTTGAAATCAGGGCTCCATTTGATTGGGAGTGATGGGAGGAGGACAGTGAGGGCTTGGGGAGCAAAGGGCAGCTGGAGAAAGATAGTGGGGGATCTTAGTGGAGGGATAATGAGAGGAAGCAAAGGGACCCCCAGAAGTGGGGAACTCCAAAGGGCTACTGAGAACTGTGTATCTGATTGCACAGAACATCAAGTTCTGGATGTAGAAAATTCCAGAGAAAGCTAGTGTAAAAATAAATGCTGTTGCAGAATTTCCTGTCTGAATCTGGTCTTTTCAGCTCCACTGGGAAGTAGTAGCCTGTTTTAATATCATCCCATTTCTGCCACCTGTATCACTCTTCTAATCTTTTAAAGCAGTATTACTCCTATTAAAAGACTGCAGCCTTCCCACAGGGCAGTTTTCAAATACCTGACGCCCCATTCAATCAGGGCAGCACCCGGCCATACATATTTAGGGATTTTAATCTTTCCACATAAATCACTCCCTCCAGCTCCTTAATCATGTGTGACAACTTGCAGTGACTGCATCTCATGCTCTGATTTCCCTGAAAGGTCTTGCAAACTAAGCATGGTTAAGCCGAGTCAGTAACTTCGATGGAAAGCACAATAACCAGACAGGAAATGCACAAAATGAGTCCACACACAGCACATGTCTCTCTGAACCTAGCCCCCAGTGGGGGTCTAGAAACCTGCTGTTTTCTGAATGGGGGGACCAGCTCACAAGATGACGGTGTGCTCTCCTCACCTGCAGAAACTGAGGAGTTAGACTAGGGATCCCCAAGGGCCCTTTAAGCTTTAGTATGCTCTGCGCTTGTGCTCCCAATCTCCCTTAAGAGGCAGATTGTCCTAATCAGAGTTATAACAGAACCAATCAAATTGGAATAGCAGGAGGACTTTAAATCAAACCAGGAAGAATCCTTGGACTTCATCAAGATTCCCGAGCCATAGCGGCTGGGAATAAGGCAATGCTCTAGCCCTTTATTATTCTGAATTTTAAACTATGATAACCTGGTACTTTCTTATCTCTTAAACAGGGTCTCTTGATGATGATCTCTGCTTCCTGTCACTGTGACTCCTGAAAATCAGATTTCTGGTTCCAGATTCCTGTGACTCTGATGGTGATGATGTGATGTAATTCTGTGCATTTGTTTTATCTACAGATACAAGAGAGAAGAACCCAAATGCTAATTCTCATAATATTAGGTTGGTGCAAAAGTCATTGCGGTTTTTGCCATTTAAAGTAATGGCAAAACCACAATGACTTTTACACCAACCAAAAAATAAGTTGATGGTTTTTTTGTTTTGTTTTGTTTTGTTTTTTCTTTTTGAGACCGAGTCTTGCTCTGTCACCCAGCCTGGAGTGTAGTGGAGCCATCTTAGCTCACTGCAAACTCCACCTCCCAGGTTCAAGCGATTCTCCTGTCTCAGCCTCTTGAGTAGCTGGGATTACAAATGTAAGCCACCACACCTGGCTAATTTTTGTATTTTTGGTAGAGACGGGGTTTCACCATGTTGATTAGGCTGTTTTCAAACTCCTGACCTCAAGTGATTGACCTGCCTCAGCCTCCCAGAGCAATCGGATTACTGGCGTGAGCCACCGCACCCGGCCCAAAAAGTAAGTATTAATAACACTTACCTGAGTGCTTAATCATAACACGCATTCTCCAAGCACTTCACTCATAGTAACTCATTTTAAACATCATGAAAACCCTACAAGGTGGATGAGAAACTAAGGCAGAGAGATTAAAAAACTTGCCCAAGGTTACACAGATAGCAAGAGGAAATGCTGAGATTTGAACCCAGGTAGTTTGACTTCATAGCCACTCTGCTGTTCTATCAAGATTCTTTAGTATTACCGAGATTTCTGTCTCAAATAAAATTGAGAAGCTGGGCATGGTGGCCCACCCGTGTAATCCCAGCACTTTGGGAGGTGGAGATGGGGGGATCACTTGAAGCCAGGAGTTAGAGACCAGCCTGGGCAACATAGTGAGACCTCCTCTCTACAGAAAAATTAAGAACCAGCAAGGCATGGTGGCATACACTTGTAGTCCCAGCTACTCAGGAGGCTGAGATAGGAGGGTTGCTTGAGCCCCAGAGTTCTAGGTTACAGTGAGCTATGACTGCAACACGGCACTCCAGTCTGAGCACCAGTGCAAGACTTTGTCAAAAAAAAATTATTTTATTTTTAAAAAAAGGAAATTGAGAGCATAACAAGAGCTGACAAGAAAATGATTTTTTTTAAGGTGATAATAATGAGAATCTCTGAAATGGGAGAAAAAGCCATTGGCTCTTCCTGGAAGGCTGGAAAGAATGTAGGGCTGTGAGGATGATTCAGTGAGGGATGAAGATGATAAATATTCACTAGCTATGGTCCAGCAGCCCACTTCAGTGTGGGGAAGACAGTTGGTTAAAACCAAAGGACACTGGGCAGGCAGGTGCATCATTGACTAGAGAGTGGCTAAAATGATGATCATGAATGTAAGCTACTTAGGAGAGGGAGTGAGGAAAGTTGGCACCAAGGGAAAATAGATCAAGGATCTGGGTGTTTCTCAACATAGGTTATCTCATTTAATCCTCCCAACCATATGAGGCTTCATAATCATTTTCATTGAAGTCCTCAGGAAGTTAGTAAATTGCCCAAGATCACACAGGAGGTTAAGAGGTAGCATTTAATAAACGGGCATGTGGTAAGGCAGGCTAATCCAGAGGCTGTGCTCCTAGTCTAGGCAACTCTACTTTCATGCCTCCCTGGAAGGGTCCATGGAGAAGGGAGAAAGATTCCAGGTACAAGAAACACCAAAAGTAACTCGATAACCTGGGCCTGGAAGCAGCAGAGGGAAGGGGTTGGCAGGCACAAGTGTAGGGTTTGTCTTTAAAAAGAAAGATGAGATCTTTTCTTCCCCTGAGATAAGAGGGAAAAAGTAAAGATGAAGTGCACATACAAGGACATTCTAGCAAGAAAGGAAAGACTGGCTCGTGTTAGATGGGTCTCATTTCCTCAACAAATTAAAACAAAGTTCATCTGCCAAGGTCTTTAATCCTAGAGGGGTTGAGTTGGAGCTAGAGTTTAAGACAATGGCATGTCTGAAATAGTTGTTGTCTTGGACTCTTTGAATGCAAGTATTGCTCAGCAGCTCTAGAGGCCCTTTCTGAGCTTATATGATCTTTAGAGTGAAACTGTTGGCCCTGATTTTGTGATTTTCTCTAGCAGTGGCTAGAAGTACAGAATTGGGAACAAAGAAAATGACTGGAGTCCTTTGCTCAGTATTGGAGGTTTCTTGCAAACTCATGGGTTTACCAGAGTGTTTAAATTATCCAGTTTCTTCTAAAGAGGAAAAGTTTGAGAGCTGATAATCCATACAGTGAAAAATCAAGGCACAGTGAACAGGAGTCATGGACACTGGCATCAACTGCTTCGGTTCAGCTCACGTTAGTGCCTCTTGCTAGCTGGTGACCTTGGACAAATTACTTAACCTCTCTATGCCTCAGTTTTTTATCTGTAAAAGAGAATATTAGTTAAACTTACCCTCCTAATATTCTTATAAGAATTAAATAAAACATATACGGCAGGTAGCACTGTGTCTGAGACATAGTAAGTGGTCAATTAATGTTAACTTTTATTAAGTCTCAAACAAAGACCTGTCTGGTATTTCTAGTTGCTCTATGTCTTCATTGCTCAACATTCACTACTAGAAGCATGGCATTTTGGGCATAGACCTATATGTACTAAATCATGTGAGAGACTACAGTGTCCTAGCCATTGGCAATGGCTTATCCAGCCGTGGTGACTAGCTTTGTTTTCAAATATAAGCAAACCGGTGACCTAATGGACTATGAGTTTGCTCCAAGGGAAAGTAGCCAACTCTTCCTTATTTAATGCCAATAAGACCTTGACCTTTCCTGCTTTCTATGCCAGCCCTTCTCTCATAAAGCAAACCCAGACCACAAGTCTAGCCAGACAGTCGATATGAAATTAAGCCTAGAATTTTAAAACATTGCCCAGGTCTTTCTCAACAATTACAATTTCTTTTAAGCATTAGACTTTCTTTATGGGGCCCCCAAAGAGTTGCAGAATAGAACTAGTATTGTTAAACCTTCTTCCAAATCTCTGTAGTCTACTCAGCATCATTTCTTTTTAAAGTCTCCCAGGTGTGATACTTGTGGCCTGGGCTTGTGTTCTTATTCTGCATAACAAAAAGATTTTCTTGAAAATGTGATTAGAGTACAAATGCTTTATGTACTTAGATGTGTTAAATATCTACATTCTTAACTCCCTAAGAACTTCCTTTTCATGAAAGAAATGTTTTTTCTCTTTTTCTGGGAAATAAAAGTAGTAAAATTCAGAAGCCTAATGACCAGGAACAACAATGGCATTCTTTTCTCTGAATTCTTACGTGGACTTGTGTTCTCTTCCAGGCCTGTCTCTATTTGTTGCACATGTCACTATCTTCTTCCTCCTGTGGGCAAAAATATTCTTGTCCCTCCCACAGTACCTAACAGGTCCACAAAAGTAGAGAAGTGTCCCAATAAAAACTTACTTGACTAACTAATTGACTGAAAATACTTTTTGCTTAATTGATTCATACAGACCAGGGGACCAGGAAGGTAACTGAATGATGGAGGCTGAGTATAAGACAATATAGAGCAGTGGCGACTGCAGTTACATGAAAACTGCATGTCCCATCTAGGGGGTAATTGGAATTCAGCTCTGGCTTACCTTTGCCCTGTGGCAATATAGGTCCCGTATTACTAGATGTTCCCACTTTTAGATAGAGGAAAAAATTTTAATGTGAAATCTCCCAGCTTTTAAGTGCTGGCAATCAATTAAAAAAATAAAAATTTTAACATAGTGCAGGCCCAATATAACACATCAGTGAACCAGGTTCACCCCAGGACCAACGGTTTGCAATATCTTAAAGAAAACTTTCCACGAAATTGTGATGAGTAATTCAAACTCCCCTTTATCTATCTTTTACACCAGACCCACCTTCAAGCAGCTTGATGACCACAGCCCATGCTCTGCCCCTCTATTGCCCGTCACAGTTGGGCTAGCTGTCACAGCAAAACTCATCCCTGAGTCAGTGCAGAATAACAAAAACCACATACTCACACTGCCAGCTGAGCCCTTTCATGGTGTTGTATAAAACTGAAATGGTGGTAATTGCTACAAATGATGTCCAGATTAAATGTTGTGATGAACATTTTTAAAGGCCTGGATGATTTCATGATTCTATCATAGTCCCAGCAAAGTTACCTAAAGAAGTAACATAGATAATCAAGTGTCATATTTCAGATATCAGCTGATTTTCTGCAGTGGGAGAGACAGTCAGGGTCAGAAGGAATATTCCATTCTCCCCATTCCCAGCAGCTCCAAATTGGTTGGTAGATAGCAAAGATTCCCACCTTCCTATGAAGCAGCAAAAACATGTCCCTGGTAAAGGAAGACTATTTAACCAATAATAGGGAGACTATTTAACCAATAATAGGTTTGCATTCTTATCAGAGCCTTTTTTTTTTTTGACATAAAACTCTATCTTCATTCAACTTTTGGAGCCTAGGTAAGGCTCAGTACTTTTTCTAAAACAAAACACTACTGACATCCCCTAAAGATGAATTCCATGTCATATCAACCTTTCTATCCCCAGCACCTGGCACAATACTATTACAGAACAGGGACTCAACAAATATTTGTTTAATGAATAAATTAATGATGAAATGATAGAAATCAATCCATGCCTCAAATGGTCTTGATTTATAGTCATGCTGGAGAAAGGGGATCAAAAAGAAAGGACGACAAAGATGAGCATCTTAAAATGCAGCATGCAGTGCTTTTTTTTTTAAAGATACTTTAGAGAATTGCATGGTAATTTATCTAATCCACCCTGTCAGGAAGAATCTGAAGATGCAATCTCTGCCTCCCTGCTAAGTCTTAGCGTGTGCTGATTTGAGGTGGCTCCAGAAGTGAAGCTAAACAATTAATTGCACTATTAAACAAACACTTTATGTTCCCTTGAAAACCTTTAATGAGAGCCTCAGTGTCAGAGAGGAAAAGATGCTGAGGCATCAGAACCATGAAAGAGACATTAAATTTCTTTCTGCTGCAGCCCTGTGGCAGTGGTGTCTGCGCCCCATTCCTGCCAAGTTCACAGTCTTTAACATGACACTGAGCTTGACAGAGAAATTGCAGGTACTCGAGTATGTATCTGCATTGCAACAGATGTCAGCATCACGTTTAGAAGAAAATTGAATTACAGATGGAAGGAGCTTGGGAGTTGAGAGCATCTGTTATATGAATCTGTATTTGAGAGAATACATTTGAAAAATAAGTCTCCTCAACTTCCGAATGAACTAAAATTGTTCATGATTCTTACTGCCATCCCCCTCTCTCTCTCTCTCTCTCTCTCTGTCTCTCTCTCTCTCTCTCTTCCTCACTCCCTCACTCCCTCTCAACCTTTTAAAAAGAATAACATAATTGATGCTTTTTCACACCGTCAAGGTAAAGAATATTGGTAGAAACTGTTTTAGAGAGTAATGTGTCATCTGTATCAGTAATAGAATATCAATTAAAATATTAGAATGTCCCAAAGATTCTTTCCAAATAATCCTAATATTCTTGCCCTAATAAAAAGCACCATGGTGTCTGGATGACCAATCATGTTTGGTCAGCATAAAACACCTAGAACCTATATGTGACCTTCTTTGCTGTCATTGTCCATTTCTTTTTAGTTCCTATGAGAAGGGACCTTCAATCCAGGTAGTCACTATGATTTCATTCAACAAAGAAGTCACTGTCTGAGCCAAGAATTCTCAGAGGATAGTTTATAGCTCTAAGTAAAATCATTTCTGATAAATATGACCCTTAAACTACACACAGGACACAGCTCACTCCTTCCCAATCATGTCCTGACAACGGCTCAACGCACACCTAACAGAAGCAGTTACAGCTACATGGACTGCAGGCTGTGAAGGAAATGATGGAAAGCACACACTCATTTTACACAGGTCCAATCACCAGCTGCTGGGCTTTTATGCCCTTTCGGTTATCTGCAGTCTCATCTCCAATTGTGAAAGACGGGTGAGTTATAGATTCTAATAGGTGGAACAGTGATTATCTGTGACCTCTTTATCACCCTGGAGACCAACTCATGCTTGGACCAGGATATCCAAGTGCCCTTAGCTGCAATAGGACTTTAGTTCAGCATGCCCAGGCCCCACCACCATGTGCTTCAGTTAGCCCCTCAAGTTCCACTAAAAACTTGCTGAGATCCAAGATACTTCCATGGTGCCCTCAGCATGGTTCCCACACCAATTGGTGCCCAAAAGTGAGTGAAGGGAGCTGGGAGGAAAGTGGAAGCCTTTTCTCCAAAATAGCAAGTAATTTGGCAAGGATATATTCTACACCAAGGAGTCAGGATACTGAAGGACAAGGGGTGGCTGTTTAAACGTGTCTGTGCAAAGAGTTTTTTAAATGACCTAATAAAGACCATTGAAAGCTAGAACTAGGATCAATTATCCATAAAAATGAAATGTAACCCTCCTTTACGGGACTTTTGAAGAGACTTTACTCTTATCCCCTGTCCCTTGAACAGCGATGCTGTACTTGGAAGAGAGTCTCCCTGCTTGAAGGAGCCAGGAATCAGGATTTCACTGGGCGTGTCATGACGCTTTCCCTCCACCGTCTCTCTAATCATGATGAATGCCATGGCTTTGGCACATCTGGCTAAAGTCAGGAGTGTGAGGCAGCCACATCTGGACTCTGGCATTATTTCATCTCTAATTTAATAGCTGACTTCCCAGTTCTGAAGCTGACAAAGGACTTGAGCATCAAAAATTGAAAGGATGATCACTAAACTTTGTTGGCTTTCAGGCACTTGCTCTCGCCTCAGGGAAATTTATACCCTATTCCATTGAAGACACTGCTCAAGTGACAGTCATAACTCAACAACAGTGTTCAGAAGATTTTCCAAAGATTGACATTCTTACTGAGATTCCTTTAGCCTATGGTTTGGGTCAAATCCAGACTGTGGAAACTCCCTTTATGTACTAGGTTCAAGGTCATCAGTTCACCAAGGAAAAAAATACCCATTCCCATTTTCAAACTTCCCAATCCATTTTTATCTTCTTTGTCTGCATTAACCTCATTGATCCTCTCACATCTTTGCACTATCCCAAGAGCATTATTTTTTTTAATTTTATTTATTTATTTGAGTAGGACATTCTCAAGAAGTCTTTGCTAAAATTTTTCTTACAGCTGTTACCACTTAGAATCACTTAAAAATTCTCTTATTTTAGGGCCCTTGTTCTCAGTGTTTAAATTTAACTTCATAATATTTGCAGAAAGCTGGATTGCCCAAGAAAATTCACTGTAAGACTCAAGGCCTCTGTTTACTTATCTTTGAAATTGATTTCTTTATATGGATCTAATATGACTTTATTAAAATATCAAACTTAGAAAATATAAAGTAAAATACTATGTAACTGCTCCCTGTACAATAATCTTAAATGAATTTAGCTTGTTCTTCCATAGATGATACCAAGGGTAGTTATTCAACCACAGAAGTGGCTAAAAAAATGAAGATATTACCTGACAACCTGAAGCTCCCAAGACCTTTTATTCCCCTTGGAAACATCTAACGAGCTCCTACCATGTGCAAAGTGTGAGACAAAGTGCCAAAGGGGTGAAAAGGAACTTAGAGACAACCCCGGCCCTTGCAGTTGCTCATCATCCAGGAGAAAACGCAGACCCGTGGACATACTGTCAGATCGTAGAAGCAAGGCCAGAGGGAACTGGGAGGTTAAGTGTGGGGCACGCTCTGAATAATCAGATTCCAAAGCAGAATAGGGGTGTCTGCTTATGTTGGTTCTAAATCCTGCCCTGAGAACCCATACGTATGGGTTCCCCTATACAGGTCTGCAACTTGGAAAGTTGACCTTATGCTTGGGGACCGTCCATCACAATGTACTACATTATTTCTATCCAAAAAAATGCAGGTGAGCGTACTCCTGCTGGCAACCTCCTCAAAGCACAAATCGGGTGATGAGCCCCAAAAAGGGCTTATTAGTCCCGGTTTTGCATGTGAAAAGTCAGAGAGCGATAAAGCCATTTCATTCCCCATCGACCTGGCACTCAGCGCTGCAGGGGTCAGAACCCCACATGAAGACTGCATGCCGCACTCCCGACCACGCCAAGAGGCCTCTGGTCCCCTTCGGCCACTCTTCAGAGACACCAATCCCCGGCCCCCCACAGCATTTTCAACAATCCACTTCCGACTACCTTTTTATGACTTTACAACACAGTTTTTCCTCAAATTTTATGGCATTTCATTAAAGCCGCCAGAAGGTGATACTACCCCTTTTCTAGGAGTGAAATAAATTCAAGTTTTATCGCTTCTGGAAATGCCCGAGCAGCTGTCAGGACATTTGATAGATTTTCTCAATTACAGGACTTGTGGAGCATTTTATACTTACATCTGCACCGAAGCCCGATAGAGTCGATGCTCGTCTTGCCTCTCTCCCTTTTATCCCGTGCATCCTTTTAATGACCAATTTGTTATTTTTTCCCTTTTATTTCTCCTTACCTCCTATTTTCTGCATTTTGTTTCTCTTTTTGCTGTTTGGTTTAGAGAATGACTCATTTCTCACACAAATTTACATTATTTGTAAAAGAGAAGGGAAGTGGGGTCGGGGGGCAGGGTGCCTAACCAGGATCTATAGAAGTAAAAAGAATAAATTAAAATTTAAAAGCAAATCAATTTTTGCATAAAGGAATTTACTGTTAAAGTCAGGTACCCTTTGCACATGCAGTATTTATCGATGTGGCATCACAGATGTTGAGTTTTTTCCTAATGGGATAGAGGCTCTTGGTTGTGTGACTTTTTACACTAATCAGGCTATTCATTGGTGTTTTTCTTCATTGTCAAAATAAAGAATATCAGCTTTCAGTGACAACTTCAAGGATGATTCAAAACTGACCAACCATGGTCCCAGTAGATGCTAAATATATTTAAAAGGCTCATGTGTAACACAGACCAGACCAGTAGAATGTGCAGACAGACTACGGTTATGGCAGATAACATCTATTTCATTGGTTTTAAATATATCATCTTGTGGACAGAGCAGAAACCTCAGACAGAAACTGAATGGGTGGTCAAAATATCTTTGTTTTCATGAAAATGCTTTTCTTTTCTTGTTTGTTTGTTTTTTTTAAACAAGGTCTTGCTCTGTCACCCAAGTTGGAGTGCAATGGCATGAACACGGCTCACTGCAGCCTCGACTCTCAGGCTTAAGTGATCTTCCCACCTCAGCCTCCCAAGTAGCTAGGATTACAGGCACATGTCACCACAGCTGGCTAATTTTTGTATTTTTTGTAGAGATGAGGTTTCACCATGTTGCCCAGGCTGGTCTCAAATTCCTGGGCTCAAGTGATCCTCTCACCTCAACCTCCCAAAGTACTATGATTACTGGTGTGAGCCAGCACACCCAGCCAGAAATGCCTTTCACTTAAATAACATTTTAAAACTTTGGAGTATTTTCTCATACATTACCAAGTATAACATCCCCAGCAATACTGGAGAGTAAACAAGACGACTATATTAGAGATGAGGAAACTCAGGCTCACAAAGGACCAGCACTTTGCCCAAGATCAAAAACAGAGTCTTAATTCCAATCCAGCTCTTCTAACTCCAACTCTAGTGTTTTTCCTCTATTGTTGATTTCCCACAGTACCTGACAGTCTCAATAAGAAACTTAATTCCCCAGTTTCTGTATAGAGCGCCCTACCAATACCTTACAAGTACATGTGACTTTAAAGTCTTCAAAATGTGTCCACATCACTCTCTGAAATCTCCCCTCAATCATTCTTTTTTGTTGTGTTTGTTTTTGTTGAGACAGGGTGTTGTTCTGTTGCCCAGGTTGGAGTGCAATGGCACAATCACGGCTCACTGCAGCCTCAACCTTCCAGGTTCAAGTGATCCTCCCATCTCAGCCCCTTGAGTAGCTAGAACCACAGGTGCATGCCACCACGCTGGGCTGTGTGTGTGTGTGTGTGTGTGTGTGTGTGTGTGTGTGTGTGTGTGAGAGAGAGAGAGCGAGACAGAGAGAGAGAGAGACAGACAGAGAGAGAGAGACAGAGAGACAGAGACAGAGAGTAAGAAGAGAGACAGGGTCTCCCTACATTGCCTAGGCTAGTCTCAAACTCCTGGGCTCAAGTGATCCTCCCACCTTAGCTTCCCAAAGTGTTGGGATTACAGGCATGAGCCACCATGCCCAGCCTAAGTCATTCTTTATACCATTACCCCATTTAATATTTTATAGCCCAAATCATACTCTGAAATTATATTCCTTATTTATTTACTCATCCCTTTATTTGTTTCAGTTATCTAATGCTATGTAACAAATCACCCCAAACTTAGTGGTTTAGAAAAAAAACTATACTTTATCACTTCTCACAAGTCTGTGGGTTGACTGGGCTCAGCTGAGTGATTTTCCTGCCCCACATGGTGTAGCTGAGGTCACCCATGTGGTTGCACTGAGCTGGGAGCTTGGTTGAGGCTGAAACACTCAAGATGGACTCACCCTCCAGGCACTTCCTCCATGTGGTTTTTTAACATTCAGCTATCAAGTTCAAGCTTTTTTACAGTGCAGCAGCTGGCTTCCAAAAAGGAGCATTCTAAGAGCTAACGCCCCAACGTGTAAGCACTTTTCAAGCTTCTGTTTGCATCACCCCTGCTAACACCCATTGGTTAAAGCAGGTCACATAGCCGAATCCAGAATCAGTGTAGGTGTGTGGGTGAGGACCACCCAAGGGTGTGAATGTCATGTGTCATAAGTCATTAGGGGCTAACAATGTGACAGTATACCCCAGTATTTGGAAAGGGAACCACTACAATGTGAACTCTATGACAATGGAAACTTTATCTTGTTTATTGCTGTAACCCTAGCACCGGAAGAGTTCCTGGAAAATAATAGAAGCTCAATAAATATCTGCTAAATAAATAAATAACTGAATGAGGTGCAACCCTATGATTAGGAAAGATTTTATTAACTTCATTCCTTTTTATTAAAATAAACTTTAATTAAAGTCTAGTCCCTTATACTCCTTCCTAGCCATTACCCCTCTTAAAGGGTAACTACTATCCTGACATCTGGTATGATGGATTAGTTCTGCCTATTTCTGAAATTCTATCTAAATGGAAACATACTGTATATACTCTTTGTGTCTGGCTTCTTTCATCACTATTATGTTTGTGAGGTTAATCCATGTTGCTGTGTGAAGCTGTAGTTTTTCATTCTCATTATTTATAGTATTCCATAACATGAATACACTACCATGTATTTATCTGTCCTACTATTGATGAATATTTGAGTTGTTTCCAAGTTGGAGCTATTATGAACAGTGTTGTTATGAACATTTATGTTTGTGATTTTTGGTGAAAGCATACATTTCTCTTAGGTATAAATGGAATGGCATATACTCAGCTTTGGAAGAAACCCAAAGAGTTTAGCAAAGTGGCTGTAACATACACTCCACCAGGAACATTTAGGTGTTCCAGTAACTTCATAGCCTCATCAGCACTTAAAATCATCTGTCTTTTTCCTTTCAGCTTTCTAGGGGGTGGGTAGTGATATCACATCGTGCTTTTAATTTGCTTATCCCTTATAATTAATAAATGGTGGTTTATTAGTTTACTATGGCTGCTGTAACAAATTGCCATAAGCTTTGTGGCTTAAGACAACATAAATGTATTTTCTCACAGTTCTGGAGGCCAGAAATCCAAAATCAAGGTGTCAGTAAAGATATATTCCTTCTGGAGGCCTAGAGCAGAATCTATTTCTTGCCTCTTCCAGCTCCCAGTGACTGCTGGGATCCCATGGCTTGTGCCTACATCATTCCAATCTCTGTCTGCCTTCATGTTCCCTTTCCTGTGTGTGTCTGTATCAAAACTCCCTCTGTCTCTCTCTACATAAGGACTCATCCAGATAATCCAGGATATAATTGCATGTTGGACTCATCCAGATAATCTAGGATATAATTGCATGTTGGACTCATCCAGATAATCTAGGATAAGTTTCTCATTTCAAGATCCTTTACCTTAATCACATATTTTGTCATATAATATATATTCTTTGGCCATATAATATTCATGGGTCCTAGGGATTAAAAAGTAGATCTATCCTTGGGTGGAGGGATATTTTTCAGCCTACAGGTGGGAAAAATGTATATGTCCTCTTTTGTCAATTGCCTGCTTAAGTCTTTTGCCCATTTTTCTATTGGGTGGTCTGTTTTTCTTACTGATTTGTTACAATTTATTATTCTGAATACAAATCCTTTAACAAATGCATATATTACAAATTCTGTGGCTTGCCTTTTCACTCTTCTAATTGTAACCAGTTCTTAATGTAATTCAATTTATCTCACTTTTTAGTAGATGAATAAAGAAGAGAAGCCCAGTGACTTCTTCAGAAGGCATATCTAATTAGAAACAAGTGATCAACCTTGTGTCCATGTTACCAAAGTTCATTAATGGATGAATGGGTTTTTGTAGTGCTGTAAAACTACTGGGTATTTAAATGTTTCCTTTAGCATTTATAGCTTTTATTTTAAAACAAATTAAAATAACAGAGTAGTGAAATTTTTTAATTAAACAAATTTTTCCAATTTGGTTTCTCAAAATTCCAATTGGCTTTTTTGCAGAAATTGACAAGTTTATCCTAAAATTCATATGGAAATTCAAGAGATCCAGAAAACCAAAACAATCTTAAAAAGAAAAAAGCAAAGTAGGAGGCCTCACACTTTTCAATGTCAAAACTTACTATAAAGCTATAACAAACAGGACAATGCAGTACTGGCATAAGGGCAGGTCAATGCAATAGAATTTAGAGTCCAGAAATAAACCTATGTACTTGGTCAATTGATTTTCAACAAGGGCACCTAGACCATTCAATAGTATTTTCAACAAATGGTGCTAAGACAACTGGACAAGCACAGGCAAAAGATCGTTGGACTCCCTACCTCACATCATATACGAAAATTAATTCAAAGGGGATTCAAGGCCTAAACGTAAGTTCTAAAACTATAAAACTTTTGGAAGAAAATGTAAACATAAACCTTCATGATCTTGGATTAGGCCATAGTTTGTCAGATACAACACAAAAAGCAAAAGCACCAAAATAAAAAAAACAGATAAATTGGACTTCATCAAGATGTTATACTGCAAAGAACACTACCAAGAAAGTGAAAAGACAGCCCACAGAATGGGAGAAAATGTTAGCAAATCATGTACCTGATAAGGGACTTATATCTAGAATGTATAAAGAATTCATACAACTCAATAATAAAAAGATCCAGGTAAGATGTGGAAAATAATTAATAATAATAAAGATATATAGCCCAATTTAAAAATGGGCAAAGGATTTGAATAGACATTTCTCCAAAGAAGATATACAATAAATACATGAAAAGGTATGCAACACAATCAGGGAAGTACAAATCAAAATTACAATAAGATACCATTTCATACCCACTAAGATGGCTGGAATCAAAAAGATAATATCAAGTGATGGCCAGGTTATGGAGAAATTGCAACCCTCATACACTGCTGATGGAAATACGAAATGGTGCAGCTGCTTTGAAAGAAGAGCCCAGCAAGTACTAAAAAGTTTAGTGTTACCATATGAACCAGCAATTTTACTCCTAGGTATACACCAAGAGAAATGAAATCTATACCCACACACAAAACTTGCATGTGAATGTTCATAACTGCATTATTCATAATAGCCAAAAAGTAGAACAACCCAAATATCCACCAACTATGGTAAATAAATATATAAAATGTAATATATCCATATCATAAAATGAGATGAAGTACTGATACATGATATAACATAAATGAAACTTGAAAACATTATGCTGGCCAGGCACGGTGGTTCACACCTGTAATCTCAACACTTTGGGAGGCCGAGGCAGATGAATTGCTTGATCTCAGGGGTTCAAGACCAACCTGGGCAACATGATAAAACCCTCTCTCTCTTTTTTGAAAATACAAAAAATTAGCCGGGCCATTTGGGAGGCTGAGATGGGAGGATCATTTGACCCCAGAAGGCAGAGGCTGCAGTGAGCTGAGACAGCACCACGGCACTAGAGCCTGCCTCAAAAAAAAAAAAAAAAAAAAAAAAAAAGGCCAGGCACGGTGGCTCATGCTTGTAATCCCAGCACTTTGGGAGGCCGAGGCAGGCGGATCACCTGAGGCCAGGAGTTCAAGACCAGCCTGACCAACATGGAGAAACCCCGTCTCTACTAAAAATACAAAATTAGCTGAGCATGGTGGCACATGCCTGTAATCCCAGCTACTAGGGAGACTGAGGCAGGAGAATCACTTGAACCTGGGAGGCAGAGGTTGCGGTGAACAGAGATCGCGCCATTGCACTCCAGCCTGGGCAACGAGAGTGAAACTCCGTCTCAAAAAAAAAAAAAAAAGAAAAAGAAAAAAGGAAAGAGAATATTATGCTACATGAAAATTCAATCACAAAAGACCACATACTGTATGATTCCATGTGTATAAAATATCCAGAATAGACAGATCCATATAAACAGGAAGTAGATTAATAGTTGCTAAGGCTGGAGAGGTTGAGCGGGAGAAATGAGAAATAACTGCTAATGAGCATGAGGTTTCTTGTTGGGGTGATAAAAATATTCTTAAATTGCTGGTGGTGATGATTGCACAACTCTGTAAAATACACTAAAAATCATGGAATTGTACACTTTAAATAGGTGAATTATGCAGTATGTGAATTATATCTCAAGAATGCTGTTATGTTGAAAAAACGTTTTACTTTTTTAATCTAACTGAAGCTCCTCTCTCTGTTTGTTAGGAGTATTTTCACTAATTCTAGCCCATGTTATTATCTTTTGATAAGCCAGAAAGCATTTTCTACATTTGAAAAATACTGAGGACATTACTCTGGGCATTTGATATATTTCAGATAATATTAATGTTATCGTAAGAAATAGCCTGTGGTCTGGTAGAAAAAATCCTGGACTTGAAGGCTTCAATATTTAATAACGAGGTGCTTTGAGCAAGTCACTTAACTTCTCTGAAACTTCATTTTAAAAAATAATAAAAAAGAGTTGAAGTACCTAATAGAGTTGTTAAGAATTAAGTAAGGTAATTACATGAAAGTGCTTGCCACATTAATGTGTTCTGTGAATTGCAGACAGAGTTTAGATATTCAGAAGACCCAAATTTTACTTTTAGCATTGCCACTTTCTTACTGGCTCTGTGACTTTGGATAAGTTACTTACCCTCTCTGAACCTTATTTTCCTTATTGATAAAATCTGAATGATTTTAGTTAAAATTAGGGGCTTTCATAAAGAGCATGTCTTTCAAGCCAGCATAGTTCCTAGCTTGTGGTAGGAAGCAATTATTACTAGCAGTATTAATAATGGTAAAATACCGTAGAGATGTAAGATTTATGACTACTCTGAAATACTAATGTGGCAATATCCCATCTGCTTAAAACAGCCAATTCCACTACCATTAGGAGAAAAGGAAGGTATAGGATGCTCAACTCGGTGTGGAGGCATGGGTTACAGGCAGTGGGGAGGGAATGTAATTTTCTGATTTAAAGCACGTATAATAGAAAAAATTTGTATCTAATATATCTATTTTAAAATGCAAATACCCTGTCCCTTTTGCTATCCCTTAGTATTACCTAATACTTATTAAATGCTGGCTATATGGGCATATGAGTCCCCTCAAACACTTTAATGTGGGAAGATGGACAAATACACTCTTTTTTTATTGTTCTACAGTAAACCATTGTTATGTTATATTCTACTGATTTGAAATTTATAATTTTGTCAGGACAGTATGAGACATAAAAGATTTATCATGTAAATGAGTAATATAAACATAATTTTATGAAAGCTGTTTAAGAAAACTCATTGTGTGGCTGGGCATGGTGGCTCACGCCTGTAATCTCAGAACTTTGGGTGGCTAAGGTGGGTGGATCACCTGAGGTCAGAAGTTTGAGACCAGCCTGGCCAACATGGCAAAACCCTGCCTCTACTAAAAATACAAAAATTAGCCGGGCATGGTGCACACGCCTGTAGTCCCACCCACTCAGGAGGCTGAGACAGGAGCATCACTTAAACCCAGAAGGCACAGGTTGCAGTGAGCCAAGATCACGCCACTGCACTCCAGCCTGGGCAACAGAGTGGGACTCTGTCTCAGAAAAAGAAAAAAAAAAAAAAGAAAGAAAACTCATTGTTCGGACGGGCACAGTGGCTCATGTCTATAATCCCAGCACTTTGGGAGGTTGAGGTGGGTGGATCGCCTGAGGTCAGGAGTTCAAGACCATCCAGTCCAACATAGTGAAGCCCCATCTCTACTAAAAATACAAAAAATTAGCTGGGTGTGGTGGCGGGCGCCTGTAATTCCAGCTACTAGGGAGGCTGAGGCAGGAGAATCACTTGAACCCGGGAGGCGGAGGTTACAGTGAGCCGAGATCGCACCATTGCATTCCAGCCTGGGCAACAAGAGCGAAATTCCGTCTCAAAAAAGAAAACTCATCGTGCATTTTTAAAAAATGGAACTTGTCTCTATCTGTATAGTTTTATGAACCGGTTACTTGTAAATGCCTATCCATGTGTCTTTTTTCCTGGACTGAACCCTTGTCCATTAAAAGCTGGGAATTTACATGTTTTTATATACAGTGCCGAGTGCAGGGCCTGGCACACAATATGCATTCATTCAGTAAATGTTAACCAAAGGCTTGCGGTTTCCAAGTACTGTACTCGGAATACTTCTGAATCCATTTACTTAGACCAGCTAGTACACACATCAAAAATTGGGTATTGGGGAATTTTTGCTGACTTTCTTGTAGTTATGTTTCTATTAAGTTATTAAACTTCACATCTGCACTTCTTTACAAAATGTGGTATGATTCAGAGTTTCACTAATTCAGTCCTTTCCCCAAATTAATCTGAACTAGTAAAATTTCATTGGGCTAAACCAGTATTCATGTTTTCAATTTTGGTCTTAAATATGCATATTCTTAGATCCAGACTGTTCATACCTGATAAATTCACCACTGTTTTTGGTTATCATGATTTAAGGACATTTATGAGTTGGAAGTAAATTTAAATAAATTATTGGTTACATTTGCTTTGTAACTAATGTTAGCATTTATTTTAGGTGGAAGGAACACAGGTGTTTGTTAGAATATCTTTTGCATTTCCTGTACATTTTTTAACTTCTCAAAAAATTTAAAAAGAGGCCAGGCACAGTGACTTATGCCTGTAATCCCAGCCCTTTGGGAGGCGAGGCAAGCGGATCACCTGAGGTCAAGAGTTCAAGAGCAGCCTGGCCAACATAGTGAAACCCTGTATCTACTTTAAAAATACAAAAATTAGCCAGGCTTGGTGGCGCATGCCTGTAGTTCCAGTTACTTGGGAGGCTGAGGCAGGAGAATCGCTTGAACCCAGGAGGCAGAGGTTGCAGTGAGCCGAGATTGCACCACTGCACTCCAGGCTGGGCAACAAAGCGAGACTCCATCTCAAAAAAAAAAAAATTCAAAAGAAACTTTAGGAAGCTGCTTTGAAGGGTGTTCATTGAGAAGTTGTTCTGGACCCTAAAATTAGGATGATCAGGCGGTAGGCAGGAAAATCAAGGACAAGTAGATCAAACATACAGAAAGAAAGTCAGTGAAGATATGGATGAAGGGTCTAGCACCTGGAAGGCCACCATTGGGCTCTTTTAATTACTTATTATAATGAGTTAGTGGTATTTTTCACTCGGTTATCAGTTTGTTTTTTACAATTGGTTGGTTTTTGTGTCTGTGAAATACCCAGAAATCACCCTTCAATCTACAGTTTCACATACATTCTCTTTAAAAGGACAAACAAGTTCATAGATAATGAACTATCTATATTAAGCTAGAATCCAATTCTTCCGTAAACTTATTTGTATTTGTGTCTTCTTAGACTTCTCTGACACAATGGTTCCCAAAATTGTTTAGGGTGTTGGAAGAAAAGAGATAGATAGATATTTCTATAATACCCAGGGCAAACAAGATGAGAGAGAAAAAAAGACTCCTTCCTGATGGTAATTAGCTTTATTCTGCACACTAGATTGTATTACCCTTGTCTTGGCAGGCAAAGGTTGCCCTTGTTCATAAATTTTATCCTGCCCACAGACTAATCTAACTATAGTAAATAATTTTCTCAATTCACAATTCTGCTTTCTCCAACCTGCTCATTATTTTCTATATTTTTGCAATAAGCACTACAAAATTGCATGTTTCATTACCAATTCAACATCCCTCTGAATGATGCATCTCTAAGTCCATTCCTTACCTACCCTGCATCAAAAGTGCTATACTCTTCAGTCTTTCACACTGTAAAATCTCTATTCAATAAAGAGTAGTTAATTTTTGATCAGGGAAGTGGGGGTTATAATACTTTCATAACACTGGCAATATTACAGAAACTTGAGAAGCAATATTTTATTTGTCAGTGCAGAGTGGTGGCAAGAGCATCAGATTGGGAGCTGGAAGATCAAGAGGCCTGTTAGCTGTGCGACCTTGGGCAGGTCTCTTCATCTTCCTGATCTTCAGGTTCACCGTGTATAAAAATCTCACCCACCTTCCAAGGCGATTTTGAGGCTCAAATAAATGAAGTAAAAATACTTGTAAACTGTAAAGAGCTACATAAATATGAAATGTTATTATTTAAAATAACATAAACGTTAAAGGCCCAGCTTTCACTCCATGGGCCTGTGGCTATAACTTTCTGAAGGTAACACTGAAATTGAACCTACACTATGTGCTCCTGTAGTTACTATTTGTGCCCCAGTAAATCCTTCTGCTACATCCTTGTGTCTTGTGGGTGTTGTGTTGTCACTGTTTGTTTTGGTTTTGCTATCTGAAGTACTGATTTTATAGCTTTCCTCAATGAGGACAAATGAAAATTTTCATAGGCAGAAATTCATCTCCATACAGGCTATCATTCCATCATTTCACAGCACTAAGGGAGACAGCCTACAGAACCTTAAACCTTTTTTTAAAGACCTCAGTGATATATGAACATTCATTTCCAAACACTCCCACTAGAGTAATTCTAATCCGGGGAGCTCTAGGGACTGTTTGCACGTGGTCTATATGAAGTCGTTTCTCAGGCACTTCTCCTCAATGTCATGTAGCCAACAGGCTGAATCAACCACATGCAGTAATGAAAACATCCTGTATTTATAGGAGTATTTCTCCAAGGAACATCCTTCAGCAGGAATGCCTGAAAGAGTTCTAAGAACTGAAGGACATATTTCAGATGTGTCTAACCTGTCTCCAAACCCCTATAAAAATGGTCAGGATACCAAATTGTGCCCTTCTCCGCCTTGTGCTGTAAAATGAAATGGGAGAGTTGTTTGGCTTTATGGCTCTGCGTGTCATTGTGTCTTCTAGCTATTACATGGGTGTAAAAAAAAATAAATAAAAATAAGCAATATGAAGCACTATGCCATGTCACCACCTCACCAAGCGGCTAAATAACTTCTACTGTGAAATTTGTTTTATCTTAAGGAATTTTTTTAAACATCAGTCTGTATAAGATAGTCTACAGGCATATAATTTTTAGATTTCCCCACAAACATAAACAAAACTCTTGGCAACTAGAAATACTAGAAGGAGAAAAAAAAAGATAGGGAAAATTTGCAGCAAACCAGTTTACAGTCTCTCCTCTTTAAAGTGAAGAGGAATTGGACTAGATTTGCTTTAGGATGCTCATACTGCTTAAATTTTTGAAATACACAAACAAAGAGTACACTGGACAGTTAATTATTTCATAATAGAAGATAAAATATATATTTTTCAAAAGTCTTTCTATAGATAGCCTTTTTTCAAAGTGACCTGAGAGCAGAGAGGATCCCAGGATTTCTGGGACAAGGGTTATTGATTATTTCCTTGGTCATGGTGGGGAAAAGGAAGAACTTCCTCCAGAGGAAGATGCTCACAGCCAGTGATCATGTAACAGACCTCCATGTCAAAAAGGCCGACAAGATCTCAAACTCCACTTGGAGGCTGATGGATGTGGATCCCATCCATGGATCAAGGACCTTTACCCAGGGTTGGTGCTGACCCAAATGATGGAATTTTTATCCATCCTCCTTGCTGTCCTAACCAGATTTGGAGACCTGCTCGCAACTCTGGATGGTGTGAATGTTCAAAGCACAAGCTTAAAGAGGTGAAGGAAGTGGAGGTAAGGAAAGTCCCTTGATCACTATCTAATACCATGAAGACTGGACATAGCCAGTATGTCTAGAGCATCTACTATGTGGCAGATACTAGAAAGACATACGACCTATACTGCCTTATTATAGTATGGCAGAAAATGGGTTGTTCTCTCCATGCCCCTTGTTCCTTTCCATCTTCACCCAGCAGATGACTTCAGTTAGTTGCTCAAGGTGATGTTACAGGAAACTCAATAAGTTTGTCCTATGGATGCTCTACTCTGAAGAATCTGGAATACCCATGCCTATACCATGGAGGACCTGAGGACCCACCATCTATTCCAATGATCCACCATCACCACCCTCTAAAGATGGAGAAAGGTACAAGAGTTTCAACCTTGGCCAAGTCTAGTGCCAGGAAAATGGAGCTAGGACAGGGTAGGGAAATCATAGAGGCAGAAAAAAAAAGAAATCAGGAAACAAAAAGTCTGCTTGGAAACCCATCAAAGGCTGACACAGTAGGGCTGAAAGGCAACCCAGTGAAGAAGTCTTATACCTCACTCTGGACTTTGTGTTTTTCCATGATCAGCTTATACTGAGCTCTTCTAAGCAATAGACTGTTTCTCAAGACTTTCTAGATGTTGCATGGCTATAAGATCCTTGTCTGGACCTACAAGGTCCAGAAGAAGAAACTGAAGCCCAGAGAAGTTAGGTAATTTGCACAAGAATACTTAGCTAGTAAGAAGCAGAGCCAAGATTCCAGCCCCGGGCAGCTTAACTCCAAAGCCCATGTATTAGTCACTACCCTACACACCTTCTCACCAGTGACAATTCTCCTGCCACATTTCCTCTACCCCACTAATGTACACTGGTAGTGTAAAAATTCAATATTCATCATTTTCTTCTCTGATGAAAAAGTTATTTGCATTGATTATGTATTTATTTGCATATTTCTAGGTGCTCCATAATATTCTAAATAACTTCCTCCACTATTCATTCCACACTTATTCAACACATAGCTCCTGAGTTTCTAAGGCAAGCGGGGCATTGTGCTGGGTGCTTAAGAAAGTCACAGTCCACTGAAAGAGATCACATTAAAATGAAAATAAGTGCTTGGTTTCCCATGGTACAGTAAGGCATAACCAAGATATTAGAGCTTGCTTATTGAGGTGCAATCCAAAACCACATTACTGGGCTATAATTTTCTATTTGATTGACAAGAAAGGACTAAGCGACTGGCCCAAGGTCAAGCAGCTAGTCAACAGCAGTTCATTTCACTTACTTTATTGTCTCTGACATACCATGTTTTCATGATTCACCCCCTCTTAATAGCCTTATGTAATGTTCAAAACATATTTTATGTTTTATAGACATTTTTTAAATTTAAAGCCAAAGAAGCAAAAGCGTCAAAAGCTAACGTTGGGCTGGATCACGTTTCAGCTGCCAGCTTTAAGGAGAGCAGAGTGCCTATAAGGTTTGGCTTCTCCCCAAGCATATTTCCAGGCTATGGAAGCAGTTAATTCTGCCCTAAATGCATGCTGTGTCCTCATCTCCTCAGTAGCCCTCTATCCAGGCTGAGACTTAATTGGTTTGGGTTGGGTAATTCATAGTGCCTCATTAGGGCATCAAAACACATACTAGGCTCTCTAGTAATTTTCTCCCCTGAAAAACATTGATTGGCTCCTTCATTGGGAAAGGAATTAGCTAAAAGACTACTGGGCTTGTACAAAGAGATTAAGTTCACAATGAATAATTTCAAAGTGTATTGTACAATCAGATTTCTTTGAGCCTATCTGTTGGTCAAATTTTTCTTTTCTTGCTATCACTTCTTGCACATCTACCCAATAGCAAGTGGACTATTAGTTACCTTGCAGAAATTAAATAGCCTAAGCATTCTAAAGTTTTTACTTGCCTGTCTCTCTATTTTCCTTTGACTGAGGTGAACTTTGTTAATGCACTGATAGGAAAACCACCAAAAGATGGCTTTTCTGCTGAACTTGATCATTAATTACTCCATCTCCCATTCTTGCTATAGCAGGCTTGGTCAGCACCCTGTCCATATCCCTTCTCTATATACATCAAAAAGTGCTAACTGTGAATACCTACCATTCTCTGCTTATGTTTTCTGGCTACAAGAGACAGGTCAGCCCTCCTACAGGGCAAGCTGGAAGTGCTAGGGTGTCTATGACCCTGCAAGCAACCTTCCATCAATGACAGATGGGATTTGGTTGATAAATACCCCAGATTTCTCACCTCCCAGTTGGAATAACTCTGAGATATGTTTTACACTCTTTCCCAGAGTTCCTGGGCAGAACAAGCTCAAGTTGCCTAAAGAGATGACTGGCGCGCCAATGCAAATTTCAGCGGCTTGTTTTTGTTCCCTGTCTCATTTCCATACTCCACTATCAGTGTGTCTTGGAGTCACCTCCCAAATATACTACTTCCATTTGATTCATTGTACCAGAGTCTGCTTCTGAGGCACCTAAAGCAAAACAGTCATCATGATCTAGTTAGTCTTTGGCTCTCACCACCTGACACTTAATTCTTGAGGTCACTGTGACAACAGTTACCCTGACATGAAGGGAGCTGAGCTTTCTCAGTTAATTCTGTGTTCACTCTATGAGCCAGATCTGGGGGCTAAGGGAGTAGATTTGCCAGGAGTCTGTTTTCATTAAAGTTCAAATAACTTCCCGGAAAGTAACTTACCCTAAGAGAAGGAAAAAATTGAGATCTACAAACTTGGTCCAAGGACTTTAGATCAGTGTTGTTGGGAGGAGAGGAAGTGGGTTTGAGTAGTGCCTTTGTGTACCTTTTACATTCTCTTACTCAAAATATCCTTACCCCATACCCATGGTCTTCTGAAGGCCCTCTAGTAGGGAATGGTAGGGGCGAGTGAAAGGAGGGCAAGGAAAAAGAGGGAGTAAAATAAACTAGAATCAATAAAATGGTTGCCTTTCTTACAGTTGCTGAAGGAGGTCAAAACAGAGACTTGCTGTGTTTTTGCTATTGTACCCTATTTTTACCCTCAGGTTGGTATGTCACGGAGAAACACTAAAAACATTTTGGTCAGCATCCCATTAATACAATTCCCCTGACAGTAGCCTGACTTGGTGTAGGCCAAAACATTCAATTTCAAAAAACCTGTGAATTTTTCTTTCAAGACAATATTCTGAAACTTTCCTACTAAAAAAATTTAATTTAATTTAAAAATAAAGCCATTTCCTTCTCGCCACAAACTATACATTAACCATATTGCTACTGACAGCCTTGAGGGGGCTGGCCTGCTGGCTTTCTTTCTTATCATTTACTTCCTTAGAAATCTGGCATGACCCCTAGTATCAGCATGAACAAGATTGTGAATGGGACCTACTCATGGGATTATGGATTCTGAATCCTCCAGGAGTGTCCCATAATGCCCCTGTCAGTTGGTTTTGCCTTTGGGCATCTAATTTAACTGACAAATCTGAGGAATCACATGGAAGCAGCCACCTCCCCAGCGACTTCACAGATGGGAGCCCTGCAGTGAGTAAGTTATTCCAGCAAGTTTGACATTACCTTATGTTGAACATTCTCCTGACAGGTCTGCTTATTTCTTAATGGCATAAAACAAGTCACTGTTATTAAGCATGAGTCTCCCTTGACTTGATAAATACCATGGCCCCATTTCTGGCTGTTTTAATGGATGTCCTAAAGGCATCTGAACATGGCATTTTACATTTGGCAGAAGCTCATCAACAACAATTTTTTCTAATTAGCCTTGGAAGCTTCAGACTTAAATGCACAGGGTCAAATATTCCAACAAGTGAGGGACATCCAACTCTCTGGACAAGTGCACTTTTGAGAGTGAACGGAGGGCGGGAGGGCATTCGTACTGCCTGAGCACATGTGGGTACATTTTGCAAAATCAACTTAGCTGCAGATTTAACCAGAAATCAAATCATGTCCTGGCATTATGCCTAGCAGGCATTATATAGTTGTTAGTTTCGATCACAAGAACAATTACTTCAAGTTATGGTGCAGAGCAGTGTTCAAAGTCCTCAGGCCTGCGAAGTCTTCCTGTGATGCTGCTAGCTGCAAAAATCAGTAGATGAAAGAAGTGCAATACTTTATACTTTCAGCCTTTATTAACATTTTGTCTGTCAATTGGCAACAGGCACAGAGCCCTGGCACTACACCAAACACCATGTGTACAGTGCCGAGAGAGCACAAATGAATGAGGAAGACATGACCCTCAGGCTCAGAACACTGACGTCTACACGGAGAGTCACGCTGTACTGAATAAGCATGCCCAAAACTGAAGAGAAAATACAGAACTCCGTATAAAGATGAGATAAGGGGCCAGTCACAGTGGCGCATGCCTGTAATCCCAGCACTTTGGGAGGCCAAGACAGGAGAATCGCTTGAGCTAGGTGTTCGAGACCAGCCTAGGCAACATAAAGAGACCCTGCCTCTACAAAAAATTAAAATATTAGCTGGAATTGGTGGCATGCACCTGTAGTCTCAAATATTCAAGAGGCTGATGAGGGAGGATCGCTTGAACCTGGGGCTTACAGGCTGCAGAGAGCTATGACTGTGCCACTGCACTACAGCCTGGACAACAGAATGAGGCCCCACCTCTAAAACTATATATCTGTATGAGATAATGAATACAAAGCATTTAGTTCCACGCCAAGGAGATGTCTCCCACAGTAAACACAAAGTGAGGAGTAACTATTATTATTTTATTAGAAACTTAAATTCATAATTACATAAATGCTGGCAGGAAACAAAGTCAGGTTAGAAAGAAATGAGTTCTGGGTTTTAGAGAGTTAGGTTGGAGCAGAGAAGACAGGATCCATTTCCATAAGAGAGAGCTGTTCAAGCCACAACACAGTGACAGAAGTGGGTCGATTTTATGCAAGGGCAGCAGATCTAGCTAGCCCTGAACAAGGCTTTCCTCCATCAAGGAAAAGTTAAAATAAAAGGTTATCTAGTTAGGAAGGTGGACATTCACTTTTGAGGCTAGGCAGAGGAGTTTAGATTCAATAGAGTCAAAAAATAAGGATCTACTGTATGTTCTTTTGACAGGCCAGCTACATAGTTTGTAGGACCCAAAGCAAAACAAAAATGTGGAGGCCCTTGTTCAAAAATTGTTAAAAATTTCAAGACAGGGACAAGTATTAAACCAAGCATGGTTCTTTTCCGAGCACAGGGCCCTGTGGCAATGCACAGGTCACATGACCATGAAACCAGCCCTGTCTTTGGGAGCGTAATGGTGAAAATGCTTTCCAAGGATTGTGATTTTAGAATCTACTCATGAGATGCACTGGAAAAGGAAAATATTAATAGTTGAGGTAGAGATCCACAAAGTTAACTCTTGCTGTAATTTGAGAAGAGATATTGCAGAAAAGAATCTGGGAGAAGATGACAATAGATAAGACGTAAGGCATAAAGGAGAAAGAGGGTTTCAAATGATCTCAAGTTTAGCAGGTTTAAAAAAACGGGGAAGTACAATAAAAGGTCTTTTAAACGGACCAACTCATTTCATTAACTAATGCTATTATTCCCTCTGTAATATGTACAGCTGATGTTCCAGCATAGTGCATGCTAGCGCCAAACGGAAGCTCAAGGACACAATGGTTTTTGCCACTTCTGTTCATTTCTGTATACCAGGGTCCCAAAGCAGTGCCTGGCATATAGTAGTCAGCAAATACATAAATAATGGATGAATGAATTAACTTGTCAGGAAACTCATCTCTAAGAGACTGTGATTCTACTTCTATAAATTGAACTCTTCTGAGTTTACCTAAAATCAGGTACTTTCCCAAAACTGTCAACGCCATTCATTTTTGTTATAATTTAATCAATTATGAAAACAAAGGAAATGTCAATGTGAAGAGAGTTGCTTTTATAAAAACTTGTTTGAATCCTTGGACTCAATAGAGGTGAGTTATTGGGAGATATGCTGTCAATTATATGTGGACAACTGTGAAATTTGGGGGCAAAATGAATAAAATTCTAGAATTTTTTACTCAAACTGCTTTGCAAATCATTCTATGTTCTCACTCTATTTTTGTCTTATTTTAAGTTTCAGAGTACATGTGCAGGATGTGCAGGTTTGTTGCATAGGTAAATGTGTGCCATGGTGGTTTGCTGCACTTATCAACCCATCACCTAAGTATTAAGCCCAGAATGCATTAGCTATTTTCCTGATTCTCTCCCTCCCCTTACCCCCTGACAGGCCCCAGTGTATGCTGTTTTCCTCCCTGTGTCCATGTGTTCTCATTGTTCAGCTCCCACTTATGAGTGAGAACATACAGTATTTGGTTTTCAGTTCCTGTATTAGTTTGCTAAGGATAATGGTTCCCAGCTTTATCCATGTCCCTGAAAAGGACATGATCTCATTCCTTTTTATGGCTGCATAGTATTCCATGGTGTATATGTACCATATTTTCTTCATCCAGTCTATCATTGATGGGCATTTAGGTTGATTCCATGTCTTTGCTATTGTGAATTCCCTCCACTTTAAATAGATTAAAATTGAAAATAAGAATGTTATGTGTGTATTTAATGCAAGAAAGACAATGTAGACTTTACACAGCAGACCCATGCTCAAAGAAAAGGCCTCAGCCCTATGTCAAAAGATAACTAAAGGACTGTAATTTATATATCATCTGACTGTATTTATCATTTTTTATAATTTGTTTCAACTGAATATTCTAATGAACTGATCAACCACTAGACCTGAATGTATCAGATATGAATAAATTGAAGTAACATTAAGTAAATAAATGAATACATAAACTAACTTAAAGGAAATGAACAAAAATGTCAGTGTATTAGGCCAATGGTCTAATTATAGATTATAATAATTATGTATTATGTAATTATATTTATAGATTACAGATAATAGATTTTATATATATATTTTTTTGTTTTGTTTTGTTTTGTTTTGTTTTTGAGACGGAGTCTTGCTCTGTCGCCCAGGCTGGAGTGCAGTGGCACAATCTCGGCTCACTGCAAGCTCCGCTTCCCGGGTTCACACCATTCTCCTGCCTCAGCCTCCTGAGTAGCTGGTACTACAGGCGCCTGCACCACACTCGGCTAAGTTTTTGTATTTTTAGTAGAGACAGGGTTTCACCGTGTTAGCCAGGACAGTCTCGATCTCCTGACCTCATGATCCGCCCATCTCAGCCTCCTAAAGTGCTAGGATTACAGGCGTGAGCCACCGCGCCCGGCCTTTTTTTTTTTTTTTTTTTGAGACAGGGTCCTGCTCTGTTGCTCAGGCTGGAGTGCAGTGGCACAATCATGGCTCATTGCAACCCCGACCTCCAGGCTCAAGTGATTTTACCACCTCAGCCTCCTTAGTAGCTGGAACTATAGGCACATACCATCATGCCTGGCTAATTTTTTTAATTTTTTGTAGAGACAGGATTTCGCCTTGTTGCCTAGGCTGGTCTCAAACTCCTGGCTTCAAGTGATCCTCCCAACTTGGCCTCCAAAAATGCTGAGATTATAGGCATGAGCCACCACGCTTGGCCAATTTATATATTTATAATTTAGATTTTATATTTATACTGTAATTAGTATATTAACTTACACTTACATCTGATATATATTTTTAATATCTATCGAGTCAATTATTTGCATTCTCTTTCCTAGTACCTTCCTGACATCAAGTTCCCTGAGACGTGAATTTTAACCAGAATGCTATTTGAATTTTAATCAGAATCATAGAGTAAAAATTGCTCTGGGAGACTGTTTTATAGAAACTCTAGAAAAACCCAGTGAAATATGCCTACTCCACAACTGTATATGCTGTTCTAATGACCAGATAATGGAATCCCCAAATACAGTAGCCTTTTACCATTAAAAGCATGAGTTGTTTTGGAACAGAGAGAGTGACGAGAAGCAAAATTGATAAGCTGTATGGGATAGGCAGAATCGCCCTCCAAAGATGTCCAAGCCCTCATCCCTGGAATCTGTGAAATATGTTACTTTGCATATCACAGTGGACTCTGCAGATGTAATTAAGGTTACTGACATGGTTATCCAGGTGGCCCTAATCTAATTAAATGAACCCTTAGGAGGAGTGAATCATATTTCTGTTGTATACCTGTGCTGAAGTTCAGTACATGCTACCCCAAAATATGGTACCTTGGCATTTGAGAAAACAACAGAAGCAGGAAGGTCATTCTCACCTTGACATTGCCTCTTCTCCCCTAAAGTAGGCTATAAAACCTAGCTGAGGCCAGGCGTGGTAACTCACGCCTGTAATCCCAGTACTTTGGGAGGCGGAGGTGGATGGATCACCTGAGGTCAGGAGTTCAAAACCAGCCTGGCCAACATGGTGAAAACTCATCTCTACTAAAAATACAAAAAAAATTAACTGGGGCGTGGTGGCACATGCCTGTAATCCCAGCTACTTGGGAGGCTGAGGCAGGAGAATCGCTTGAACCTGGGAGGCGGAGGTTGCAGTGAGCCAAGATCACGCCATTGCACTCCAGCCTGGGCAACAAGAGCGAAACTCTGCCAAAGAAAAAAAAAAAAGACACCTCGCTGAACTTCCCCTGAAATAGATCATAAAACCTTCTTTCCACCCTATACCTGGAAGAAAGGAACATCTTTATCGCTGAAGAGACAGGGAAGAATCTGAACAAACAGGCCTTGCTAAGTCCCCTCAGTTTATTACCATTAGCTCATAGCCTCTTTGTCTAATCATACTTTTCCATGACTATCCTTTTCTTCCTTAAACTTAACATAGAAATACATGGGTTTCCCTGTCTCTTTGGATCTTTATTTCTGAAGGCTCCTATGTGATGTAAAACTTCTATTAAATAAATGTCTGTGCTTTTCCCTTATTAATCTGCCTTTATTATAAGAGCCCTAGCTGTGAACCTAGCAGGGGGTGAGAAAAGAAATCTCCTCTACACCTGTTTATATTTTCTACATTTCAACATTGAATATTTACTTCTTACATATATAGTTACATAATTAGGACAATTGTTCTTAATTTATATGAAAAGAAAAAAACAAAATAGAAAATAACTCCCAAGACTGTAGGACCTGAGAATAGAGCAGGCTGCTTGGAGATGGGCAGAGGAAGACATGGCAGAAACTTCAGTTGTTAGGATTATTTAGAACTATTGTTGTTAGGACTATTTAGATTACAAGTGAAAAAAACCAGCCTGGATCACGTGTCCATCCCTGGCCCAATTATAGTCACCAGCAGAGTGATGCACCAATTGTGGGTGGAAGAGCCACCCAACCAACAGAGAGTGTGAGAGAGGAGGCCCAAGGGAAGTGGGAGAGGCTGTTAACAGAAGAAGGGGGTGAAGAAATGCTCACTCGCCAAAAAAGGCTCCATTACAATATCTCCAAACCTAACAGAAAGAGAGAAATGGTCAAGGGGCATGAGAGGAGGGGGCATAACCAATGATAGGAAGAAGAGTAAAGAGAAGACCATCATAAGCTCAGTTTTTATTTATTTATTTATTTTTGAGATGGAGTCTTGCTCTGTCGCCCATGCTGGAGTACAGTGGGACGATCTCAGCTCATTGCAACCTCTGCCTCCCAGGTTCAAGTGATTCTCCTGCCTCAGCCTCCCAAGTAGCTGGTATTACAGGCACCTGCCACCATGCCCAGGTAATTTTTGTATTTTTAGTAGAGGCAGGGTTTTGCCATGTTGGCCAGGCTGGTTTTGAACTGCTGATCTCAGGTGATCCACCTCCCTCAGCCTCCCAAAGTGCTAAGATTGCAGGCGTGAGCCACCGCACCCGGCCCAGCTAAGTTTTAAATACATTCAAGTCTTGGTGTCAGAAGTTGTCTCCATTGTCAATGCTCTAAAGGTAACTGCAAATGAATTATTACAGAGGTAATGAGACTTGCAAGTCTTCAGCACTGACACGCTAACTGAAGTAGGTTTGTCAGGAATCTTTCTATGTCTCAGGAGAAAAACCCATTTCTAGTTAGTTTAAACCAAGGCACTGAAAAAGTCCAGGGTAAAATCCAGAGACTCAGCTGGATCTAGATGCTCAGACAATGGTGTCAAGTAGTTGTTTCATCTCATTTTCCCAGTTCTGCTTTGTCTGTGCTGACTTCACTCCCAGAGAGGCCCTTGTCACATAAATGGCAAGAGGATCACCAGTGATCTGAGCATTCATCCTACAAATTTAGCAATGCCATTGGAAAAAGAGTACCGCCATTGCAACAGTCCCAGAAAAAGTCCTGGTGCTCTTTGAACTGTTTTGTTTTTGTTTTTGTTTTTGTTTTGCCACATCTGCAAACAAATTCCTATGGCAAGAGAGAAAAATACATACGGATGAGCCAGCCCTGGATCATATATGCCCAACCCCAGATCCACAAGGAGGGGTCAGGAGTGGTTCAAACAAAAAATACCCTCCCAAACAGTCAGGGTGTTATTACCAGAAGAAAAGATACTAGGTGAGCAGAAACAGCACAATTCCATTATAAAGCTATATGGATACCATACTCAAGTTCCCTAGAACTCTGAAAGGAGCTCTTATAATGTATAAATAGGCCAGGCACAGTGGCTCACACTTGTAATGCCAGCACTTTGGGAGGCCCAAGCAGGCAGATCACCTGAGGTCACGAGTTCAAGACCACCCTGGCCAAGATGGTGAAACCCCGTCTCTACTAAAAATACAAAAATTAGCTGGGCATGGTAGCGCACACCTGCAGTCTTAGCTACTTGGAAGGCTGAAGCAGGAGAACTGCTTGAACCTAGGAGGCAGACGCTATAGTGAGCTGAGATTGCGCCACTTCACTCCAGCCTGGGTGACAGAGAAAGATTCCATCTCAAAAAATAAATAAATAAACAAAAAATAAAGAAAGTATAAATAAAACTAACCCATGATAAGAGCACTACAGGAACACTGGCCTGAGCAGCAGTCAGCAGACGTGTGTCAACTGCAGGTGAGTGATGAGCATAAAAAGAGGGCCCAGAGGAAAGCCCTCCTCTCTTTCCTCTTTCTTTTGATTCCATCATATTTTCCACCCAGTATGTCAACTGAGGAAGCCTGGACCTTCTATTGGGTGCTCGATGACTGCTCACTCCCTCACCCAAGTTTGGTGTGCAATCTCTCTCCTCGATCACAATAACGTGAAGTGTGGAGTAGTGGCTCAATGTCCCAGACCCCTTTTTGACACCTGTACAGTTCTTCCCTGATGAAAATCCTAATGCACTTGGTTTTCCTCCAAATGTGCACAACCCATATTATGCTCCTTTGATCAAAATTATGCAAAGAACCAGATGTTTACTTTTCATTATATCTTACAGATAACAGTTGGTGCTTGAACGCCCTATCTGGTGTTTCACTGTCCTTGTCTCTTGCATTCTGTTTGGGGGAAAGGGAGGTGGGCACATGCACAACTGTGTTTTCCCCCACCCCCACCCCGAGATTATTTTCTTAGACTGAACTTGAACATATTAATACAGCATTTTGATTTTTTATTACTACAAAAACAAGTTACCACAAACATAAAGGCTTAACACAACACTCGTTTATTATCTTGCCATATCCATGGGTCAGAAGTCTGGGCAGATCTTGGCTCAATTAGTTCCTCTGCTCCAGGTTCCATAAGGCCAAATCAGGGTGTTGGCAGAGCCACATTCTTTTTTGGAGGCTCTGGGGAAGAATCTGCTTCCAAATTCAGGTTGCTGGCAACATTTTGTTCTTGGAGTTGTAGGACCGAGGTTCCTGCTTTCTTTTGCTGGCTGTCAGCAGGGGATTGCCCTTAGCTCCCAAAGACCTCTTCAGTCCTTGCCGGTGGCCCCCCACATCTCAGAGCAAGCAACAGCACTTCAAACCCTTCTCACACTTGCAATCTCTCTGATTCCCTCTCCTGCTTCCTATGCCACTACATCTCTATGACTTCAAAGCAGAAAAAATTCTGCTTTGAAGGGCTTGTGTGAGTAGACTGGACCAACCTGGATAATACATGTCCAAGACCTTAATTACATCTGCAAAGTCCACTGTGATATGCAAAGTAACATACTCACAGGTTCCAGGGATGAGGGCTTGGACATCTTTCAAGGGCGATTCTGCCTATCCCATACAGCTTATCAATTCTGCTCCTCATCACTCTCTCTGTTCCAAAACAACTCATGCTTTCAACAGTTAAAAAAAATGTGTTTGGGGATTCCATTACCTGGTTATTAAAACAGTATATACAATTGTGGAGTAGGCATATTTCCCTGGGTTTTTCTAGAGTTTCTATAAAACACTCTCCCAGAGCAATTTTAACTCTATGCTCACCAAGTAGCATTCTGATTAAAACTCACTTCTCAGGTAACTTGATATCAGAAAGATGCTTCCTAGGATGGAGGATGCATATAATCAGGTCAATAGAAATCTAAGTATATATTAAATATACGTTAATATACTAATTAAAGTATAAACATAATTTATGTTTATATTTTAAACTAGAAACTTACTATTTTAAACTATAAATAATTTTAAACTATAAAAATATAAATATATTAAGATAATTAAACACATATATTTAAATGATGGCATTCTGATTTATACATTGGTGTCAACTGGATTTGGTAATATAACCCAATAACCAAAAGAATGATCATGTTTTAGACTACTTAAAACATCCAGTTTTCTGACTTTCAAATGGTGGCTCAAATGAGGTCATCCTCTGAATGACTGAGTCATCAGACCCATACAACATTCTCATCACAGTCCCCCTCCCCAGAAAATCAGTATCAAAGAAGAATATTGGAAGATAATTTTTACAGATGCTAACTGATACAACATAAGCACATAAGCTTTCCAAGAGTGCCTATCAAGACAGAAGAGCCAGTAGCCCAGGACCTTGTGAGAGCACACTGGTGATTACTAAGCAGGTCTGAACAAAGAGTAATGCAGAATAAGCCATCCTGTAAGAGGTGCAACTTACCTCACTACCTCTCTTGGAATCTTGACTGTAATTGTTAAGGAGTTCCATTAGGCATCTCAAACAATTCCTGGAGATGTTCTTTATCAATGGATATTATACAGGTAACTAAAGACTCCCACACTATGGTATGGGAACCAAACCTATGTACATATATGTATATAGGAGACAGCCAAGCATAAAGGGGTCACTGGAGAACCTCCAACCAGCCTGCGCACTGGGAGAAGCGCACACTGGGGTGGAGCCTCGGGAAGTTCCTGCTGTTTGCAGTGGGGAGGAGCCTGGCCTCTCCTGTTCTGGGGTCGTACCTGGAAATCAATCTGTGAGGCGGGAAGCCTGCTAGCAAAACTCTCACTTTGCTGAGAGTCCCTGTTTCCCGTTTTTTCCTTTTCACCCAGTAAACCCTGCCCTTCTCACCCTTCAAAGCATCTATGAGCCTAATCTTTCAAGGTTGTGTGAAAAGAACCCAGCTTTTAGCTGAACCAAGGGGAAAGTCCTACAATATATATATACATGCATGTATGTATTATATGTGTGTGTGCGTTTAAATAGGATCTGTGTGGGTATGGGGTTGATTTACAATCCCCTGTGACTTGGTTGCAGCCCATGTCGTCTGTGTGGATAATGGGTCTGCATCAGAACCCTAAACCCTGCTCCTTTTGTAGTTACAGCATCTTGGTTTTCAAGCTGCCATTATTTTTTATTATCATTAGACACCACATCCTACTTTTCTTTCTTTATCACAGCTCAACTTCTGGAATGGGTATTCCCCGTCCACTGCTTCATCATCTCACATCAGAATTGTTGAAATTGTACTTTTATTACTGTACTACTTTCTTCTCTTTTTTTTCTTTCTCTGTACTTTTTTGTTTACTGCTATTTATTATTATATTACTTTTCTCACTCTTCTAGAAGTTGTGCACTCTCTGTAAGCTCTTAAATCACCAGTCTAGGAAGAGAACTAGGAGGTCAAAGAGGAAAGAGGAGCCACTTGCCAAATTCCAATTGCAGGTGGACACCATGAATATATCACAGAACAGGTCAACTGCCCAGGACTTTCAGAAAAGCTTGGTTTTCATTAGATTCTCCTCCAACTCTTTCATAATCTAGGCTTCCTGCCCTGTGTTAATTATATTTCTGACCCAAAACCAACAAACTAAGAGGCTGCATGTTGTGATGGAAAGTGTGTTGGACCAGATGCCAAAAACTGTGACTTTTAGGGCCAACTCTGAAGCTAGCCAGCTGTGTGACCTTGAACAAGTCATTTCTCCTCCAGACCCGTTGTTCCCTCACTGCTTCAATGAACAGTTAATAAGATTTTGTCCATGATTTCTTCCAGGTCAAAATTATGTCATTCTTTCACCCTAATTCCCTTTCTTCTTACTGGTAATATATCATATATAATAACATAGTTTACAATTCTTATGAGCCAGGTTAAGAGTTATTACTACTTCTTACTAAACATAAATTACTACTCATGAATTACTTAACACCAAAAATGAACACTTAACATGCAATTACAAAAAAAAAATTTTGTTAGCTTTATTTGAGGTATGATTCAGCACATGAGGTATTTAACACACCACTGTCAAAGCAAACCTTAGTTTTAAAACCCAGCAAATAAAAACTGGATCTGAGAAACTGGACCTAAGATTGGCTGGGGTCCATCATCTTTATGAGGGTAGACGGACTTAGAATACACCATTTATCTAAGAATTGGGCAGATAATCTGGAGCAAGAGGGCAGGGGGTGGTAAATTGGTGGGAAAATTAAAGATACATTTTCTCCAGCTGTTTGATTTTTCATGCTGTTGAGTTTTAAGGTTACAGTATGTAACCAGAATATGAAACATCACTGGGAGGAAGGGAACTCATTTAATATTATGTTAGTTGTAGAATTATAACTAGGTGTAAAGCAAAGAAAGTAGTTATCTATTATTCATTCCTTCTGAACAGACATTTCCTGTCTGTGAATACAAAGCATGACTAGAATTTACTTGCTGAAACTCAGAGATGCTATAAGAGAACATTTCATTTTCATTTGATCTGACCTTGTGTATGATAATGGAGCTTCTCTAAAACACTGATGCTTGTCTGTTCTCCTTATATTATGCCCCTGAGAATTATTCCTATTCCTGACCTCATAGATGGGGAAATTAACCTCAGAGAGTTTTTGAGACTTGTCCAAGGTCATCGCCAGGTTCAATCTCTTTAGGCAGTCCTGAACAGGTGTGGCCACAAAAATCAGTGAAGTTAGTTATCTGCGTATCTATATGTGACTTCCTATATTATACGAAGTATTTCTCTCACTGATAACTGAGCACATCCAATCTAGCATGTCAGATTCACCAGAAATTAACATGCATTCTGTTCATTCCAAATATCCCTAGCTGCTTAGTGAACCTGTGAATGAATTAAAGATGGCTTCTCAGCATGATGACAGAAAAAAAATTTCTAGCTAGAGACATTGTACCAGACATAGATGCGCTGGACATAGATGTACTAGATATAATTGAGCCTCATGCTCAACTGCTAAATCAAGTATCCTGCCTCCTGACCAAGGCCTTGAGTTGAACCAAAGCATAAAACCCAAACTATAAAGAACTCAATAAACTGAGATAAGACCTTCTTGGTTTTCTCCTGTATTTGGTTTTTCAAATTTAATTATGAGCTAAATCAACTTCAAAATTCAGACCGTTTTGACCTAGAATCTAATCTACTATTTTCTAAAAATTATTAAGTCAGAATATAATCCCATTGAATTGATATGTCATCCAGTTCAAGCCCTCCAAAAATTGATACATTGATACATAGGTAAGTAGGTGGAGGAATGGAGAGATGAAATGGACGAATTCCCCTGCCAGGACTGCAGTTATTTGCTCCAACCTCTAAAACTACCTAATACACCTCTTCACCTAAATACCCCCTTGCTAAAATCCTGACTGATTAAAAAGCGAAGTTAACAAATTTTCTCTGATGAGTTTTTTATCATGTTCATAGAAAGAGAAGTCTGATATAAAGTAGTAACACAAGAATAAACAAACCTATAATTTGGAGTAGCAGCTCCAGGGACAATAATAAGGTTTTCCAATCTCCCAGATCATAATTAACAGTGTAAAGAATTAAAGAGAAGTTCAGGAAGGAGTGCTTAAACCTTTTTGTAAATTTAAAAACAAGTAATGATCTCCATTGCTGTTCTCCAGGTTTATTCAAATTTGGACAATTAGGACAATTAAACATAAAATAGAGACAGCTCTAAAGAGGGAGCTACAACAAAGCAGAATAATTGCTGGGACTGGCTATCAAATTTACATAAAAAAAGATTAAAAAGCTGATTTACATTTAAAAAACAAGATCAGGCAATATCTAAAATAGATAACACAACCTACTGAGAAAAGCTCTTTTCATCAATAAAGGAGAAGCAAAGGTGATTATATATAACAAAACTAATCTTCTATATTGCTTTAATCACCTAAAACCACTTTAACTGTTTATTTGGGAACCATTTTGTGGGGGAAAAAAATATTGCATGTAAAAGCACGTAATTTCTAGGTTGCAGTAAAACACAGACACCATCAAGATCATGCTATATTCTCAGCTCATTACCTGCTCTCTTCTCTAGATCCTGTCTTCTCTTGGTTATCAAAAATTCTCACCACTTACAAATTCATTCATTCTAGAACTTGAAAATTTGCCATGTAATTGATATAACAGATGCTTCCAGAACAGATGTTCTGCTTATTGTTACTGCATCTCATGAACAAAGTAGATTATAAAGCTTTTTCCTTCCTGGACTAAGCACTTACATGGCATTTTGAGCTTTTTTCAAAAACGAAAAAGAACATAATTACCTGCATTTTAATATGTACTGTAGGATAGAGGAAAAAAAATCTCTTTGTCTCTTTATCCATCTTAGGTTCTCCAGGTGGGACTCTATAAATTAGGCTAACAAAAGACAGATTAACAAGAGAAAAGTATACACATTTATTTAATGGAAGTTTTACATGACACAGGAGCCTTCATCAGAAAATGAAGACCCAAAGAAACGATTAAGCTGAAGTGTTTTTATACCAGGTTTGATAAAGAGTGAAAAGTCATGCAAAAACATGACAGGACAAAAGGGTATGAACTAAGGTTCTGAAAGAAACTTAGCAAGGCCTGTTCATTCTGATTCCTCATAGTGTGTCCTGTCCAATAAATCCAAAAACACTTACTGGCTTTGGTTCTGAATCTCTTGGTAGATACTTCCAGTTTAAAAGAAAGAAAAATAAGAAGAAAAAAGGCCAGGCATATTTGTTATTTGCCTTTGCTGAAATTATAAGATATTTGAAATAATTTTTTTTTTAAGAGCTCTATGGTCAGAAGTTAGCTTAATAGGAAGCTGATATTCAGGCTACAATTTTTGTTAAGTCCCCTCTGTTGTTCTGTCTGTTGGATCCTGCTTCTATCACAGGAACGTCTCAGTCTACTGAAACCTCTCTTACTGAACCCCTGCTAACCATATGGTCAGTCCCTCTGTCCACATTTTTTTTTCTTGTTGGCATGATTTTCGCTGAGGATAATGTGGAAATTCATGTACCTTTTTGGGAAACTTGAGACCTCCCCAAACTAGCTCCTGTAAGACTTCTTTCCATTTGCTTCTGTTCCTCCTTCCTCCCTTTGGCACTTACAATCTGCCATCCAGTTCTCTCGAATCCTTGATTTATTCTCCTTCAAATCCTTACCTCCTCCATTTAGTGGTCAGTGGATGAAAAATTACTAACAGGAAACACCAAAGGTAAGAAAAATTTCAGTCTCTATAGTCAAACTTTAGGTGGGCTTCTGGACCTTCTCCTAGGACTATCCATGTACATCCTTGTAGAATCCTGTAGTGAATTCCTATAATTTTATGTCGCCTCAGAATCCTTTTGAGTCCTCCTCTATGTGTCACCTAACTGACACACCTCAAACTCCTTCTTGGAAAAACTTGCATTCTTTCTCTGTGCCTTTGAGATATAAATTTTCTACCCTTTCTTCTCTAGAATTTGATCATTACCATTTGGAAATACTGTTGTCCTTTGATATCCACAGGAGATTGGTTCTAGTACCTCCCACAAATACCAAAATCTATGGATGCTCAAGTCCCTGATATAAAATAAGATAGTAGTTTCATATAACCTATGCACATCTTCCCATATTCTTAAAATCATCTCTAGATTACTTATAATACCTAATATAATGTAAATGCTATGTAAGTAGTTGTTATACTATATTGTTTAGGGAAAAATGACAAGAAAAATGTCTGTCCATGTTCAGTAGAGATGCGTGCTCTTTAAAACAATATTTTCAATTCCTGATTGGTTGAATCCACAGAAGCAGAATCCATAGATACAGAAGAGATGACTGTCAGGGAGATGACTGTCATCAAAAAGAAAAAAACTGAACTGTTTAGAAATTGGTCAAATAAAAAATCTTAAAAGCCTTTTCCACAAAAAAACTAGTAAAAAAGCTTTAGCCAGGCCAACTGTGGTGGCTCACACCTGTAATCCCAGCACTTTGGGAGGCCAGGGCGGGCCAATCATGAGGTCAGGAGATCGAGACCATCCTGGCTAACACAGTGAAACCCCGTCTCTACTAAAAATACAAAAAATTGGCCGGGCGTGGTGGCACACGCCTGTAGACCGAGCTACTAGGGAGGCTGAGGCAGGAGAATCGCTTGAACCTGGGAGGCGGAGGTTGCAGTGAGCCGAGATTGCACCACTGCACTCCAGCCTGGGTGACAGAGCTAGACGCCAACTCAAAAAAAAAAAAAAAAAGCTTTAGCCATCTGAGCAGATAATCTTAACTTGTATCATTTATCAGGTCTAGCTAGTGAGTCTTGAATTATCAGACTTGGTGCAAGGCTAAAAGTGTTAGAGTAAAAGATGTAAGATCTGCTTCTATCTGTATGTTTATGTCATTAAATATAATACAGACATATATTTTTGCCTGCGTTTGCTGGCCAGACAGGTGTATTGTCTCTGCTAGATGGTTAAGGTCATAAAATTATAAACGCAACCTTCAAACAGAATACACAGTAAAAATGAATTCCTGAATTGCTTGATGCACATCAGTCACGGAGAAAAAAAAGAGGAAAGAACCATGTTTAACTTTCTTGTTTCTTTGCTTCTATGATATTTTGCTTGCCTGATTTGTCAACAACAAAAACAACTTGAGACAGAGGTTAGCTTTGTTTGATGTCTCATAAAATTGTCATGAACAGTTCACATAAAATTGTTAAGAATGAGTGAGTTACTGGCTGGGCGTGGTGGCTCACGCCTGTAATCCCAGCACTTTGGGAGGCCGAGGCTAGCGGATCACAAGGGCAGGAGATCGAGACCATCCTGGCTAACATGGTGAAACCCCGTCTCTACTAAAAATACAAAAAATTAGCTGGGCATGGTGGTGGGCACCTGTAGTCCCAGCTATGCGGGAGGCTGAGGCAGGAGAATGATGTGAACCCGGGAGGCAGAGGTTGCAGGGAGCCAAGATTGCACCACTGCACTCCAGCCTGGATGACAGAGCAAGATTCCGTCTCAAAAAAAAAAAATCAAAAAATAAAATAAAAGCACTTAGTTATTTTAAAAAAAAAAAAAAGAATGAGTGAGTTACCAAATGAACTAAATAAGGTGAACTACATAAGGTGCTGGGACCAATCCTGGAGAAACAGATATGTGACCTTTCCGACACAGCATTCAAAATAGCTGCTTTGAGGAAACTCAAAGAAATTCAAGATAACACAGAGAATGAATTCATAATTCTATCAGATAAACTTAACAAAGAGATTGACATAATTTAAAAGAACCAAGCAGAAATTCTAGAGTTGAAAAATGCAATTGACATACTGAAGAAAGCATCAGAGTATCTTACCAACAGAAATGATCAAATAAAAGAAAGAATTAGTAAGCTTGAAGACAGCCTACACGAAAATGCACAGAGGAGACAAAAGACAAAAATAATAAAAAAGAATGAAGCATGCCTACAAGATCTAGAAAATAGCCTCAAAAGGGCAAATCTAAGAGTAACACGCCACAAGCACACACAACCAAAGCAAAAATGGACAAATGGGACCACATCAACTTAAATAGCTTCTGCACAGCAAAGAAAACACTCAACAAAGTGAAGAAACAGCCAACAAAATGGGATAAAATATTTGCAAACTACCCATCTGACAATGGATTGATAACTAGGATATATAAGGAGCTCAAACAGCTATATAGGCAAAAATTTAACAATCCAATTAAGAAATGGGCAAGGCTGGGCATGGTGGCTCACATCTGTAATCACAGCACTTTGGGAGGCCAAGGCAGGTGGATCGCTTGAGCCCAGGAGTGTGAGACCAGCCTGGGCAACAAAGTGAGACCTAGTCTCTAAAAAAAAATAAAAAAAGAATAGCCAAGCATGGGGGCACACTCCTGTGGTCCCAGTTACACGGAAGGCTGAGACAGAAGGATCACTTGAGTCTGGGAGGTCAAGACTATAGTGAGCTGTGTTTGTGCCACTACACACCAGCCTGGGTGACAGAGTGAGACCCTGTCTCAAAAACTAAATGAATACGTATTTTTAATTGGCCAAAAAAAAAAATTTTTTTTTTGAGATGTAGTTTCGTTCTTGTTGCCCAGGCTGGAGTGCAATGGCACCATTTCAACTCACTGCAACCTCCACCTCCTGGGTTCAAGAGGTTCTCCTGCCTCAGCCTCCCAAGTAGCTGGGATTACAGGCATGTGCCACCATGCCTGGCTAATTTTGTATTTTCAGTAGAGACAGGGCTTCCCACATTGGTCAGGCTGGTCTCAAACTCCCGACCTCAGGTGATCCGCCCGCCTTGACCTCCCAAAGTGCTGGAATTACAGGGGTGAGCCACTGCGCCTGGCCGGGAAAAAAAATTTGAATGGACATTTCCCAGAAGAAGACATACAAATGGCAAACAGGCATATGAAAATGGCTCAACATCATGGATCATCAGGAATATGCAAATCAAAATTACAATTAGATGTCATCTCACTCCAGTTAAAGTGGCTTTTATCCAAAAGACAGGCAACAACAAATGCTGGAGAGGATTTGGGGAAAAGGGAGCCCTTGTATGCTGTTGGTGGGAATATAAATTAGTACAACCACTATGGAAAACAGTTTGGAGGTTTCTCACAAAAGTAAAAATAAAGCTACCATACAATCAGGCAATCCCACTGCTAGGTATATACCCAAAAGGAAGGAAATCAGGATATGTAAGAGATATCTGGGCCGGGCGCGGTGGCTCACGCCTGTAATCCTAGCACTTCGGGAGGCCGAGACGGGCGGATCACGAGGTCAGGAGATCGAGACCATCTTGGCTAACACGGTGAAACCCCGTTTCTACTAAAAATACAAAAAATTAGCCAGGCGTGTTGGCGGGCGCCTGTAGTCCCAGCTACTTGGGAGGCTGAGGCAGGAGAATGGCATGAACCTGGGAGGCGGAGCTTGCAGTGAGCCGAGATCGCGCCACTGCACTCCAACCTGGGAGACACAGCGAGACTCCATCTCAAAAAAAAAAAAAAAGAGATATCTGCACTCCCATGTTTATTGCAGCACTGTTCACAATAGCTAAGATTTGGAAGCAACCTAAGTGTCCCTCAACAGATGAATGGATAAAGAAAATGTAGTACATTTACATGATAGAGTACTATTCAGCCATAAAAAAGAATGAAATCCCGTTATCTGCAACAACATGGATGGAATTGGGACTCATTGTATTAAGTGAAATAAGCCAGGCACAGAAAGACAAACTCATGTTCTCGCTTATTTGTGGGAGCTAAAAATTAAAATGATTGGCCAGGTGTGGTGGCTCACGCCTGTAATCTCAGCACTTTGGGAGGCTGAGGCAGGTGGATCACAAGGTCAGGAGATCGAGACCATCCTGGTTAACACGGTGAAACCCCGTCTGTACTAAAAATGCAAAAAATTAGCTGGGCGTGGTGGCAGGCACCTGTAGTCCCAGCTACTCCGGAGGCTGAGGCAGGAGAATGGTGTGAACCCAGGAGGCGGAGGTTGCAGTGAGCCGAGATTGTGCCACTGCACTCCAGCCTGGGCAACAGAGCGAGAGTCTGTCCCCAAAAAAAAAAAAAAAAAAATTAAAACGATTGTTGAACTCATGGAGATAGAGAGTACAAGGATGATTACCAGAGGTTGGGAAGGGGGCTTGTAGGGAAGTGGGAAGAGTTAATGGGTACAAAAAAAGTTAGAAAAAATTAGTAAGACCTAGTATTTGATAACAGGGTGACTGTAGTCAATAATAATTTAATTGTACATTTTTAAATAACTAAAAGCATAATTGGATTGTAACATAAAGGATAAATGCTTCAGGGGAAAGCTATCCCATTTTACATGATGTAATTATTATGGATTGCATGCCTATATCAAAGTATCTAATGTATCCCATAAATATAGACACCTACATACCCACAAAAATTAAAACTTGAAACTTAAAAAAAAGAATGAGTGAATTAGATGAATATAAGTAGGATAATAGTTTATAAGCAAAGTTTTTCAATAACAATTATGTTTTAGAAAATATGTCTAGTTAAAAATAGTTTTAAAATCTTTTTGGTAACTTGAAACCTTAAAATGAAATTAAGTAATAGATACTTATTAAATATCTGGGTCACTTCTAAGTAAGTTAAAAATATTGAAACACTAATTACTAGGCACAAGTTTATGTACTTTGGCATCTTGTTTTTATATAGTACAGAGAAGCTAAATAGATTGAAGTTGGTTAAAAACATGAAAAATTGCTTCTAGAAATTATGAAATGATGAATGCTGTTATAAAAGAGTTTATAATGCTTGCTAGTTTTCACTAGAAATTAAGGTTACTGGCCAGGCATGGTGGCTCACGCCTGTAATCCCAGCACTTGGGGAGGCCAAGGCCGGCTGATCACGAGGTCAGGAGTTTGAGACCAGCCTAGCCAACATACTAAAACCCCGTCTCTACTAAAAATACAAAAATTAACCGGGCATGGTGGCGCGTGCCTGTAGTCCTAGCTACTTGGGAGGCTGAGGCAGGAGAATCACTTGAACCTGGGAGGCGGAGGTTGCAGCGAGCTGAGATCACGCCACTGCACACCAGCCCAGGCGACAGTGCAAGACTCAGTCTCAAAAAAAAAAAAAAAAAAAAGAAAAAAAGAAATAAGGTTACTAAGAGTTAAACGTTATAATTAACATATGTAATTAAACTGCCAGAAAATATGAGGGAAAACTTTCTTTGCTTAGAAATAAGATGCATTTGATAAGGAAAGTTATGTAAATGACACATTTTTGTTTTTTAAAAAGGCTGAATTTTTTTTAAGTTTTAAATGATTTATGGAAATGTTATCTTTTGTGATCAAAACTAAGATTGGATGAATTTATTAAAAGATTTTATTTAAAATTAGCTTTAGTATTAATAGTACGCTAATGCAAAAGTGGAATTTGGTCTTCTCTGTTAAAGTAACAAAGTTTTCTAGAAGTATTGGTCTGAGAATGTGAAGGTTTTTTTTTTCTCCTTTTCAGTAACTGACCTAGAAAACAAAGATTTTGTGTTTTATCAAGATCATTTTTGGGCTTCATGCTGTATTTTATTAGGTCTTTGATTACATTTTATTCACAACTATGCAACCTTTTGTATTTGCCTTTAAAATCTTTTGTTGTCGGCCAGGTGCAGTGGCTCACCTGTAATCCCAGTGCTTTGGGAGGACAAGGCAGGAGGACTGCTTTAGCCCAGGAGTTCAAGACCAGCCTGGGAAATACTGCAAAACTCCATCTCTACAAAAATAAAAATAAAAATAAATGAGCCAGGTGCAGTGGCGCATGCCTGCAGTCCCAGCTACTCAGAAGGCCAAGGTGAGAGGATTGCTTTAAGCCAGGAGTTTGAGGCTGCAGTGAGCTATGCTTGTGCCACTACACTCCAGCCTGGGTGACAGAGTGAGACCCTGTCTCTAAAAAAATGTTAAAAAAAATAGAAAATTGTTTTTCTATTTAAAACTGTCACTTTAATTAGATAGCCAATATCATATTTAATTTTTTTAAACCTTTTGACATTTTGACATACTTCCCAAAATCAAATTCTAAATTAAGTCTTTTTGACCTTGAACTTACTTTGAGATTTACCAGTTAGGCCTCTTGAAAGCTACAAAATATGTGTTTTTCTCACCTTGTAAAAGAAAGATATTAAAATAATTGGGCTTACATATATTTGATGCATTAAATTATATAGTAAGTGTGGTCAAATAATGAGTAATGCTAAACCTAGAGTTATACTTAGGAGCGTATTATTGATATGAAAATGTGAGATTTTTAAAAGTCTAATGTTATCAGTAACAATTCTGGCAATTATGTTAAAATGTTGTATCCACAGAAATAACTAAATTTCCTTGTCAACTGCTGACTATAATGAACTCTCATCAGATTTTTAACCATGGCCATATTAAGTCTTTGTCATCTACAGGCCATTACTGTTTTGATTTTTGTCTAAAAGTATTGGCAATCAGCGATAGTCCAAAACTGCTTTTCTTCGAAAAGATTCATAGAAAAGACTTTGACAAATACCCTTGAATACAGGTTTCTAATAACCATAAGATCATACCATTGGACTGTGTGAGAATTTTCAGAACTCTAATGAAGAAATGAATGGCTTCATGAAACTGCCAAGCAAGATCAAGCAGATCAAGAATTAATTACGTGAAACTGAACTGATGAAGGTAATGTTTTCATGACTTTTAATTTGAAATTTTTAAATTTGAAATTTGGTTCTTATTGTAAATGTTTCCTTTTACAGATTTAAAGAAACTATTTCTCTTAAGCTTTCTAGAGCTTGCAGAGATCTGGTAGCATATACTTTTGTGAACAGAATTGGAACAATTACTTTTTCTTCCTACCTGATCCTGCTAGGACTCAGAAACTATTTGTGAGTATTCTTATTTTTATGGCAATATAATTATTTATACTAGTTTAATAAAAATCTGTTCTCCTTGTAACAGGGCACAATTGGAAATACTGGTTATGTTACCTTACCAAGGCTTTGACTGGAATATTCTATTTTCAAATATGACAGACAACTTTAAAGAACTAAGGTTGACTTTATGGAGCCAATAAAGCCCGCGCTTGGATAAACTGGCCTGGTACTTTGAAAGCATCGTTCATATGGTTGCCTTAGAGGTAGGTAAAGAATGTCACCTCCTGGCAGGACCAGGAACCTCAGGATATTTTGGGGACCTAAAGCAGAGAGGAATTCAGCAAAATCTAGAAGTACTTCAGGTGAATTTTTTTTTTCTTTTTTTTTTTTGAGACGAAGTCTCGCTCTTCTCCCCCAGGCTGGAGTGCAATGGCACAGTCTCGGCTCACTGCAAGCTCCGCCTCCCAGGTTCAAGCAATTCTCCTGCCTCAGCCTCCCGAGTAGCTGGGATTACAGGCGCCCGCCACCACGCCCAGCTAATTTTTGTATTTTTAGTAGAGACGGGGTTTCACCATGTTGGCCAGGCTGGTCTCAAACTCCTGACCTTGTGATCCGCCCGCCTCAGCCTCCCAAAGTGCTGAGATTACAGGCATGAGCCACCATGCCCAGCCACTTCAGGTGAATTTTAATGGTGAATCTTAAGCTTGGCCTCCTGGCCTCAAGAGGCTTTTCAATGTCTAATCTGAGATTCCTTATAAAACGTTCCAGCAAAGCAAATTTAAAGACAGCCTATGTGGCCAATCACTACTCTTGCTGAACTTGTATAAATAATCAGGTCAAGTTTAATGAAACTAAATTTATTTTGCAAACAAATTAGTTTTACTTTGATTATCTTTGATAGAGATGAAGGTGACTATAGAGAGAAAAATTTTGTTTCAGAAGAAAAGTATAGTGCACCCAGTATTAGATGCTAGCTCATTGTTTTTGAGAGTTTGTTATCCACCTGAAATCTGTGCTGGATCCTGAATTTCTCTAGTTTCTTCCAATATCTGGCTATGACTCACCAAACGAATATTTCCAATTTTTATCCCAGTCTTCTGGCTTGGAATCACTAAAAATTAAAGCACCCCTTTTTCTGAAGCCCTGCAAGGTGAAATTAGATGGCTTGATACAGACTTCAGAGAAATCACTACAACAGCTATGTAGAGATAACCTTCGGGCCTGCTGCTATATGGACTACTCAGAAAGCTCACTGGAACACCTGAAGCAAACTTTTGTAAACAAGGAAAATCTGTCAGATCATCACTGCCTGCCCCTGCTCCAGCTGGAAAGGCTTTAAGTCCAGCATCTAGAAATCTTGACTGGCTGCCCTCTAGAATTAAAAACTGAGTTTATAGTTTGTTCTAACCATTACACTTATTTTTGTTGTTATTATTGTTTCCATAGAAATGCCTCTTGTTACATATCTGATTGTTTGCACTGCATTAGTGCCTAACTTTAGTGGAAGCCCATTTGCAACACCTCTGCCTGAAGTGAGACAACTGCTAACTGTTTAACTCGACTGAGCTTAGGACTGAGAGGTCTGGTTCAATAGCTAATGAGAATCCACCAAACCAATTTCTGGATGTGAAACTTCTTGAGGAAGTTTCAGACAGGGGACTATCGGGGCTCAGAAAATGAAATCTCAAAGTATGGCACTTTGGCAAGCTGAGTACTTTGATCTAGAAAATATCAGAAAGCCTCGGAAGCATGATCTCTATGACCTTTTCCCCGCCCTCCTGTCTCTCACCTCTCTTTCTCCCCTGAAGTGAGGCATAGAAACCAAAATTTCTCTTCCCCAAGGCGGGCCATAGAAACTAGAACCCCTATCCCCCAAAGCAAGCCAAAAAACCTAGAAAGGTCATTCTCTCCCTTTGCCCTTCTTCCTTGAAGACCCTCATTCCAGAGGGGTCCTGTCCCACACCCAGGAGGAAAGAATGCTACACAGAGAGGCCAAGAAGACTCTGAACAGACAGGCCTTGCTGGGTTTTCCCCTGCAGTCTACTATCATTCAATCGTACCCTTTTTGTCCAACACATTTCTATATGGCTGTCCATTCTTCATCAAACATAAGCATACAAATAGATCATTTTTCCTGGGTCTTTGGTCTTCATTTCTGAGGCTCCTATGTAATGTAAAACTTTAAATAAATTTGTTACGCTTTAACCTGCCTCTTGTTGTAGGAGTGCAGGCCATGACTCTTATGAGGGGTAAGGAAGGGCATTCATTATACATTTCACCCCTACAAGCTTGAGGAATCAAAAGCAGTTAAGCAGATCTCAAAACTGACAGATTAATTGCCATTAATACATATTTTTATTCTTAAAGTTTCTTGTTAAATTACCCTAGAAGTTAAGAAAAACTTTACAATTATCCCAGTCATGAATTTGAATTGATTTAAAAAATAAACAAAAAACAATCAAACCAAAAAAAACACAAAAGACTGGAAATTGGGAGAAATTTCCATTTTAATCCATTTATAAAGAAGCAATGAAATGCTGATAATAGCAAGAGCGTTCAATATATCAACAAACCACAAATCAAACGAGAATAAAAACAAAATTCAAACTTGAGACAAGCAAGGTGAAGACAGATTAGATTTTAAACTGTTTTACAAATTCTCTCAAAATATGTTCATACTCGTCTCTAGCAGCCATGTCTTTAAACTCTTCATATGAAAAGTGCCTATTGTACATTAATTAGATGGAATATTTACAATTGCATGTATTTGTGAATAATATATAAAGTATTTGCATGTTATAAAATACTTCAAATATGATCTGGCCAAGTTGGGAATCACTTCTATTTTTTAGTCAAATGAATCCGGTTTTCCCACTCATTTCTGTTATAAATCAGAAATGCATTCCCAAAGAAAACAAAAAAGAAAGTTTCTGCCCCTCCCCCAAAATAATAATGGTAAGAACGTGGCCAGTTCTGTGGCCTTTCTGGAATTGTGGGCCCTAGTATATTGAGCTCCTCGGAAACTAAAAACATTTGCATTTTTAATGTGGAAAGGTATCAATGTGTACCTCTCCTTATGTGAGTAAATTTGTAACTTCCCACATCTGGTTTATGTAAAAGTAATACCTATAAAAAGTCACAAAAGGTAGACAACAAAATACATTAAAGACAGACCATTAACCCTCACACATATAGAATGAAATAACAGCATACTATGAACTCATATAATAACAGTATTCCAAAACTTTAAACTTCTCCTAATATTTGTGGTTCTTCTCCCATGAGAATAGTCCTAAAGCCCTTGGCCAGAGATGTGGGCACCCGGGGAATGAGACCAAGAGAGAGAATGAGCTAAAACTAAATTACACCTTCAGTTTTGCCACTAATATTCTCTAGGACTTGGTCAGTGGCTTATCCTCAGAGCATCTTAACTTACCCATGGGCAAAAGGACCTCAATGCCTTTCCTGCCAAACTCTAAAAGAAAATGAAAGTCACTCTGAATCCCTGTTATAAAGGTCCTATAAATATCTATAGCTGTTATTATTATAGGAAAACATGCTTCAGCCCCAGATACAACTATTTCAGCTACACACGCAACACAACCAGGGAGAGAAGACAAAAGCTCGCTTTCACTAAGTAACCGTATGAACTGGAATATAGTCAGTGGTCACCCGTGTAATATTTTTATTATCCATAGTAGGCTAAAATATAAAATATATAAAAGACGCAGCCTATACATTAACAAGTATTCAAGGTAAAAAGGAAGAGGGCAAAAACACACACAATAATAAGACAAAAACATATAACAAGAAATGCTGTTGTATAAAGAGGTAAACAATAGATGAATCTCACAGGCATAACAATGAGCAAAAGAGGCCAGATACAGAGGAATACATGCTGTGTGGTTCCATTTATATGAAGTTCAAGAACAGGTGCAACTAGGCCAGGCGCTGTGGCTCATGCCTGTAATCCCAGCACTTTGGGAGGCTGAGGCAGGTGGAGCACTTGAGGTCAGGAGTTCGAAACCAGCCTGGCCAACATGGTGAAACCCTGTCTCTACTAAAAATTACAAAAAATTAGCCGGGCGTGGTGATGCATGCCTGTAGTTCCAACTACTCGGGAGGTTGAGGCAGAAGGATCACTTGAAACTGGGAGGTGCAGGTTGCAGTGAGCCGAGATGGTGTCACTGTACTCTAGCCTGAGTGATAGAGCAAGACTCCATCTAAAAAAAAAAAAAAAAAAAAAAAACAGGTTCAACTAATCTGTGTTACTAGAAGTTAGAGTAGTGGTTTCCTCTTACAGGTGGGTAGAGGATACTGGACTGAGAAAGGGCAGGAGGTGCTGAAAATGTTCTAGATCTTAATCTGGATAGTGGTTTCCAAGGCAAATGCATATGTAAAAAGCCATCAAGGGCACCATAAAGATGGAAGCCCTTTATGTATGTTATCCATACATTTAAAAAAAATGAAGAAAGTCTATAGATGCCTTAAATGTGATTGAACGTAGCTGTGTGGAATTATAACGAATGAAGGTCAGAGATATGGTTTGGATGTTTGTCCTCACCAAATCTCATGTTGAAATGTGATCTCCAGAGTTGGAGGTAGGGCCTGGTGGGAGGCGATTGGATCATGGGGGTGGATTCCTGATGAATGGTTTGGCACCATCCCCTTGATGATAAGTGAGTTCTCTCTCAGTTAGTTCACGTGAAATCTGTTGCTTAAGAGAGTCTGGGCTGGGCGCAGTGGCTCATGCCTGTAATCCCAGCACTTTGGGAGGCGGAGGAGGGCAGATCACCAGGTCAGGAGAGAGAGACCAGCCTGACCAACATGGTGAAACCCCGTCTCTACTAAAAATACAAAAATTAGCTGGGCGTGGTGGCATGTGCCTGTAATCCCAGCTACTTGGGAGGCTGAGGCAGGAGAAATTGCTTGAATCAGGGAGTCAGAGGTTGCAGGGAGCAGAGATCACAACACTGCACTTCAGCCTGGCGACAGAGGGAGAATCCATCTCAAAAAAAAAAAGAGTGTGAGACCTCCCCCTTCACTCTCTCTTACTCCCACTCTCGCCATGTGACACGCCTGCTCCTCCTTCATCTTCTGGCATGATTGGGAGGTTCCTGAGGCCCTCGCCAGAAGCAGATGCCAGCACCACGCTTCCTGTACAGCCTGCAGAACCACAAGCCAAAATTAACCGCTTTTCTTTATAAATTACCCAGTCTTGGGTATCGCTTTATAGCAACGCAAGAACAGACTAACACAGTCAGAGGGATTCAGGGCAGCCTGGAGTGGCCAAGGAGGAGGACTGTCCCTCAGAAATTGTTTAGAAATGTGGTTTCTGCATGATGAGGGACTTGACCTGGCAAAAAAGACACTGCCCATGAGGAATACCAAGAGGTTTCTAGATAGAGAAAGACTGTGTTTCCAAGTTATCAAAAATAACTACGACAAACACCAAAGACTCAAAGACGAACGACCTGGCTTTCGGCAGAACAAATGGCAAGCATATTCTGAGACTCAAGAATTTGGGTGACATTCGCTATCCTGAAGCAGTTTCGGGTCAGAATATTTAAAGTCTTCTCACAACTGGTGAAAGCTAGACCTCAAACAACTGATGATGTCCACAGACGCCTCAGATGCAGTCATCAAAATGCCATCTATTTATTCCGAGAGCATTCGGAGAAGCAGCCATGGGCGGATCCACTGCCTGCAGACAGAGGAGCCGCCCCTTTCTCTCTCTACCTTTCACACTTCACACTTCTTCAGCCACAAAATAGAGAGAAGGCCTGGGTTCCCTAGAATTAGAACTCCTGACAGGAATTCAGGAACACATGATTTATCGAGCATATACTCATCAGAAAATAGAGACAAAAACCACTGTGAGGGGGTGAGGGAAGCAGGGGAAGAGGTGGGAATAGGGTGGAGGAAGGGAGGCCTCTGCAGAGGTGCAGAACTTGAGCTTTGCCTTCAGTTCTCTTCACGTCAGTCACTACAGGCTAAGCAGAGAGGGCAGTAACTTCCTGCAAAGAACCTCCTGTTGATGGGGGCAATTCTTTGGAGAAAGGGAAACTGTGTGACGTTAGCAGCCAACACTCCCAGCAGCTGGAGATGTTGCTGAAGATGTTGCAGCAGCCTGGTAGAAGGAATTAGGTTGGACAGTATCCATGACAGTAGCTACTTGAGCTCTACACCTATTTTTAAAATAGCAGCTCATGTTGGCAATTAGACCAGTTATTTTAACACAGTCCTCTTGCTTTGCATAGCCAATGTCTCAAAAAGTCATTTGATTGGCCAGGCACGGTGGCTCACACCTGTAATCCCAGCACTTTGGGAGGCTGAGGTGGGCAGACCACAAGGTCAGGAGTTCGAGACCAGCCCGGCCAATATGGTGAAACCCCGTCTCTACTAAAAGTACAAAAGTTAGCCAGGCGTGGTGGTGGGCACCTGTAGTCCCAGCTACTAGGGAGGCTGAGGCAGGAGAATCGCTTGAACCCGGGAGGCGGAGGTTGCAGGGAGCCAAGATTGCACCACTGCACTCCAGCCTGGGCGAAAGAGCAAGACTCCGTCTCAAAAAAAAAAAAAAAAAAAAAAGGCCAGGCGCGGTGGCTCACGCCTATAATCCCAGCACTTTGGGAGGCTGAGGCAGGTGGATCATGAGGCCAGGAGTTCGAGACCAGCCTAGCCAAGATGGTGAAACCCCATCTCTACTAAAAATACAAAAATTAGCTGGGCGCAGTGGTGGGTGCCTGTAATCTCAGTTACTTGGGAGGGTGAGGCAGAATTGCTTGAACTTGGGAGGCGGAGATTTCAGTGAGTCCAGATCGCTGCACTCTAGCCTGGGAGACAGAGCAAGGCTCCGTCTCAAAAAAAAAAAAAAAAAAAGAAAGAAAGAAAAAGAAAAAATCATTTGATTTTCCTGCAAAAGAAATTTCATCTTAATATCAGACACACAGATTGGCTTCCATGATACTTCATATCTCCTGTGTTCAAAGCAATGATAAAGCAAAGTAATTATAATTATCACTGGGCCACGGAGATGGGCTCAGGTTTGCCTTTAGAAATGAATTTCCAGCCAGGCATGTTGGTGGCTCACGCCTGTAATCCCAGAACTTTGGGAGGCCGAGGTGGGCGGATCACGAGGTCAGGAGATCGAGACCATCCTGGCCAACATGGTGAAACCCTGTCTCTACTAAAAATACAAAAAAATTAGCTGGGCATGGTGACGCATGCCTGTAGTCCCAGCTACTCAAGCGGCTGAGGCAGGAGAATCGCTTGAACCCGGGAGGCGGAGGTTGCAGTGAGCCGAGATCACGCCACTGCACTCCAGCCTGGCGATACAGCAAGACTGTCTCAAAAAAAATTAAAAATATAAAAAAACAAAAATGAATTTCCTTCAGATCCCAGGAAATTTGGGAGTAAGACAGAAACAGAACAAAGTTTGGGAGGAGGACAGAAAGTGTCTTCTCTCAAGCTATAAATCACAGAAATTGAATTAGATCATCTCAAATTGAGGGACAAAAAGCCAGTTATAGATCCATTTCATGACACTGCCTGACATGGATTCCATTTGTGACTCACTGAGTAGCATTACTTATTCTGAGTGCTCCTCTGACAATGCAGGCACTTAACATGAAGACATGTGTAACATTACAGGAGGAAAATAGAAAGAGCAAAACCCCACAATTTGCCCGGAAAGCAAATTCTGAGTGCCAGTGTATCCATTTCTGAAGCCTGTTCTCAGTTTCTCTGTAAGTTCTGTTTTCTGCATGGTTCCAAATTTCTAAGATCCTATTCTCTTTCCAGACACAATCAATACAGTCAAATCCTTTATTTTTATTTTATTTACTTAATTTTGAGACAGGGTCTGACTCCTGTCACTCAGGAAGGAGTGCCGTGGTGCGATCATAGCTCACTGCAGCCTCGATCTCCCACATCCCACCGCCTCAGCCTCCCGAGTAGCTGGGACTACAAAAGCATGCCACTACACCTAGATAATTTTTTTTTTTTATTAGAGACGTCGTCTCGCTATGTTGCCCAGGCTGGTCTCAAACTCCCGAGCTCAAGCGATTCTCCCGTTTCAGCCCCTCAAAGTGCTGGGATTACAGGCATAAGCCAATGTGCCTGCCCAATCAAACCATTTTTATCTTATAAAGAAATAGATCAACACTAGAAGACTGACTATACAGTAACTGGGTCTATCAGTCAGGGATCCAGACATGGTAATTGAGGAAACTTCAGGGAGGAGTCTATTTGTGGATATGGGTAGAGCTAAAATAAAGCAATAAGGATGGTGAAGCACCCTGGGGCTAGCAACAGCAGTGCTGCTGCCAGGTCTAGGGGAGACGGCAGAAAGGGAGCAGAGCCATGGCTGCCAGAGAGAGGCTAGAACTTGAGAGCTGTGGCCCCAGGAAAGAACTCCACCCTCCGGCAAAGCAAGCTGGGTAAGTAAACATTCCAACCAACCACTCTCCGACCACTCGGCAGAGCCACCCTAGTGTGAATTCTAGGAAATTAAAATCTGCCCCATAGAGTCCACACAGAGCACAGAGCAAGGGCAGAAGAATAGAGGGTAGATCTGGGGCAGCCGATGGATAATGCCTAGCACAGAAGTCAGCGATGCAAAACATGGCGTGGATATACTTTGTAAACAGGTTGGAAATTATAGTTCCAAAAAAATTATTCGTTCCCTTCAAATTATTCCTTTTGGAATTAGCCAGGCGTGGTGGTAGGCACTTGTAATCCCAACTACTCATGAGGCTGAGGCAGAAGAATCACTTGAGCCCAGGAGGTTGAGGTTGCAGTGAGCCAAGATCGCATCACTGCACTCCAGCCTGGGCAATAGAGCAAGTCTCTGTCTAAAAAAAAATAATAATAATAAATAAATACACACACACACACACACACACACACACACACACACACACATTCCTTACATTCCTTTTGGGAAGCTCTTCATGTATTATTGATAATAACAACTACCATGTGTCAGGCACTGAACCCAATGCTTTGCCATTAGTTATTTTATGTTATTGAATCCTCACGATAACTCATGTAGTGGGTCAAATTAGCTTCATTGTGCAAATGATCAGCTTGAGGCTTAGAGTGGGCTAAGTAACTGCTCTAATGTTACACAGCAAGGATGTGAAGGTGTCAAGGTGAGAAGCCCCAGCTCTTAGACCTCTGAGCCTGTGTTCTCTCCTCTGTCCTGCTTTTCTGTAACAAAGATGTTGCCATTGTTTAAAAGGCTTCAGAAGCCCTCCTCTGTGATCACTTTTAGAATGCCTTCAGGAGCCTTACCCCACCATCACCCCTCCCAAAAAAAAAAAAATCCATCGCATTACTTTATAGTCACACATTTTTAACAACAACTGAAGAAAGATGGTGATGATTCATCCCCACCACGTTCACCAGATGTAAGGCCAGATGACGTTTCACTGTTTCTAAAAGTCAAATTCAACTCACCCTCAAAGGACTGAGGATATTAAAAATAAGTTCTGAAAGACAACTCAAAAAAGAAAACAAAACAACAACAAGATGTTGTCTCGAAAACAGAAAACAACATCTGTATTGCTGGACACCCCAGATCAGAAAGTGGCGGCTTTAGGACTGTGTAGAGAGCACTCCCTAACCGTGTTTCCCTCTGCTCTCACACCACAGCAATCAACACAGAAGATTTCTGTGACCAAATGTGTGAGGGTTTCTCCCTACCACCAAGCAGGGGACACCAGCTGGGTGTCCTCTAATTCAGTTCCAACACTATTAGTGTCAGATCCCACAGCTTGGGAGTTCAGTCCCCAAAACTGCCCCCTCTGCCAAGACACACACACACACACACACACACACACACACACACACACCAGGCGCAAATCTGAGCCTCCGGAACTTCTTACTTGAGGTTCCCGCGACCCCCTCCTTGGGTTCAATTAATCTGCTAGAGCAGCTCACAGAACTCATGGAAACACTTATGTTTACTGGTTTATTATAAAGGATATTGCAAAGGGTACAGATGAAGAGAAGCGTAGGGCGATGTATGGGGAAGGGGTGTGGAGCTTCCATGCCCTCCCTGGGCACTCTCCTCCAGGAACCTCCACATGTTCAGCTATCCGGAAGCTCCTTGAAGCCTGTCCTCTTAGGTATTTATGGAAGCTTTGTGACGTCAGTGTTTCTTCCCCCAGAGTATAGGGTGAAACCCTCTCATGGGAGGATCTTAAGACTCACAGTCAGGAAGGCAGAAGAAGGGTAGAGTCCTGCCTTGGGGCAGGTGAAAGGAGGGCAGGAGAAAGTCAGAGGCCTGCCCCTGAGGCCTAATACACCCAGCATTCTAACAAAAGACTGGAACAAGGGCTATGAGAGCAATGAGCCCAGAACCGTATAGATACCATAACACCACAAAGACCAACAGCAGTTTTCCCACAGAGTAATCCCAGGCCTCCAAAAGAGGTCCACGCTTATTTACAAGAGCAGGAAAATCTCCAAAAGTAGAGCCACAAGTAGCTATGCATGTTTGCGAACGGACTGCCTCCACCCTGCTCTCCCCTCATCAGATGGAAACCAACAGAAGGGCAGGATAGGGCTCCCTCATCCACCTGCTCTAGCCAGCTCTGTGCATGCACCATGCCAGCACACAGCAGATCCTCCAAAGATTGTCCATTGAATGAATGATGGCTGGAACGAATGAATAGATGGAATTCTTCTTCCTACCTAGGGTATAATCTTTGGTTAAATATCACATATCCTTTGACATCATTTTGCATGAAAAAGAACTGTCAACAATGAACACAAAATGTTTTGGCCCTTCACTTATGAGGCCCGCAAGTCATCTCCAGAATTATCTACGGGAAAGTAAGAAATAAATAACCCCCGACTCCTCTCATCCTCCACACCACACCAGCTTCCCTCTCCCTCGCATGCTCGAATGTCAAACAATTGCCTGGGTCTGTTTGGCAGACATCAAGCATCCTTTTCGTGCAAGGCTATCCAAAAAATAATGAGTATTATTATATCTCCTCCACGGCCATGTAATTGGCTAATACTAAAAGTGCTAAGAGAGATGGCGTTTTGCTGGTTCACATCTAAAATTTAGACAATCAACCATGAATGCCTCAGGCTGATCACATGCTGGGAGAAGCAATAATAATACGTCTGGCCAGATTTCCCTGCCAACTGGAAGGCCCAGGTTTGGGGAGCAGATGTGCTGTGGAGGTGATACATTTGGTGTTCAGTGGGGAGGGTCTGCAGGTCTCATCTGTCTTCCGCACCCCTACTGGTCAGCTCAAAGCTCAGCGCTAATGCCAGCTGCTTAAGGACCTGATCTTGTGTGTATCTTCCAGTCATAGGGGAAAGAAATGCACGCTCAGGAGGAGACAGCCCCAAAGCATTCTGTGACCTAGTGGCACTGCCAGGTTTTGCTTGCAGGTGCCTCTTTTTGATGTGGACTCAACCCTTCCTTTCCCCATGGCCAGAGTTGGGTGGCATTCTCTTAGGTAATTGCGGTGTCCTGCTATGAGTGCAGCTCCTGCATATAGAATCAGCCACAGATCCCATGTCAGCTGGAAGCCACAGATGACCAACTGCAAAATCAATAGGCCTCTGTCGCTGCCATAGCAGGGAAATCCAGAGCTTATCAGCAGCATCATGATAAGTACCTATTTGCCTGACATCTCCTCAATCAATAACTTTGTTATTGTTTGCATTATCTGACTATAAGTTTGGTCAATATACCCAGCTAATGGGTAACATGAGCCAGGATTGCATTTCAATTTTTTTTTTAAGTTTAACTGTCTCTGTGCCACAAGGAGTAATTAAGTGAACCTCACCAGTCCTGCTTCTGTCCTTCCTGAGTTTTATCAAATCCTTCTCTGATATAGGCTGTCTTGAGACAAGGAAATTAATGTTGCCCAGATCTAGACAAAATTGAATAAACCCTGCCTCTCTTTGCTGTTACTTTTATTAGGTTTTCACAAGGATGAGCAGATGGTTTGAGGGTGTGTGTATGTGTGTGTGTGTGTTTCTGTGTGTGTGTGTGTTTCCTTTACTTGATGCTCTGGAGAGAAGATAACAAACTTGCTAGTGGGCAGATCAAGATGCACAATGTAAATGGTGCAAATGTGTATTGGTCTAAAGAGGTTTTGAACCCCTCTACATGATTAGGCTAAGATATATATGGTAAGACCAGAATAAAAATAAATATCTTTGAATTGTGTAACAAATCGGCTCCATGCACTGTATCAGAAGGGCCCTGGCCATTGTCTCATGAATTACCAGCAGATGGCCCAGCACACAGAGATGGCTACATCTGGCCTCTCACCTTTTTTGGGATTGCACAGGGCTCTTGTACCAGATCAGGCTCAAAAGGTTATGGCCAACAATAAAAGAAGAAATAAAACTTGTAGTAACAACAATGTGTAAGGCACCAAATGCTCTGATTTTCTTGTCACATTAAAAATATTTACTGGTTTCTCCAGCCCAGATTTAGCGGCAACCCCAAGCACAGAGGAAATAAACAAATCACTCACTCACCAGAATGAGCTGGTGGCATCATCGCCAACTTCATCATTCTGCCCTTCGGTGCTTTTTCTTTTCTTTTTTTGATTGGTTCTAGTAAGTTATTCATACATAATGGTATCAGTGATGGGGTATAAATACATATATCACAGGAAGGGTTTTGTTGTTGTTGCTATTGGTTTTGTTTTTTTTTTTTGTAAATTAACTTTACAAGCATCCTGCAGCGTTTTCAAATTGTAAACTGCTGTTTCCTAGTTCATAGACTCGTAGAACCCCAGAGCCAGGCTTAGAGCACGTCCAATCTGTTCCTCTGATTTACAGCTGTGATAACTGAGGCCCAGAGAGGTGAATGACTGCTCAAGTCAAACATCTCATCCATCTCAGCATTGGATCTCAAGTTTCTGCCTCCAGACCCCCTGTCCTGCAGGACCTTTTGGCTTTGCTGTCCTTATTTCTCTTCTTCTGATCCCTCATCTGCTCCTTCCTTTGCTGATCATTAGAACAGGAAGAGGGATAAGGGGCAGCTGCCTAAGGTAAGGCAGACGCTTGACCTCTATCACAAACCCTGATCTCATCCTTCAGGTCCTCTTTGCAGTCTGGAAGGGAGAGGAAAACAGGAGGAGAGAGTGGAAACCAAGAAAGTATCCAAGAGGAAGAGATAAGGAAAAAACGGCATGGGGAGAGGTTTTTGTGTCTACCTGCTCAGATACCAGGAGAAGTGAATAAATGCCTCCCCTACAGCTCTCCTGCCCTCCTCCCACAACTGTGAAACTAAAGTCTTAATGAGAATTGATCCAGCAAACAAATAGATCCAAAGGGGTAATAGGACTGATATGGATCTTTCATGGGAAATTGGATGTATCATGGGAAATAAGGAGTCATAGAAAATTATGAATGAAAAATAAGCATAATCAATATACGATTAGAGATGCAAGGGGAGTGGGTAATGATTCCAAGGCACTGACTGCTTTGTTTCACATCATGATGCTCATCACAGGAACCTATGTGCTCCAGACTGGGCCATGCAATTATGACCAACATGCTAGCTCCCTATGCTGACTGGCTGGACTGAATTAATTACTTTTATTATTATTATTATTATTATCTTAAGGAGACAAGGTCTGGCTCTATTGCCCAGGCTGGAGTGCAGATCTGGTGTGATCTCAGCTCACTGCAACTCCACCTGCCAGGTTCAAGCCAACCTCCCGCCTCAGCCTCCCAAGTAGTTAGGAATACAGGAGTGCACCACTGCTCCCGGCTAATTTTTGCATTTTTGTAGAGACAGGGTTTCACCATGTTGCCCAGGCTGGTCTCTAACTCATGGGCTCAAGAGATCTGCTTACTTCAGCCTCCCAAAGTGCTGAGATTACAGGCATGAGCCACCATGCCCGGCCTGAATTAGTTACTTCTTCAGCTTCCTCGTCTTCTAGCTAAAAACCAAGATCACACCTTCAAATGCTATGATTTCACATTTACATTCTGCTCTTTTTCTTTCTGTCACGTGATCCTATCTTTAAATTTGGGAAGGATGGGGAGAGAAGGCTGTTGAGAGATGTTGCATGAACATTCATCATACAAGCCCATGAACCTGAGAGAGAATTCAGCAAGAAAAGTGAGACCAATAGGTTTGTGTGGAGCCTTCCTGTGTGGGCCACGCTGGGTTGGCCACGCTTTCCTTTGTTGCAGATGACACCTGGCTAGTGTCCTGTCTAGGATCCCAAATTCTAACTAGGTTTCCTCCTTCATGAACTGTTGGGTTTTAGTTAATGATTCACCCCTTCAAACACTCAGTTCTGACCCAGGACTGACTCAAGGCTTCCCAAGTCCCTGCTCGCAAATAACAGAATTCTTTGGAAATAAGCTCTTTTAAGAAAGTCTGTCCTCGCACTGCAATCTGAAACGTAGCAATTCGGCCTCTCCGGCCATCTTCATCTGTGTGTTTCTTGCATACAGAATTAAACTGGAAGGTCAGAGCCATTGTCTGTCTCTAGATCCGATTTCTTGCTTCGTAGTCTGGCGGGGAAGTGCTTTAATCTGGTATATTTACATTAGTCCTACTAACACATTTCCAAGTTCTCCAGCTGCCATGCTACGTGAACCAGGTCAAGTCTGGGAGGGAGAGGTTTGCTTTTCCTTCCTGTGACCTCAGGACTGATTTAATTAAACATCTCCTCCAGCCCCGATTTATAGTCTGAAAAGTGTTCTCACAGAGGCCCTTCGATGTGCTCTGCTTTTCAATTAGCTGAAATGCAATAAGTTAAATCGAAACACCATTCTGAGTGTCTGCTGCCACCCTGAGAGCAGTTGCAACAAGCGCATTCGTCTCTGAGCATTTAACTGCAAAGGGTTTAGATAAATGAGTGGTGGTTTCCTTTGGTAACTTAGCACGGTTCTGTAAGACAGATGAGAGGATTGCTGAGTTCCTCCCTGAGCTCCTGGGGGCTGCCAAGCTATCTCCCTGGATTCCCACTGTGAGGAGGAAATAACCTTTTAAATCTTATTTTATAAACACAAATTCTTTTTCTTTAAGATTAAAAATAAGAAAACCCATTTAACACATGGGGTAGGGGGGCTGAGGAAGTGAAGGGGAAAAAAGGAAAAAGGATGTCACAGTGGAACTGTCCTAAGCCTGTCCCTGGTGGCTTTTTGTTTTACCATCAGGCATCAGATGTCCTCCCCAGTTTGACAATCCTGACCCCCCAACCTGCCACCTAGGAATGAATGAAACCAAATTTCCCATAGGAAATGCTCTCTGCTAGTCTCTCAAAGGCTTCAGCCTCAAAATGAAATCTGACAAAAGAAACAAATTAGATTAAACTGCAGCGCTAAGGGCTTTGGATTGCTCAGATAAAAGAATCTACAGAGAGTTGTTAGGACTGAGCACAATCATCTTCTGCAACTTGGAGAAAAAATCTGAAGTCTTCCTTCCTACAGCTGTTCTTGCTGGCCATGGTGCAGTTTTTTTTTATCATCATCTAAAGGCAATAAACAGATGGTGGGAGATGGAAGGGCTCACGAAGGACCACAACCCGCGTGCCCACAGAAGCCGGGCAAGTAATATATGTGGACAAAACTGATCAGTGAGGATTTTTATGTGAGCTCTCCAGATTTTTAAATGTTGACAACTCATTCAATTAAAAAAAAAAAGAGTCCACCACTGTTACCGCAATGTTTACTGAGCACTTTCTATGTGCCAGGCACCTTATGAAATCCATTATAAAGTGCATCCTCACAACAGCACAGTGAGAGGCAGATGCTGTTATTACCTTCAGTTCATCTATGGGGAAAAGCAAATCTCGAAGTGGCAGAAGCAGCCCCTGCCCACAGCTGGGGCCCTGTTTCTATTTACTACCCTAGACTGCTTACCAGTTCTGTAGATGGCCGGGCGCGGTGGCTCACGCCTATAATCCCAGCACTTCGGGAGGCCGAGGCAGGTGGATCACGAGGCCAAGAGATCGAGACCATCCTGGCCAACATGGTGAAACCTCGTCTCTACTAAAAATACAAAAATTAGTTGGGCATGGTGGCGGGCGCCTGTAATCCCAGCTACTCAGGAGGCTGAGGCAGGAGAATCACCTGAACCCGGGAGGCGGAGGTTGCAGTGAGCCAAGATCGCACCACTGCACTGCAGCCTGGGCGACAGAGCAAGACTCCAGGGGAAAAAAAAAGTTCCGTAGACAAAGAAATTGATGCTCACTGGGATTCATGTGGCCAGAATCATAATAATAGTCGGGTGATTTTTTTTTTTTTCAAAGTAAGTAAACTACAGAAACGGAGCGTAGAGCGTAAAGAAGACATGCTGGAAAAGACAGAGAAATATAAGAAAAATATGTGTCATTGTTCCACGATATTTAGCCTTGTCCTAATGGTTGCGCAGACGAAGAGATTAGAGTTTTTATTTTAAAAACTGTGAATTTAAGCATCAATGATGCTGTTTCTATGATCATTCCCTGTGATTGAAACCAAATGGTGAAACAGCCTCACGAAAATGTCTGAGGTTCAAATGCAGTCGCCATTCTGTGTTTGTGTAGACAATGCTGCCCTCTCGTGGCTAACTTCTGAATAGAATTATTTTGTGATTAAAATCAGAACATTTTTACGTTCTCTATTTTCCCGAAGTATTCTGTAGAATGTTGCATCCATTTGCATCGCATATGTGATAATAAGTACATTACTTACATAGCACAACACCTTTGCATATTTTATATCTAATTTGGGATCGAGTTTGTATTATTTTTGCGATTGTTTTATAGGGCACTGGAAGAAATGAATGGAAAAAAATTATGATGCTACTGGGCTCCTGAACTTTCAGAATTCAATTCCTCAGGGAAGAAATGTTTTCTCATGACAGTAAACTTCGAAGAACTCTAGGACAGAAAATGTTTGCGTCTCTAATCTGAACATGATCTTATAGAAATGACTGTCCTCTTCCATTCTAAGGAAAAGGGTTTAATATTTGGAGGAAACAAGAGATCAGTTCATAAATATATTTTTAGGTAAAAACATGGTTCATGGTTGTGCATAGAAAATCACTTTCTGGTTTCCTGCAGGGCAGGAATTACAGAGAAATGACAGACCAAGAGGAGGCTATCAATAAGAGTTACCATGCCAAGGGTAGATGCTGCAAAGCAGTTTTCTTGGACCTGAGTGACAACTCCTGAACCACTGAACAGAAGCCTGCTGCCTGCATGCCTGTGTCATGAGCCCCCGTGCTGTGAGAGGACACACCTACACAGGAGCTGTGATGTGAACAGTGGGTAGACAGCAGTCCTAAGCAAAGGAAATGCCTTTTAAAGAAATAAGGTTGGGGAGTACTTTTGTAAAAAGAGAGGAATTGGCTGGGCGTGGTGGCTCATGCCTGTAATCCTAGCACTTTGGGAGGCCAAGGCCGGTGGATCATCTGACGTCAGGAGTTCGAGACCAGCCTGGCCAACATGGTAAAACCCCATCTCTACCAAAAATACAAAAATTAGCCGGGTATGGTGGCGCATGCCTGTAATCCCAGCTACTGGGGAGGCTGAGGCAGGAGAAGTGTTTGAACCCGGTGGGTGGAGGTTGCAGTGAGCCGAAATCATGCCACTGCACTGCAGCCTGGGCGACAGAGCAAGACTCTGTCTCGAAAGAAAGATAGAGAGAGAGAGAGAGAGAGACAGAGAGAGAGAGAGAAAGAAAGAAAGAGAGAAAGAAAGAGAAAGAAAGAAAGAAAGAAAGAAAGAAAGAAAGAAAGAAAGAAAGAAAGAAGGAAAGAAGGAAAGAAAGAAAGAAAGAAAGAGAGAGAGAGAAAGAAAGAAAGAAAGAAAGAAATAAAGAAAGAAAGAAAGAAAGAAAAGGAAAGAAAAAGAAAGAAAAGAAAGAAAGGAATCAAGCTACCTTCAAGACCCATCTTCAGGAATATTTGCAAGTGAAAGGAACCTTTCCACCTAACAGATCAACTGTTATTCTTAGTGGAGCTCTAAATCTGAAAATAGTTAAAAGTCAAAAATATGCCAAGAGTGGACTGAGGCCTGTGGGGCATAAGTCACTTGCAGACATACTAATGTGGCCTGCATTGTTTGTTCTTTTAATCAAAATATTTTACATAAAAATCCAATTTTGGGTTTCTCAGTAAAGTCAGAGGACTTGGCGTGACTGGGCCAATCCTTCCACTGGAACTGATGAGTGACTGCCCCTTTACAGAGAGCACATCACTATTGTTTGCCATTATCCCTACCCCTCCCTGACATGAACCCAGCTCATCTCACCGGTTTTCACTAGTTGCCTGCACTCTGTAGACCTTTAAGTTACATCCTTTTTGGTTCTGTCTCTGAGAATTGTGAGGCACATATTTATTCTTTAACATCCACAAAGCTCAGGAAATTTAAATAGCACTTGGGCAGGGGACAAAGTTTATGAGCACTAATTCTGACGTATTCCTTTTCATTTCCCATACACTTTTCTTCCACTTTATCCTGTCATCGTTACAACATCCCGCAAGGGTTTTAGGCATTATTTGAATTACAGGTTATCTCTAAAGCACCTGAAGTTTTTGTAAAGGAAGTTTTTATATAAATCTACATTTAAAATGATTAAAACAGGCTAACGGAAAGCACATTGAATTAGGAAGCAGAAAACCTGGGATCTTACTCAAAGCTTTTTCCTGGATAAAGTCTGTGGCATTAAGTAATCCATTTAAACCCTCTTTACCTTTTAATACTCCATAAATAAGAGACAATGATACTTGTTCCTCCTACCTCACCAAGATTTTTTAAAATAACCATAAATCAGAAGACATGTGTTAAGTATTCAGAGTCTACAAAAGAAATGTATGCTAGAAAGACCAAGATAGCATCAGACGATGCAGCATTTGATATACAGTAAATATGAAAGAGTTATTCAAAGGGGACCTTATGAAAAAGGAAGCTATTGCTATATAATCATATCTTATATAACAAATAATAACTTTTTAAAAGATAGAGGTTGGGAGAAAGGAAATAAAACTCTTTACAATTTTATTTTCTTTTTTTTTTTTTCTGGAGACAATGTCTGGCTCTGTCACCCAGGCTGGAGTGCAATGGCACAATCTCAGCTCACTGCAACCTCCACCTCTCAGGTTCAAGCAATTCTCCTGCCTCATCCTCCCCAGTAGCTGGGATTACAGATGCGTACCACCACACCCAGCTAATTTTTGTATTTTTAGTAGAGATGGGGTTTCGCCATGTTGGCCAGGCTGGTCTTGAACTCCTGACTTCAGGTGATCCACCCACCTCGGCTTCCCAAAGTGCTGGGATTACAGGCATGAGCCACCAGGCCCGGCCACAATTTTTATTTTTAATGGACTTGATTGATTACTGATTGCTACTGCAACCATTACTTAAAATTTTTTTTTATATACTTAATATATAAGTTACGATATGGGGTTCAGGACAGACTATCCCAGAATATTTTCAGCTGAAAGAATTTGAGAAAAATGACAGAAGCAGCAAGTCCACTCTCATCATACCGCTACCCTTCTCTGAAGCAGGTGCTAACAGCTTCATGTGCGAGGCGTCCTCCCTATGCCTGGAGGGAAAAAACATCCTTATCTCTGAAGACCTAGGGTCACAGAAAAGAATCTGAACAATCAGGTCTTGCTAAATTTCCCCCAGTGCCTTACCATTAGATCACACCCTTTTCACCCTATCGTATTTCTCCATGACTCTTCACTGTTCATCAAACCTAGCATGAAAATACTCACATTTACCCATTTCTTGGGGGTCTTCATTTCTTTATGAGGGCCCTCATGTCACATAAAATTTATATTAAACACATTTGTATCCTTTTGTTAATCTGTCTTTTGCTGTGGGGACCTCAGCCATCAACCTACGATGGGTAAAGGAAAAGATATTTTTCTTCTACAGTTAAAAACATAAAAATTAGAAAATCCCTGGGAAATATTTTTATATCACCAGCAAATATCCTGACTAGTCAAAGTGAGGCTTGCCATCAAAAGGAAGTCAGGATTCATCTATTTCTATTATGACCTTTCATTTCCTGCTGCATATTATAGTACATAGTAGACATTCAACAAATGTGGTTGACTGATGGATGGATTCATTTAACCGGTAATTATCAAGCAAGCACTATCAGGCAGACTGATCCAAGCACTATGGGAAGTGGGACTCGGCCTCCCTCTCTTACGACAGACTGGGCATGTGTAAACTTCTGTGCCTATGTTGCCCCATCAGCAATCTGGGGTTTCTAACTCCTAACATCCTCTAGTAATTTTGTTCATTGTAGTGAAAAACTGTCACTATACTCCTGGACTGAAGATTGCTGTAAGACAGTGGTTCTCAATGGGAGGCAAAGGCATTTGTTGAATGTCTACTATGTACTATAATATGCAGCAGGAAATGAAAGGTCATAATAGAAATAGATGAATCCTGACTTCCTTTTGATGGCAAGCCTCATTTTGACTAGTCAGGATATTTGCTGGTGATATAAAAATATTTCCCGGGGATTTTCTAATTTTTATGTTTTTAACTGTAGGAGAAGAAAAATATCTTTTCCTTTACCCATCATAGGTTGATGGCTGAGGTCCCCACGGCAATGGGAGGCAATATTGCTCCCCGGGGACATTTGGCCATGTCAGAATACACCGTTTATTGTCACACTAGAGGAAGGGGTCCTACTAGCATCTAATAGGGAGAGGCCATGGATGCTGTTAAATAGCCTATAATGCACAGGCAGCTCCTCCGTCCCAAACAGAGTTAGCAGCGCTGCGGTTGAGTAGAAAAATGCTCTAAGTTCACACATAAGTGTCATAAAGATCTTTGTGGGGTCACAAGGATGAAGGTCATCAACTTCATGCATAATGATTGAAATGGGAGGGGTCTAGCAGATCCAAACTACTTGATTATTTGATATTTCACAAAATACTGACTAATCTGCGTCATAATAACTATTGCTTACTGTCAAATGAGATTATTATCTCTTCTTAAAAGCCCATGTGTTTGAACTCTGTGGAAAGTAACACCACAAGAAAAAAAATCAGGGAGAGTTTGAAGAACTGTTTGTCACTGTTTACATTTCCCTCAACCCAGGAAGATGAGAGAAATTCTTGGAGCTTTCTAAATGCTTTGCTCGAATAAAGTGAAACCCACATCCACAACATCAAACATGCCAACAAGACATCACTCCCTTGAAATTCAAAGAGAAAAATACTCTCAACAAGAACTGTGGAAGCTTAGGGTAGTATAAATGTTTTAAATGATTTTCTTAAAAAAAAAACCTTACTCTGAAAACTAGTATCCTTAACAAAGGAAGATCAACTCTACATAAGAATTTTAAAAACACTCAGGTGGAAGTAGAACAAAAGCAAGAAGATATATTTAGACACAAATGCTGTAACTGTTTTCCATTGACAATCATTCCAGAAAATTTCTCCAATTAGGCAAATAAAGGGGTTTTAAAGGCATTCTCAGATGTGCTTATTAGTGTGGATTATTGTTTCTTTTTTGTTTGCAAACAGTATAAGACAAAATGGAGTTTCATCAGTCAAGGAGTTATTCAAGATAAAAATTAACAAATTACTTTTTCGGGTGAAAACTTTTACTCACTTTTTAAAATCTAATTTCCACTCTACCTAAAGATAAGTTATGAAATCAGTACTGTAGAAAGGGAGAAAGAGAGCACATATGTGGCACCTTTGCTTTTATTGTCTTCGAGCCAAATCCTTGACATTCATTATTAATATATTATGGTCATAATAGATATTACAATCAAAAATCATTTGCCCGATTGTTCCCTTTTTGACCCATAGGTCACAGAGTATCCTATTTATAATTCTGCTTTAGAAAGAAGTTTAAGAAAGGGACAAAATAGCCTCACCGCTTCATTGATTAACAAGTTGAGTTGAGTTTCTAAGCCCCTGACCTCACTCTAGATTTGGTGCAGCAGAGAGAGAGAGCTGGACACTCAGGAGAGGTCTGGGTAGAGTATTAGCCAAGGACAAAGCACTATACTGGCTCTCGTGTAGCTTAGATACCAAGTGAAAAAAATGATATGAGAATGTAATGAAAGCCTAATAAAATCCATTTCAAACCACTGCAGGGTAGGGTCAAGAGTCCTAGGGAGAGTCCAGACAGGGACACGTGTGACCGCTGAAATTAACATCTCACCTGGCAAGCCCCACTGCTTCACTTTGATTGGCACCCAGCTCAAGAGCTCATCACAGTGGTTCGAGGCATTCAACCTGCTGGGCTCCTTTTCTCACCAACTCAGCTGCTCCCCTTGTCCAACCCTCAGGGATTCTTTCTCTGGCCCAGTGAAAGATGACCAAGCAGACACAGCAAAATATGTTTTTAGAGGAAGAGGAAGAAGAAAAGGAGAAGGAGACCATGGAAGCACTTGTGAAAACATGTTTGGGAGAAAAACAAGCCTGGACTTCTAGACTGATACTATTTTGCTTCTAAATAAACCATTGGAAAACACTACATAATAGTAGCTAACTTTTATTGAGTGTTTACTACATGCCAAGCTCTTTCTAAATACTTTTCATATGTTAGCACAAGCTTCACATCAGCCCCTGTAGTTTGTACAGTTATTGCCCCACTTGTTGGATGGGGAAAGTAGGACACACACCCTTGGTTACACTAGTAAATGGCAGACCTGGAAGAGGAATCCAGGAAGCCTGACTTCAGAGCCCAGGCATGCTCCTAATTGTCTTCATCTCCCCTTGTCTATCCAATGCCTATGCTGGATGGCCATTGCTATGGCATGTTTTATAGAGAGAAAATGAGAAGCACAAAAGCTGTATGACCATCCACAACCCTGATGCTATGAAAACCCAAGTATCTAATGCCTCCATTGTTTTTCTGCACCACTGGGCATATTTAACCAAATAATTTGATGAAAATAGTCCTGGAACCAAATCCAGTGTAGCAGTACAATAATAGCACGAACAATAGAAAGCAAAACACAGATGAAGAATTGTGCTCTTTTTATCAGTTGGATTGTTCTCTAATCATTTCATATATATGAATGTCTGAAATTGCAACTATAAATCCCTCAAGGATAGGAATATATATTTCTTTTTAAATATCATAGAACACTGACATGTAGTATGATTGATAATTACTGGTTAAATGAATCCATTCATCAATCAACCACATTTGTTGAATGTCTACCACGTACTATAATATACAGCAGGAAATGAAAGATCGTAACAGAACTAGATTAATTCTGACTTCCTTTTGATGGCAAACAGGATAACATAAATACCTTCAAAATCAAAAATAAAAGTATTCTCCCTTTTTTTCTTATCAAGAGAACTCAAATCCATTTGGGGTGGCAAGGTACTCGGTTTAAAAACCCTGCCCTGACCTGGATTATTCCCTGATGGTTAGAGGAGGCCATGGAATTAGTGCTGGCTGATTAAATGTAAGCAAAAAATCACAGGGTGGAGCTGCCAGGAAAGCTTTTGAAAAAGGCACCAGCTCTGCAGGTCTCTGCCTCTCTACTTCTTCTTGCCTGGCATAAACACATGGCTGAGTTTCCAGCCAGGATGACTGTGGAGAAGCAGGAAGGAGCCCAGGTCCTAAGTGACCTTCATAGATACCAGCACCTGCCCTGGACTGCCCTGCTCTGGGTTCATGTCACATGAGGAAAATATCCACCTTCCTCGTATAAGCCTAGGAAGCCAGGTTTCTCTTCCATGCAGCTGAACCTAACCGCAATTGCTGATGACTGCTTATCTGGTCTGTCCTCCCTCGCCCCTTACTGGTTTTGAGAAGCCAGTAAAATTCTTCTAATTCTGTATATACAGCCACAGGCAGAGATATTTTTAAAGGGGAAAGAAACTCAAGGAGATACAATAATTACTAATTACACATTATATAACTCTTACAGGTTTGATTATTTTTGGAAATTATTTGGAAGAAAAACAGTAGATATTTTATAACATTTTTTTCTTCAAGGTCCCCATCTGTTTATTTTTTACACCTTTTTGATGAAATCACTGTTCATATTATTTGCCTCTTAAAAGTTTCTCGCATATGAAGTTTTTGAATGATCTCCCACTAGACTTTCTAGTTGATTTTAATTACTATTTCTTGTTCCAAAACTAAACTGTATCATGACATCTGGGATCTTCTAGATAATATTAGATTTGAAACATTATGTAGTTTATTCTTAGAGTTGAAATCAAGTCTTCATATAACTTCTAAGGCACTTATTGAAATGACTGCTCAAAAAAAAATTGCTAAAGGAATCAACTTGTTCTCTCAGATGTTTAAATAGTATCCTAGTCATCACTTAAACAACGTTGCATAGTTAGCCTTGTACTCATATAGCATAAGCAAACGTATTTAGGTCAACCTCAATATTTTTTGGAACTGTACATATTTTTTCACTTCACAGAACTACCTCACAAACTTGATATGTTGATATGCCATCTGCTAGCTTTACAGTCTCAGTTATTCATATATCTCACGTCAAAACACCACCTCACTTTGCTTAATTGCCTCATAATTGAGAGAAAAGTTTGTTTCAGTTGGGAGTTATTGGAATGACTGTTTTATTTACTCCCAAACATTAATACTCTTCACCTTTCAGTGTGAGGATCTAACTTTTAACTTGGTTAAAAGTTACTTTAGAAAATATTCAAAAATAAACATACTAAATGAAGAATCAAACTCAGAAAAACTTGCCTGGCACTTACTCAAGTTATGCAAACTCATAAATAACTAGGAGATGAAGTTTGGTACTGATGAATTGCTGCATAGCATGGGAAATTTATTTTCTAGGGCAGTCTCTGGCTTTTAGAAGCTTAAATTACATACATCTCTTAAATACAAATGACTGCACCAGCCAGTGGGTTCCTAAAACTCCCCTTTCCTCTCCACTGTCACTACCTAGAATTTCTTTCTCCTGTCTCTCCTCTTTCCTCCTCTTCCCCAACTATAACCCTTGTGCTATGGAGGCCCCAATCTGCAGGGGTAGTAGAGATGGAAACAAATGTGAGAGAAGAATAAAGAGTCAACCTTCATCGCTCATTTCTTCTGTCCCTCTGTGCTTTGTAACTTCTCGAATCACCTATTGAGGGCAGGGGGAGGGGCCCTCCTTATGACTTCATACAACCTGCTTCATGATCTGGCTTCTAGGCATTTTTTCTTGTGTCATTGCCTAAAAAGTTGACCAATTCCTAGGAGGAACCCTACTCAGTTCAGTGTGGGCATCAGCCCAGTGTGGGTCTAGCTCCTGCCTGACCTCCTGGGATGAACATTCTTCCCACGTGCGGTTTCCTCATTTCACATCTTCCTGACTACACACTGAGCAACTTGAGATCAGAAAATGTCATTCATTTTTTGTAACTTCAAGGACCAGGAGGCTTGCTCAGTGTCTGGTGCTAAACTGGCAAAAAAAAAAAAAAAAAAAAAAAAAAAACACGCAGTGCTTAAAAAATATCTGCTGTAGCATTACTAAATGACCCTGGCACCTCTCCAAGTGCCTCATCCCAGAGACCCTACTCTTGCCCTCACCCTGCACGCTCCCCACCAAAAGTTACTCTTACATTGTAAAGAAGAAAGATGAAGTTAATTGAGTTGATATGGTTATAGATAACAGCCAACATTTAGTCAGCCTTTATGCTGTCTACATACTATTGTAAATATGCTACATCTATTGTGACCTTTAATTATTGAATCAACCCTCTGAGGTCTTGATGCTCTTCCTGAGTTAGAACTCCAGAACATATGTTCTCTACTCCGTTAATAGCCACTGACAGAATATAGCCAGGCATTAAAAAACAAGCATGACAACTAGGTAGGAGCATAGAGAATAAGAAGATAAAAAGCATATGTGCCTATAATCTATAGCTATTGAAATATATCATTGTAACAAGAGCTGAAAAGGAATGCCCAATGATAAGCAGTCTTTTTAAATATGTTATTATTGTTTTAAAAAAAACTTATAATATAATTCAAAGGTACTTTTAATGAGCTGGACCTATGTTTCAATGAATATCAGAACCAACGGTTAATGGAGGCTCTTAGAGAATGCTTGAAATTCTTAACTCTCCTTTTGCTTTTTATTTTTAGTCTTTGCCTTCTTTGCCAAATCCCCAAGCTGAGTGCTCACTTCAGACGCTGAGAAGAATGGAAGTGGGGGAGGAGAGCTAACACTTGTTGAGATTGGTAGGGAGGGACAACTAATGTTGCTTCCATCTTGTGTAAAATGTATATAAACACATCTTCAAATCTTTCTTTCCAACCAAACCCTCAGCCCCACCTAGAAGGAAATTACGGAGTCACCAGTAACTGAGTGTCTACTGTGTGGCAGGCTCCAGGAGGCTCCGTGGCACAGTGGCTTTTTCAACAGTGGAACAGAAGAGGTAAGTCAGGTTAGAAACCACGTAGCAGTAAATGAGGAAGTAAAAGAAGTCTTAGCAGAAAATCAGTGAGGGATGACTCCAAAGCAGATTGAGAATCAAGAGTTATTTCAACTTGGCCAGGTGGGGTGGTTCACACCTATAATCCCAGCACTTTTGGAGGCTGAGGCAGGCAGATCACTTGAGGTCAGGAGTTCAAGACCAGCCTGGGAAACATAGTGAAACCCCATCTCTACAAAAAATACAAAAATTATCTGGGCATGGTGGCATGCGCCTGTAATCCTAGCTACTCAGGAGGCTGAGTCACAGGAATGCTTGAACCCTGGAGACGAACGTTGCAGTGAGCTGAGATCACCTGGGTGACAGAGCAAGACTCTGTCTCAAAAAAAAAATAAAAATAAATAAAATAAAAAATAAAAGTTATTCCAACTCAGGGATTTGTGCTGGCAGATTTGGCCCCTCCCGTATCTCTGTATCTCCTGATCCCGAATTCCACTACCATTCACCTACCCCAGACCTATCCTATTGGAGAGGGTTTCTACCCCAGCCAACCTCGATTGGTTCAGGAATATGAGAATCTCCTATCCCAATACGTGGCTGGAAAGGAAGGTAGAGGAAGGATAAGGCCAGGTCTGCCAGAGAGAGGAACTTCCTGGCTCTCTAAGTCAGAACAAATTTCCCAGTCAACTACCTCTCAACCCTGCTGATCTCTTACCATTGGTTAGGCAGGTTGTAAAGTTAATGGGTTTCTGTGAGCTGGATAGATGGGCCTAGTCTAGGCACTTAGGCAATGTGCTTAACTGCTGCTGTGGGAAAATCCATGGTAAGCACCCTGCAATCAATCACCAATGAACAATTGAAACCCAGTTCCTCATAACCAGGCACTGTCCATATAGCCAACATGAGCAAAGGGTTGGGGGTCATTGTCCAAAGGCTTTATGCAGAGAGTTTTAATTTTTTTTGTCAGTGTCATTTTTATTGGACTTTTTTTCTTGCCTTATTCTTTTGCCCAGCTTAAGCAGCACTTTAGGTTTTTCTAATTCAAATTTTTAAAGTAGATAAATAAAACATTACAAATATAGTTAAGGCCTTCCAAGACCCCTCCCTGATTTCATTATCTCATTCTTCATGGGTAACCATTGTCCTTAATGTGGTGTTTCTCATTCCATGCATGACTATATACTTTCACTACATATGTATGTGCTCATTAACAACATGTATTTTTGCTTTGCATGTTTTCAAACTTTACATAAATGGTACACTGGCCAGGCACAGTGGCTCATGCCTATAATCTCAGTACTTTGGGAGGCCGAGGTGAGAGGATCACTTGAGGCCAGGAGTTCAAGGCTAGCCTGGTCAACATGGTGAAAACCCGTCTCTACTAAAAATACAAAAATTAGCCGGGCGTGGTGGTACACACCTGTAGTCCCAGCTACTTGGGAGGCTGAAGCAAAAGAATTGCTTGAACCTGGGAGGAGGAGGTTGCGGTGAGCCGAGATCATATCACTGCACTCCAGCCTGGGTGACAGAGTGAAACTCTGTCTCAAGAATAACAATAATAATAATAATAATTTTTAAAAAATAAAATAAATGGTACACAGAACTTGAATCTCTTACTGTTTGCTCACCACTGTTTTTGAGATGCATTCATGTTTACATGGCTGTAGTTAATTCATTTTTAGTTGCAGCATTCTATTATGTGAATTATATGTTTCTATTCATTGGTATTCTATTACTATTACCACTCATTATAGTCTTCAATTGTGGTCATCAATTACGTAACTATATCATAATTTGTTTCTTAATTCTCCTAAGGAACAGAATAAGTGGATGATAGAATATGAGCATTTTTAACTCTAAAGAGAAATTTAGTAACAATTAATAATCAAACCAATTTATACCATTTATACTCCTACTAACAGAGGTTGAGAGCTCCAGTGTTTCATCATCTCAGAAACACTTTTCACATCTTTGTCAAACTTTTCCATTTTTGCCCATGTGATGGAGGTAATATTTAATCTCATTTTTATCATGGTCTATATACACAGATTGAAAACATTTTCTTTTTTTTTTTTTTTTTTTTTTTTTTTGAGACGGAGTCTTGCTCTGTCACCCAGGCTGGAGTGCAGAGGCGCGATCTCGGCTCACTGCAAGCTCCGCCTCCCGGGTTCACGCCATTCTCCTGCCTCAGCCTCCAGAGTAGCTGGGACTATAGGCGCCCGCCACCACGCCCGGCTAATTTTTTGTATTTTTAGTAGAGATAGGGTTTCACCGTGTTAGCCAGGATAGTCTCGATCTCCTGACCTTGTGATCCGCCCACCTCGGTCTCCCAAAGTGCTGGGATTACAGGCGTGAGCCACCACGCCCGGCAAAAACATTTTTGCAAAAAGATCTTATAGGTCAGTGGTTCTCAAAATGTGTTCTGGGGACCTCTGAGATCTATACAGGTAGTCACTGAGGTCAAAACTATTTCATAATAATACCAAGATGTCATTTGCCTTTTTAACTCTCATTCTTTTACAAGTGTACGGTGGAGTATTCCAGAGGCTATCTGACTTGTGACATGTGATACTGCAACAGACTGAGTAGAGATGCAGATATGAGGATCCAGCTATCTTTTTATTAAGCCAGACACTGAGGAGATTTGCAAAAATGTAAAGCAATGCCACCAGAATTATTTTTGTTTTGGAAGAATTAACTATGTTTTATTTTTAAATCATGTTAACTATAATGGGTCTATTATTGTTCTTATAAGAATAAATACTTTTAATGTTTCAGTTTTAATTTCTTATGTGGTAAATATTACTAGATATACATATAAGCAAGAGCTCTTTGGGGTCCTCAATAATATTTTAAGAGTATAAAGGAGACCTTATGAGGCCAAAAAGTTGGAAAATTGCTGTTACAGGTCATACCCTTTTCTCATCATTCCTACTCAAATGAATGCCAGCTGACACTTAGAGGGTGCTGTGTGCAGATGGGGCATTGTGCTAAGTGCTCAAGGGTCACTTTTCCTTTAACCCTTATGATACTCTTGTAAGCAGGTGCTGTGATCAGCTGCACTTGAAGGACAGTAAGCTGAGGCTTGGGGCAGCTGGATAGAGTGCCGGGGACACACAGCCAGCAAGGGAAGCCATTCCAGCTACTGTCCTCCCATCCTCTCCAGTTTTCTTCTCTTAGTCATTCTCTGAGTCAGCCAGCTTGAAGCCATCTACGCTTCTTTGACTCATCCCTCTCCTTTTTTCTTGAAATGATCTACATTCCCTTCTGAAAGCAGCAGAGGGACTCAAGGTTTGGACGCTGGGTTCCTGGAGCTGCAGCCGCCAGTAAGTGTGGCGAGGTCCCAGGCTTCCAGGCAATAGAGCAGGGAGCCAAGGGGGATGTGCAAGAGGAAACCCAGGAAACAGACCCTCCAAAAGGGCAAAACAAAGGGGGAAAACATATTTGGTAGTCAGGTTCTAGAAGGAACGATTGCTGAGGCCCTGGAAAGGTAGATCCCTTTCTTCCGGGATCAGGCCCACGAGACGGGCGGAAATATTAATCATACTCCTCAATCTCTATTCCCACTCACTTACTTCATTCGGCAAATACAATGGTGTGATAAGTGGGCAGTGATGGGGTAATAATAACAATAACATTTATTGGGCACTTACTATGGGAAAGTGACTATTTTAAATACTTCGTGGATATTAACTCATTTAATCCTCATCTGAATCCAGTGAAGTAAGTACTTGTCTTACACGTGGAAAAACTGAGGCACAGAAAAGAAACATCAGAGTGTAAGGGAGTGAGCAGGAGAGGCCCTTAACTTGCCCCTGGGGGAAAAGGTGATGAAGAAAAGCTTCTCAGATATGGCACATGTATTCGTTTCCTATCGGTGCTGTAGCAAATTACCAGAAACTTAGTTATTTATTACATTTTTTCATAGGTGGTTTTCAATGGCCTACAGAAACTTAGTTATTTAAAACAACATTTATTGTTACAGATTTATTATCTGACAGCTCTGGAGGTCAGAAGTCTGAAGTGGACTTCACTGGGCCAAAATCAAGGTTGTTGGCAGGGCCGTGCTTTCTCTGGAAACTCTAGAGGACAATCTGTGTCCTTGCTTTTCTGGTTTCTAGAGATTACCTACATTCTTTTGGTTCATGACTCCTTCCTCTAGCTTCAAAGCCAGTAGCATAGCATTGCCTCTCTCACTTTGTTTTTTTGTTTTTGAGACAGGGTCTCACTCTGTCACTTAGGCCAGAATGCAGTGGCACAATCTTGACTCACTGCAACCTCCAACCCCCAGGCTCAAGCAACACTCCCATCTCAGCCTCCCGAGAGGCTGGGACTACAGGCGCCACTACTGGTACTTTTTGTATTTTTTTTTTTTGTGGAGATGGGGTTTCGCCATGTTGCCCAGGCTGGTCTTGAACTCCTGGACTGCAGTGATCCTCCTGCCTCAGCCTCCCAAAGTGCTGGGCTTACAGACATGAGCCACGGCACCCGGCCAGCATTCCCTCCCTGATATCTGTGTCTGGCCTTAAATCTCCTCCCTCCCTCCAGTGCAATGCCTCCCTCTGATAAGAACCCTTGTGATTACATGGGTCCCACCTGGACAATCCAAGCTATTTGCTCATCTCAAGATCCTTAACTTGAACACATTTGCAAAGTCCTTTTTGCCATGTTAGGTAACACATTCACTGGTTCTGGGGATTAGGATGTGGACATCCTGGGTTGCGGGGGGGCATTA